>NW_018654717.1:2748556-3050137 GCF_000001405.40 Homo sapiens | reverse complement strand
GTTCTTATGTACTGCGTGGGCCAGTTCCCTGCTCTCTTGTTCTTGTCCCAGCAGCCCAACAGTAGCAAAATCTAATTATCCTAACCTGGAAGAATCAAAGGTGACATTTTCTCCACGGATAGGAAGCTGTGCTGGAGGACTGTAAACATTGGTTGACTTATCTCGGGGTTCTCTTTAAAGGCACCTAGTTCCATGGATGACTTAGCTTCCATGTAGCTAGATGACCCCAGAATGCCTGATTTTCCTGGCCCCAGGTCATGCTTGTATGTCTCTTCTTGGATTGGATGCTTCGTCTAATCCAAGGAATGGCTGCCTTTAATCAACCCCTCTCCATTTGTTCATCTTCCTCTGGGGCTGTGGGGTAAGGCAGTGGAGGGAGATGCTTAGAGAGGACATCATCCTTTTCATTTTTTCTTTCAAGATATTTTTGAACAGCAACGTTAAAGCCCCCGTAATGCTGCTGTGAATTGTTAACAAGCATGTTTGCACGTCACATCTATCATGCTATGTGCGCGATGTTATGTGAAGACACGGCTTGAAGTATTTTTAAGATCTGGCCTTTCATCTCTGGAAGCACAAGAAAGTATTTGCAGATTGGTCTCTGGAATGAAATTAGCCTAGCACGTTGGCTGGTTCCTGTAAAGTGTGGGCATTTCTGTAAGTGGTTCTGAGTCCCTTAATCCTTTTGATCATTTGCACTGTGTATTTTTACACAGGTTCTTTTACTTTGGAGAAATAAAGTAAAGAAACTTAAAGGTGAGTTTGGCAAGGGCATCACTGTGCTGTTTGTCAAGGCAAATGAATCTTGAATTTGAATGGTAGTAGTTTCTTTTAAACAACCAAGCTTCTTTAAACCTCTCCACAAATAACGTCAGTGGCAGGTTATGTCTGAAAGTGTTTGCTGGCGAGTGGAAATCTTTCCTGACCCCATATTGCTGTCATGAAAGAAGAGCCTAATCCCATAAAATATTCTTGACAGCCTCGTGTCAGTTACCACACAGCTGTGATTTCTTATCTGGGCTACAGCCTGTGTGACATTTGTTGTCACTTCATGGCTTCAGGTTTCTCCATTCAGAAGCTCAGGTCATAGTAGGAGGTTGAGCTTCATCCCCGGTTGAAACCTGGTTCGCGTATGACTGAATCCTCTTACGTCCTCACTGTTGTGTGAAAAAACTCATAGGGAGACCTTGATTTCCTCATCTGTTTAATGGGGACCATATGTCTCTGGCAAAATCGTTGTGAGCAATGTTTGTATGTCTGTGTTCACAGTAGCATTGTTTGCAGTGGTAAAAAGGTAGAGGCAACCCACATGTTCGTTGATGGATGAATGGATAAACAAACAAAATACACCCAATGGAATATTATTCAGCCCTAAAAAGGAAGAAAATTCAGACACATGCAACAACATGGGTGAACCTTGAGGACATTATGCCGAGTTAAGTAAGACAGTCACAAAAAGACAAATAGTGGATTCCACTTATAGGAAGTCCCTAGAGAAGTAAAATCCACAGAGACAAGAAAGTGGAAAGGGGGTTGCCAGGGCCCAGTGGGAGCGGGCAAGGGGAGTTGATATTTAATGGGTACGGAATATCAGTTCTGCGAGATGAAAAGAGTTCTGGAGCCGGATGATTAGTGATGATTGCAAAACATTGTGAATGTACTTAATCTGATGGTAAATTTTATGTTATGTTCATTTTATCAAAATAGGAAAAAAATCCATGAGCATTAAATGGCATCAAGTAGATAAGTGGCTACCATATCATTGTTGTTCACTAAATCATAAAGTAACAGCTTTGACCATGTGTGGGATAGTAAAATATGTGGTATTTTAATGGTTCTATGAAACTTCATCTTATGAGTATACCACGTTTGTTTCCCTTTGTTTGGCTTGTGTATTTCTTATAAGTATTCTACCATTGTAATAATGACAGAGTGAATTTTTTGTGCATGTATATATCTTTTCTATTAGTTGAAGTTATACCTTTGAGATGGATTTCCTGGATCACTTAATCAAGGTAAATGAGCATCTTTGTGGCTCTTGCTACATACACCCGTGGGGTTTCAGAAAAGATTTAGTGATTTTACCCTGTCACTAGCCAAGTAAGGGCACCATTTCATTGTATCCTCAACAGCACTAAGATGCTTCTAAGCAATTTTATTAAATGTGATAAGAGATAATATGTTAGTGTTTGAATATGCATTTATTTGCTTTCATTTTGATCACTAAAAATGTTGGCATTTTGCATGTCTCAATTTACATGTATTTCTTCACATAGGAAGAAATACATGTAAATTGAGAAGAAATAGCCTGTTTACGTCTTTTGCTTATATTTTAGTGTGGTTTCAATGTTTTTCATGCCAAATATGTCTGTCATGTTGATAACATATTACCATTTTTAATATTCAGAGATTTTTAATGCTTATGTAGTTGAATCACTTATTTAAACATTACAAATTACAAAATAATATGTTCTACTAGAGCAAAAGTGGTTTTACAATCACATTATTATACCTACTGTATCTTTTTCCCAAACTCTCCACTGTCATTCTTTTCATATCTTTTAGCATAAAATCTGTTTAGATGCTAACTTGAATGACTATAGTATTTGAATTAAAATTATATGGACTAGCCAATTAATAATAAAATATTAATATAATAATAACCCAGTATAAAAGGACATGCCAATTAGAGCAAAGAAGAAATTAAAATTGCTAATAACCATGAAATTTGTGTTTTACTTCACTAATAATATAAATTCATCCTAAATAAAACAATAGAATCCTATCTTCCAGCTATGAATTGCTAAGGATTAAAAATGTTGTAATGGTGACTGAGACTGGCCCTCAAAAACGCTGCCAATGGAAAGAGAAAACTGGGTCAACTTTACTGAAAAGCAGTTTGGAGCTAGGCATCAAGAAATTTAAAAATGTTTAGAAACATTGATTTAGAAATTCCATTTATATAACTAAGGCTTGAGGCAGCTTCAGAAGCATGGAAAAATATTTACATTTATGGATAAAAATATATTTCAGTCTAATTGCCCAATGACAAGGAATGATTGAATAAGTAGTTGGACAACCATCTGATGGGGAGTTATGTATTCATTATAAATGGTGTTTTCTAAAAGTTTTAGTGACATGGGGAAGTATTCCCAATATAGTGGTAAGAGAGAAAAGCATGCTGTAATGAATGCAGTGGAAGAAATTTGTGTGTGTGTGTGTGTGTGTGTGTGTGCACGCGTGCATGCACACATCTGGTAGGCACCCAGGAAGAGATTGATAAAATTTATTGATAGTGCTTATGTGGCAGTAGTATAGGTGATTTGTATTTTCTTTTTTCTTTCTTTTTTTTTTCTTTGAGATGGAGTCTCACCCTGTTGCCAAGGCTGGAGTGCAGTGGTGCGATCTCGGCTTACTGCAACCTCCACCTCTCAGGTTCAAGTGATTCTCCTGCCTCAGCGTCCCGAGTAGCTGGGATTACAGACACCCACCACCACGCCTGGCTAATTTTTGTCTTTTTAGTGGAGACGGGGTTACACCATGTTGGCCAGGCTGGTCTTGAACTCCTGACCTCAAGTGATCCGCCTGCCTTGGCCTCCCAAAGTGCTGGGATTACAGGCATCCACCACCACACCCAGCTAATTTTTTTGTTCAGTAGAGATGGGGTTTCACCAGATTGGCCAGGCTACTCGAACTCCTGACCTCAGGTGATGCACCCTCCTCGGCCTCTCAAAGTTCTAGGATTACAGTGAACTGCCATGCCCAGCTTGCCAAATTCTTTACTACACATAAGGTGACTGAAAACAGATAGATAAAAAATTTATATAGCCTAGTGATCTTAGTATGGAGGGATCTCTTATTTGCCATGCTCTAAGACTATAAAAGAAAGAAGGACATGAATTTCACAGGTACAAGCAGTACTGCAAATACCCACCCCTGATCCACCAAACCTCCAGGACCACCACTGAGAACAGGCCTACTTACAGAGGATCCTGCAAGTAGACATATGTCACCATCATTGTTTACCACAGAGAAGAATTAGGCTGGGAAAACACTTACCACCCTGCTGGGTATTTAAATCTGACCCTTGTCCCAGTGTTAACAGCACAGCACGTATGTCCCTCCTTAACTCACTGATCTCATGTGAACGAGTGATCAGCCTGTTTTTTACAGGTTTCTCTCCCTGGCACCATCTCACTGTGGTGCAGCTGAGCTCACTACATATAGCATGGAGTGATGATAAAAATAAATTGGCTCTTTCCCTTTGCAGAGTTTCAGTTCTTGAGCGCTATGTCAGGGTGGATCCATAAGGTTTCCTGAGTGAGCTTAGAAACCTGAAAACCCACGTTTGTTTTTTCATGAACTTAAAACAATTTATTAGAGCACAATGTAGAAGTCATCGCAGCAAGCTCCCTGGAAGAGAACTGTATGCTTTTATGGAAAAAGAACCAGTAACAGAGCCTTGAGAGAGACTCTTAGCTAAAGTCTAATCCTCCTTCCATTCTTCCTTCACAGGGTAGAGTTTCAGCTTTTGTCTGTTGTTTTTTTTGTGAACAAAAAACTTGCAATAAATGGATGTTGTCAGTAAATTTCGGTTGTACGTTTTGTTTTTTCCAAGAAAAAACTGGCCATGCAGAAGTCGTCCGAGTGGTGTACCAGCCAGAACACATGAGTTTTGAGGAACTGCTCAAGGTCTTCTGGGAGAATCACGACCCGACCCAAGGTAGAGTGATGAGTGAGCCAGTATTTAATTATCTTACTAATTACAGCTGGGATAATTAGTGTTTGAGCTGCATGGAAGAGATGAACCTTGAAATCACACAGGAGCTCAAGAATATGATTGCAGACATTTATTGACGGAGGAGAGGAGGGGCTGGGGAGAAAAAGGGTGAGAGAATAAAGGCACAGCCACATTCGGCGCCCCTGCCCCCCTTACAGCTGTCAGGGGTGGGAAAATTCCCACAGAGGAAGACGCCAGACAATAGCGATCCGTTCACCTTTGATTATTGCATTATTCCTCCTTAATGCAGTCTTTTGTCTACAAAATTAAAGTGTCTTTCCAGCAGCTCCAAAGATTCCTGATTTATGGTTTCTTTATTTCTCTGAGTTTAGCCTTTCTCGTCTTTTGACGTTATCAGGTTGGATTTTTTTAAAAAAATGTATGTGGTGATAAAGAAGAACATAAAGGTAAAATGCAGTATTCACTAGGTCCACAAAGCTTGCTCATTTAAATATTTCATTTGTTCTCTTTGGAATTTGTTATGTGGAGATATTAATATATTTGGGCTATAAACAATGGTGGTTGGAAATTTTATTTGAATGCATACACAAGTGAAATATTCCATGTTGGCAAATATCATTGTAATATTCAATAATGAAGCAATTTCAAGATCGCATCCCAGCAGCCTTGCAGGCCCTGCTTTGCCAGTGTGATGATCTGATATTATGCAGCTTATGAACTGAAAAGTCCTATGCAATAGATGTGGTTTTTCACAAACCCTCTTCATTTGGCAGTCAGTCTATTTCACCAAAGTATTTTCTCTTTGGTGTCAGATTTTTGTGTAGTGGATATGCAGTGTTATTTCTTGATGAGTGAAGTTTTTCTCCAAATGTAAATTGTGCTTCATGGTGGAATCTTCATATGCCTGTAGCAGCACAGGTTGGTGGGTCCTGAGTGCTGGTTCTAAGAACCATCCCATTCTAGGGCTTTTTGCCAGAGGGCAAAGGTCAGAGATGAGGCAAGAGCAGCAAAGTGACAAACTCGAGCAGGGTGAGGCAGGTTCAGGATCCACGCAGATCTATCAGGGCAGATGGGGGCCTAGAGGTCTGGGCCTAGGAAGGAGGCCGGGGGCACGATTTCCATGACCACAAAGTCTGGTTTGACATGGGGGAATGGGTACCTGGTGGAAGAGGGATGAGGTATGGGGCAGGGTAGGGAAAGAACCGGTAGGACAAGAACACTCTAATCAGAAGGTTCACGTGTCACCCTAGCTTGGGATATGGGACATCACTTCATGTGGGAAGGCAGGTCTGTGGGCCTAGATTGCTTTGGTTCTGCAGGAAGCTCTGCAGTGAGGATCATAAATCAGGGTGGTGACAGCCAGTCGCTCCTTCTGGTAAGTCATCAATCCAGATGGAGCAGACGTTCAGCCATTTGACTGTCAAAGTCAAGGGTCAGAGGAAGATGATAAGAGCTCCAAAATTATCAGTGAAGACATGTATCAGAGGCCCAGGCAAGGCCTGAAGGCATGTAGGTGACAGGTCGGGTCTGTGTCCTTTAATGTGGCCAACTGCAATGCCACGTCCTGATAGAATCTCCTTAGGCTTAGGCCTGGCAGAATTGTAAAGAAGGCCAAGTCTGTCGTCAACTTCTCTCTCCATACCGCTCTTAAATGCTTTCATTTGATCACATCTTCATTGATTAATTGGGTTGCTAATACCGGCCCCTGAACCTCGGGGGGAATACTACTATGATGAGGGTTTGGGCTGGGAGAACTCACCTCTCTGTTCATCATTTGGCCTTCTATGGGCTCTGTGTTTGTAATGGTGGCATCTCTGGGGTTAAAAAAGATTTTCCAGATCTTCACATCATAGGTGGTAATATGGAGACCAAAACAAGGCAAGGGCATGGCTAAGGTTGTAGCGTGATCCAGTCTCCCCAGATGAATTCAGAGAACCACTCATCAACACCAGGGCAACCCTGACTGCCCCAGGACCCCTCCAATCTGTGGTCCCCACCCTTCTGCCTCTCTTATGGACCATCTCTTTCCATAGGTCAGTGGCCTCCCCACAGGTGAGGAAGAGGTAAGGAAGGGCAGGGGATGATGGTTAGTTAAGGGTAGGGCGAGAGATCCTCCGTCAGGAACCTCTACTCAGCTGGCTTTGTTTTTCTTAAGCTAGTTTTTTAGTTTCTATTACATGTAACAGTAACAAAAATCCTTACTAATCCACCCATTCAATCCAAACAATCTTATGCCCATTATATTTGCCAGGTGCCCTTTTATTTTTTGTTTTTGTTTTTTATTTTATTATTTTTTTGAGACTGAGTCTTAATCCTTTGCTCAAGCTGGAGTGCAGTGGCGTGATCGCGTCTCACTGAACCCTCCACCTCCCAGGTGCAAGCAGTTCCCCTGCCTCAGCCTCCTGAGTAGCTGGGATTACAGGTGCATGCCACCATACCTGGCTAATTTTTCATGTTTATAATAGAGTTGGGGTTTCACCATGTTGGCCAGGCTGGTCTTGAACTTATGACCTCAAGTGATCCACCCTCCTTGGCCTCCCAAAGTGCTGGGATTGCAGGCGTGAGCCACTGCGCCTAGCCACCAGGTGTACTAAATCACTAAGGCATCTGGGATACGCACGAGTATCCGGCCTCTTGGTTAATGCACATGGAAAATATATTCCTACAGGAAGAAAATAATTAATTCCAATATGCTGAGATCAAGTGAGCATACAGATAAATGCGCATAAGACCACAGGCTAAATGTTAACATGAAATCATTAAAACAAGTATGTGTTAGCACTTGAACATTAAAGGCAAAAAACAAACAATAACCAACCCTTAAGTTCAGAATAACTCTGGTATCAATGGAGTTGATATTCCTGGGGAACCCTGAAGGTCCAAAAACAGTGACACATGTCAAGTGTCATTTTTCCAAGGTCAGAATTTGAAGCCTGCTCCTCGAAGGATGGACCAGAGGCAGGGGAGAGCCAGGCTACAAATGAACTTGGCTATCACTCACTCACCACATCTGACCACAGCTGCCTAAATCTCTACTTGAGGTCACATGGCAACCTGTCACGTTTCACAGTAAAAGTTGGTCTTGAAAAGAAAGCCGCCACTAGAGAAGATGAGGGTGGTGAAGATATGTAAGACTGACTGTTCTTACTCAGAAAATGGACATTTTGAAAGAGAGCAGCAGGTTGGATTTGGTGGTGATTCTGATCTGTGAGGCAGTAGTCCACTCCAGGTTCTTTTCAGAAACAAAAGTGATTACTAAAACTACTCGAGCAATGCTCTTGCCTGTGCCAGAATTGCTTATCAACAAAAAGACAAAACTTGTGTAGAAGTTGAAAAGTCATTGACATTTGATGTGAAGATGCGCCCAGGAAACATGATTTCCACAGAAATGTGACTCAAGAGAAATGTATTTTAATTAGCATGTTGAAAGATTTTAGTACCTTTTTGTAAAGTCATTAAGGACTTGAAGGGGCCTTAAATTTTTTTGGTTATAATTCACTGCATTTTATAGGAGAAGCAGTATCTACAGTGATATTTGCAAATGTGGAGATTCTTGCTGATGTCAATGGTCTTACTGTAGTAGAAACAGCAAGAATGTAAGCTTAGAGTCCCCTTTCAGTTAAATCAGATCTTCATGGCATAGGCTAAACAGAGAACATTCAGCATGTTCTTTCCTGCTTCAAGGTGCTGAAGCAGCTCTCATAGTATCTGCCCTAATGGACATCTAGATGAAGTCCCCATGTGTTTTCTTCCTTTTTTTTTTTTTTTTTTTTTTCCGGATGGAGTCTTGCTCTGTTGCCTAGGCTGGAGTACCGTGGTGCGATCTTGGCTCACTGCATCCTCTGCTTCACAGGTTCAAGTGATTCTCCTGCCTCAGCCTCCTGAGTAGCTTGGATTACAGGCATCCGCCACCACACCCAGCTAATTTTTGTATTTTTCATAGAGATGGGGTTTCACCATGTTGGTCAGCCTGGTCTCAAACTCCTGACCTCATGATTCGCCCACCTCGGCCTCCCCAAGTGCTGGGATTACAGGCCACAAGGCATGAACCACTGTGCCTAGCCTTCTGCCATTTTGGAGGGAGCAAAGCTGGTAAGTGAGAGATTGGAAGGTGTAGGCTTTTTAAGGTATAGGTGAGGCCCGAGACCTGTTATTCCACAGCCACTAGACAGTGAGTCTGAAGAGGATGCCACTCCACGGATTAGCCTAAGGAGGAATGACAGACATGCTAGCATCATTACTCATGTGGTCAGTAAGTGGAATAGTCTTTTCTTTTAATTTACCAATTACCACAGAACCTCTACTTTTGCTGAAACATTTGAATCCCACTGTTTAAGCCAATAGGTTCTATTCTGGCCTTCTTTCTTACTCATGGGATGAAGATAGTTCCTTTAGGCTTCTGAGGATAGACTGGCAGGTGTACATTCCTGGCCATGGGGTACCCAGACTCCCACTGTCTCCAGGCAACGTGGTGGGTGCCTGAGATTTAGGAGTTTTGAGTTCTGGTCCCTGGTTGGCCCCTTCCCAACCACATGATTTTGGCCAGGACACTTACCCAACCTGAACCTCCATTTTTCTCATCTACAGAAAAAGGGATAATAATGTCTATACTGCCGACTTAATGGTCTGATGTAGGAATTAAATAAAATAGTGTGAAAATAACATGAAAATGGTATAGGTGCCATGCCAGTGCCAGGTATTGTTGTTACGTCTTTTTCAACACAACAATACAATTCCATCAGATTTTAATTTTACATTTATTCTTACATCTGTGTTGCCCTTGATTCTTTGTCTGGGTAAGTATTTACCCTCCATCTACTAAAGTGTGGGTTTTCTACCCACCGAGATTCTTGTGTCTCTTGCATTGGTTGGAAAGAGTTCAGCATTGTTTATGTTGTCTTCTGGGACCTTGCTGGTGCTGACAGTGGTGATGAGGCTGGTGGATCCTTGCTCAAAAGCCTCCTTAAGGCTTCTTCTCACAGAGTAATCTAAAGAACTGGATCAGGTTCCCAGCATTTCATGGCTGGTCTGTATCCTCCTAACTAGAATGACCTGTGCATGAATAACACAATTCAGACCTCCTAGTCCTGCGTGGGACTCGGGGCACAGACTGAGTGCCTCGAGCCAAGCCACAGGTACACCAGGCAGAGGGTCTTCAGTTTTGTGTGACTTCACCCACTAAATCTGATTTCTCAGTTGCAACCCATCTTGCTGTCCTCAGTCCTGGAGCAAGGGAGAGCAATATTTACTAAGCACCTCTTAGGGGCCAGTCTTAGCGATAGATGTTTCATAATCCTAATTGCATTTAAATCTGACCATAACCCTGTGAAGTAAGGATCATTGTCTTTGCTTAGCAGAAGAGGAGCAATGAGGTTCCAAAAGACTCATAATCTTGCTTAATGTTAGTGGCGGTATTTGGATGCAGCTCTGTCTAAAGCTCAGGTCTATTTTCTTTTCCATACACTAGAGGAATCCAAGCTTCCTGACTAGGAAGACCTCTTCTAAGGATGCACATTTTTTTTTTTTTTTTTGAGACATGGTCTTGCTCTGTCACCTAGGCTGGAGTGCAGTGGCACAATTGGCTTACTGCAACTTCTGCCTCCCAAGCTCAAGACATCCTCCCACCTCAGCCTCCTGAGTAGCTAGGATGACAGGTGCACGCCACCATGCCCAACTTATTTTTTGTATTTTTGGTAGAGATGGATTTCGCCATGTTGCTCAGGCTGGTCTGGAACTCCTGGGCTCAAGCAATCCACCTGCCTCAGCCTTCCAAAGTTCTGGGATGACAGAGGTGGCCACTGCGCCCAGCTGGGGTGCACATTTTTATGGATCCTCCAGTGATAACAATTGGGCTTTTAGTACATTTAAAAAAGCAAATATATTAAAATGCTACCATGGATTTAATTATACTTTAAATTGCATGCCTATCATATTCACCACTTCCACATCATGTACTTCTGGAAAAGGGAACTATTGTACACATAATGCATTCTCCAGGCTCTAGATCTTGCCTGCTGCACAGTTGGATGCGTGGAGCTTTTGTGGCAACTCCAAGCCTTCCCAGAGGACTGTGGTCTGGAAACTGCTCCGGTATACTCCTTGGGGAGCAGTGGCCTTTGCAGAGGCCTCTGGCTGAGAGTGCTGGTTGACCCCAATATTAGGGTTCCCCCACCTGTGTAGTTTAAGAATTTTAGCTGGTGTGCAGCCACCCATAAAGACAAAATCCCTGAGACACCTTAGAGCTAAGTATGGCCACATGTCTAAATTCTGACTATGGGGGCCTTAGTAGAAGTGACAGCGTGCAGCTTCTGGGTTTGTGGCCTTAGAGGAAGGGGCATTCTCTTCCACTTCCTCCCTTCCCACAAGTTAGTGTGGGGCTGAAGTGGTGGACCATCACGAAGCCCAGGGATGGAGCCTGACCCTTGTGCTGCTAGAGCTGTGAGACTAAGGAGCCAGAGTCACCATCCCAGGCTGGATCTTTAGGCAAGAACTCTTGTTTAAAGTACTGCTATTGTGGTTCATTGAAGCCTTCTTATTCTCATTTTCTACAGCAGCTGAACCTATGTCTTGACTAACACAGCCTTCAACTATAAGCTGGTGATGAACTCCCAGTTACCCTTCTGAAAGCCTTAATTGCAGTGTTCCCTTAATTAAAACGTCTTTAATCAAACCTGTTGTTAAGAGTGTGGACCCTGGGGTCAGAGATGTCATGGCTGTGAACCAGATCGGCCCGGCACTCGCTGTGCGGACAGGCCTCATTTCTCTCTATCCACTTGACCACGTAGGTCCTCCAGTAGTCTACTAACTGGCCTGTCTCACCCTTTCTCATTCCCTGCTCCATAATGCCCTGTTAAAAACACAAAACCAGCTGTGGCCCCCTCTGGCTTAAAGCACTTTGCCGGTTGCCCGATTTCTTTGGGATGAGATCCGGACTCTTTACAGTGGCCAGTGTGGCCTGGGATTACCTGATTGGCACTTGCCTTTCCAACTTTGGCTCATACCACAGTTCTCCCCAGACTATGCCCCATCCATGCTCACTGTGCTTCAGTTACTGTCGCCTTCATCTGTTCCATTCCTGGAAGACTTGAGCTCTTTCTTGCCTCGCACACTGTTCCTACTGCTTAGCCTGTCCATAGCTCTTGGTCTGCCACCAACATCAGGCAAGACTGCAAGTCTTTGGAACCTCATTGCTTCTCTTCTGCTAAGCAAAGTCAGTGATGCCTACTTCATAGGGTTATAGTCAGGATTAAATGGAATTAGGATTATAAAACATCTGCCACTAAGACTGGCCCCTAAGGGGTGCTTAGTAAATGTTGCTCTTCCTTGCTCCAGGATCGAGGAGAGCAAGAACTATGTGACTGGCTCCTTCTCCTTTAAGTCTCAGCTGAAGATATCGTCCTCAGAAAGGTCTTCCCTGCCCACCCTAATTAAAGTAGCAGTCCCAGCCCTCACCCCCATGAACTTCTGTACTATCATTCTCTCCTTGCTTCCTAACTCATCATGAGGTAAAATCACATGTTTAATTGTTTATTGCTTATTCTCTGACTCCTCTAGAAGGTGGGCTTTGTATTAAATGTTTTCTCATTGAACTAGTGAGTGAACCTCTGTTTCTGCATCTGTAATAGTTTGTGCCTTCTCAGTGTCGGGGCGCACACGGGCGCGGAGCCTGCCGTGCAGAGCGTGGCGCCTGGTGCGGAATAAGCGCTGGCTCTAATAGCTGTCGTGCTCATGCCGCCTGTGGAAGGGCCGTTTCCATCACCAGCTGCTGTTTGTTTGTCTTGTTCTTTCGTGAATCCCAGTATTTGTCTGCTTGTTCTCTATCATTTTTCCTCAGCTCATGTTCTGATTACCCCTGATGGCTTCCTATTCTTGGTTCACACCCTTTATCCTCAATCAGCTCCTCTTCACCCCTTTCCACCTGCAGCACAGCTCCCAGTTGTCCTCAGAAGGCTTGGTCTGGTTTGCCCCCCGTGGGCTGCACCGTCTATGCTGTTGGGTTTCCTGGGGCCCCAGGGCCACACATCCTGGCCTTACCGTGAGCTGGGGATTCTGTGGGGCTCCTCAGCCTGTGCTTGGAACTAGAGAGCCTGCAAGGACTCTTCTCTACTTGGTGTCCTTGGGCTGCATGGGCTTCCCTGCCAGACGTGTGCAGTCACCACAAAGCCCTGCTCCAGGCGAGTTTTTTCCAGGTGGTCCCAGGGAATCGGGTGGGATAGGTCCACTCCGTGTTCAGGAGGTTGGCTCCCGAGCCTCTTTCCAGGTGCACTGTGGAGAAGCAGGTCCCCTGTGCTGTCTACTGGGAAACATTCATTGAAGGGAGACAAATCCTATTTTCCTTCTGTTCCCCATCAACTTGGCAATAAAATACTGTCGTTCGTATATTTGAACTTGCCAGATTAATATCTGAACTTCCTTGTGCTGACCCCTTGAAGTTAGTTTTTTAAAATAAGTCACCAGTTTTGAAGGACTATCCTTTTTTAGACCATATACAAGGAATCTATCATCTGCAAATAATTAGACAGTGGGAATGATATTGTATTGCTAATGAGCAGATGTGCAGACTCGGATTGGAAGAACAGCTGCACACATATAAAATGCAAAAGCTACCCAAACCCAGCATTATGAATTCTGAAAGGGATTTCATTCTTTTAAGAATTTCAGAAACAGAGAAAAATGAAACAAAAGAATTTAACTGATATTTTTATTAATTGTTCTTTCAGTCACACTTTCCCTTCTATCACATTATCATACGTGTTCATAGTATCTTTGCTGTTTGCAAAAGTGTTATTTGCACTTTTAAATCCTTCTGTCATATAATACTATAAAGCTTCTATTTAACATTTTTCCTTTGCCTTTCTAGTGTTACAAGGGTTTGGTGTCTGCACTCTGAGTGACAGACTCTTACTGAAGGTCTTTCCTGAGCTGTGCGCAATGCTAAGTGCTCATGTGTACGTGATCCCATTTGCTCCTTAAAGCAACCTATGAACCTTAGACCCATTTTGTAGAGGAACAGAAAGGCCCAGTGAGGTGAAGTGATTTGGCACAAGCCACTTACTACATTGCTTGACGGAGGTGGAATTCGGACTTCAGGGCTAAAATCGAAGCCTGATGTTCTTTCTGTTGGGTAGCACATGGCCCCACAGTGCTACACAATTCTATCAGAAAGCAGAAAACATGACCCACTGGAAACAGCAGCACATTATCCGATGATTTTAAACTCTTTGTGATGTCCATTACAATTTTATAATCCTATTAAGGATTTGCAAGATGAAGAAGTCCAAATAATCAGGCTTTTGAAAACTTTTAGCCAGGAAGAGTTTCACATATCTTAGATAGTAATGGTTAGGTCATTTAGAATTTGAATAAATTGCTGAAATGGTATGAAATCACTAAAAAGAAATGAAGTCAGAAGAATTACTAGACTTCACATAAAAGAGTACTGAATTAGGTCACAGAAAAATCAGAGCTGGTAACACTGGCAGGAACTAGGATTTCTAGGTTCCAGGAATGGCAGGCTGAGTTATTCAGACCAAATTGCCCACTGAAAGCAGCTCCAAATGTTGAATAAAATACAACTATATATATAAAGCATCACATCAAAGGGCTGACAGAACTATGAGGAATTAACCAGGTTAAAATGGAAGGCAACACAGGAACCCAGACAGGTAAGCAGAGGATTAGATATATCTTTATTCTGAGCAAACTTGTTAATCCCAGAAAATGCGAGCTTTGAGAGCCTTATTAAGGACGTAGAGGGAGTGACCGACACAATTCCAGCACTTGACCCAGTGGACATAAGATGCTGTACCCCACACCTGGGGGGGCGCCTTCTTCTCAATCACACAAGGAACATATTCCAGGCCATAAAAGGCTCAGTATGTTTCAAAGGGATTAAAATCATGTAGCTTTTTTTTTCTCTTACCATAATGCAAGTATTCAGAAAATCGTCTTATGTTAGAAAATTTAAAAATTTCTGGCCAGGCATTATGGCTCACATCTGTAATACCAGCGTTTTGGGAGGCCAAGGAGGGAGGATCACTTGAATCCAGGAGTTCAGGACCAGTCTGGGTGACATAGTGAGGTCTCCATCTCTACAAGAAATTTCAAAAAAACTAGCTGGGCATGGTGGCACATCCCTGTAGTCCCAGCTACTCAGGAGTTTGAGGTGGGAGGGGTGCTTGTGCCCAGGAGGTTGAGGCTGCAGTGAGCCATGATTGTGCCACTGCACACCAGCCTGGGCAACAGAGCAAGAGCTTGCCTGAAAAAAACAAATCTGAATATCCTAGTTATCAAAGATAAATCATGATGGAAATTGTAAAATACTTTGAATCAAATGATAATTAAAATACTGTATGTTAAAATCGATAGGGCATAGGTAAAGCAGTTCTCAGAGGGACATATAGAGCCTTAAATTCATATATTAGAAGAGAAAAGAAGCTGAGCTAAGCGTCCATCTCAAGAACTTAGAAAATCAGCAACAAATTCAACCCAAACAGTATAAAATAAATAATGAAGGGCAGAAAGAAATGAAATGGGAAGCAAACAAACAGAAGATCAAAAAAGCCAAGAGTCGATATTTCACAATGGCTACAAAATTGATAAAGCTCTGGGAAGTTGTTCAAGGAAAAAGTGAGAAGACACAAATATACAACATTAGGAATAAAAAGTGGGATATCACTACAGATGTGGGAGATTTTACAGAAACCAGGAAGATATGATAAGCAACTTTGTGTCAATAAATTTGAAAAGTTAGATACATTCTTTAAAAATATAGTTTAATAAAACTGAATAAAGACACCACTGGCTTCATCAGTGAGTTCTCCCAACATTTAAGGAAGAAATAATTGCAGTTTTTCATAATGTTTTCAAGAGATTAGAGAGAGATGCAGTCCATCTTATGATCCTTGCATAGTCTTGATACCAAAACTTAACTATGTAAGAAAAGAAAATTGTAGGACAATCTTACTTATGACTATATTTGCAGAAATCCTACGCAAACTATTAGCAAACTGAATTTAATAGTATATAAGAAAATAATACATCATGACCAATTTTAGTTTCCTCCAACGAACACAAGCTTAGTTTAGCACTTTAGTATTAGCCCATGTAATTAACCACCTTAGCAGGTATTTTAAAAACATGTATGATTATTGAAATAGATGCTTAAAAAGTACTGAATACAATTCAGTATTCATAAATGATTTAAAAACACATATAAAAGATGACTTTCTTATTCTGATAAGGAGTACATGCAAAAGCCTATAGCAAGCATTGTATTTAATAATGATGCATTGAGAAACTACAGAGAATGCCATTGCAATTTCTAATCAGCATTGGAGTGGGGGTCCTAGCTCATGCAGTAAGTCAAGGAAAGAATACATGTATGCTGATTGAAAAATCCACTAGATACCTATTTATCTTTCCCCAGCCGGACACCATTCCTCTTCTCCCTTGAAGTGGTCATGTGACTGAGTTCTGGCCAGTGGAATGAGGAAGAAGTGACATATGCTGCTTCCAGACCTGGCTCAGAAAAACCTGCTGCATGATCTGTGAACTTCTCTCTCTATATTCAGTCTGCCTGCTGAATGCTAATGCCAAGGGAAACCTTTGAAGCAACATATTGAAGGTGGTGAAGCTTCTGTCAGCCTAGGCCCCTGAAGAGTTCATGAAGTAGAACTGTTACCATCTCCTTTTTATTAACTGCTTTGCATGATTATGAAAGAAACTTCTATTATGTCCACCCACTGGAATTTCAGGGTTTACTTATTTACCAGGAACTGGTACCTTGAAGTGGAGTGCTACCAAAAAATCTAAAAAAAAAAAAACAAAAAACAAACAAACAAAAAAAAACATGGCATTGGCTTAGTAGTTAGGCAGCTGGAAGATCTAATATTGGGTCTTGTTTATGGTTGGTAAACACACCAATTCTCTCCAAATTGTTTTATGAATTCAGTGCAAATCCAAATGAGATCCCAACAGTTTTGTTGTTGTTGTCGTCAGTGTTGTTGTTTTTGTGGATCTTAAAAGCTAATCTCGACATTTATAGGGAAATGCAAAAGTCCAAGAAAAGCAAAGATACTTGCATAAGAACAAGAGGATGAGAGGACTTATTCTTCCAGATATCGAGTCATTATAAAGCTACAGCTGTTAAGACATTGTGTATCTGATGTAGGGACAAATGAATAGAGAGTTCAGAAACAGACCCACTCATGTCAAAGTATGACAAATGACACAGTTGGCATTTCATAGTACTGGGGAAATAATGGCTTCTTAATCAATAGTGATAAGATAATTTTCTTATAGGAAGAAAGTTAATTGGATTTCTGCCTCACACCATACACAAAAATCAATTCCAAGTAGATTGAATACATAAATGTCAAAGGCAAACGTACGAAATTTCAAGTAGATAATTTTCATGACCTTGGGTTTCGGAAGCATTTCCTAAACAAGACACAAAAGCACTAACCGTAAAGGAAAAATATTTGACAAATTTAACTATATCAAAATCTGACAACTTTGGTTCATCAAAAAGCATCATAAAGAAAATGCCAAGAACAGAAAAAAAGAAAAATAAAAAATAACAAATTGCCAAGAACAGAGAGATTATATTTGATAAAGGATTAGTATTCAGAATATATAAAAAATAGACTTAAATGTATGTGCAGTATTTTTTTTTAGAAAAGACAGACTGCTGAGAGAAAAAATGGGCAAAGGACTTGAATTGTGGCAAAGAAACATAAAATGATAATTAACGTTATTAATCTGGAAAATGCAAATTAAGATCAAGTGAGATTCCATTACACACCAAGCAGACTGACAAAAAGTGAAAATCTGACATTAGCAGACTTTAATGAATTGGCAAGCATTTAGAGCTCCAGGAATTCTTGTGCAGTCATGTGGTTTTGTAAATTGGTACGACTACTCTGGAAAAATAGTTCAGCATGTAGTTAAGTTGAAGACATGCAAACACTATACAGCAACAATTCTATTTCTAGGTATGTACTCAAGAGAAACTCATGCATATGTATAAGAGAATACATGTCAAGAATGTTCTTTACAGCCCCAGGCTGGTAATGTTCATTAAGGGTAGAATGTATAAATCCATTGTGGTGCATTCATACAATGGGATATTATGAAGCCATGAAAATGAAGAAAATGGAAGGACCTCATGATCATAATTGTAAGTGAAAGATTCAAACTGTAGTATAATTGCATTTATATTAATTTTAAAAATAGGCTGTATTAGTCTATTCCCATGCTGCTAATAAAGACATACCGGAGACTGGGTAATATATAAAGAAAAAGAGGTGTAATGGACCCCAAGTTCCACATGGCTGGGGAGCCTTCACAATTATGACCAAAGGCGAAGGAGGAGCAAAGGCACATCTTATTACATGGCAGCAGGCAAGAGAGTGTGTGTAGGGGAACTGACCTTTATAAAACCATCAGATCTCATGAGACTTATTCACTGTCATGAGAACAGCATGGGAAAGACCTGCCCCCCGTGATTCAGTTACCTCCCACCAGGTTTTTCCCATGACACGTGGGGATTATTGGAGCTACAGCTCAAGATGAGATTTGGGAGGGGACACAGTCAAACCATATCACAGGCCAAACTAAACTAGGTTTATTCTGAATGTGTCCGTGTGCTAAAGAAATTATTGCAAAAACCAGGTGTGGTACAACCAGAGAGAGGGAAGGCATTGTCATCAATAGAGACACATGGAAGACTCTCAAGGGTACTTGGCTGTACTCTCTTTCTTGACATTAGTGGTGGTGATGTGAGTATTCACTTTATAATCACTAATTATAAATAGAGTAATAGTAGACACTTAACTGTGCGTATCTATTTTATGTACCTTTGTACATTTATGTCTTATGTACTTTTCTGTAATTAAATCTGGAAACTACAAAGGTATAATATGTCGATTGCTACTTCTGCTAATATGAACACTATCCATGATGGACTAGCTTTGTAAATGTGTGTGCACATGTGTGCTTGGTACTGATTTCAATGTAAGCATGTTGTAAATCTCATATAGTGGGGCACTTTGGCTGTAAAACTTTAAGATTTGGACTTGCAATGATGACCTAAAAATTTTACTATTTTGAACGTTTTCTAATATTTTCATTATTTGGCCAAACTTGGGATTTTAGAACATAAACAGACATGGAGTCCCAAAAGACATTCTAGGACGCATAATAAGTAAAAAGATTTTCTTTGGCCACCATAAATAGAATTTCCCTTTTACACAAACAAAATTCACACTATGATAACTTTTGACCTTTCATGAAGAAATCACCACATCTTGTCAAAATAATTTATGACTATAGAAGTAATGTGTACTCCTTACTGAAAATCAGGATCTTTCATTTTTCTTTTTGCTTTTAGATATGGAATAAATATGTGGCACCTCTGTTAAAAAGCAACACTATTTCATCTCCCTTGAGATGCACTGCGTGAAAAAATGCAAAGAACATTGTGCAGGTGATAGATAGTGACCGTATTGTGTGGCTGTCTTCCTTTTAGAAGAGAGCCACATAATATCTTTCATACATCCCTATATTCCACCTTTTTTTTTTTTACTTAAATTATATATATTTACAAATCGGAATAATAGTGGTTAAGATCATGGACTTTGGAGTTAGATGGTTCCAGATGCAGCACTGGCCTTCAACAGGCAACCAGCCTCTCTCTGAGTGTCAGTTTCACCTTTGAGGGAGTGTCAGTTTCACCTTGGCAGTGGGAGAGGGCAGGGATATGGGTTTACTAATATCCTCCAAGTATTTGCAGAATTGGGTGAATAACGTAGTAAAGCACAGTGCCTGGACATAGTGAGAACTATAGGATTTTTAGCTACTTTGATGATCCCTCTCTCTCTCTCTCTCTCTCTCTCTCTCTCTCTCTCTCTCTCTCTCTCCTTCCTCCTCCTCTTCTCCCCCTCCCTCTCTCCCTTCCTCCCTTTTGATGAAAGGAGGGCTGTCCATTCATTTATTCAGTGTTTTAAATTAAAAATGAGCTGTCAGTTAAAATGGACAGGATTAAGTTCTCAGATAAAGTGAGATGGTTATATTCATAGGGCTTGTCTCAAACACCTAAGGTAAAGGCAAGGTGCACCAGGAGGTGTCACCTGGATAATAAGAAGTGCCATCTTTCACTGTGAAGGATAGAGGCTCATCCACCTAGGGGAGGACTTCGGGACACCATGGCATGTTTTTTCACAGAGACCCTACTTTCCAGCAGAAGGTAGGAGGCCACCCCGAAGCAGCACCTGGGTGAGCTCTCCCAGCAATGCCAGCATCCCTGGTGGTCTTCCTGTGCCACTGCAGCATGCAGGTAGCCTTTGGTGCAGCAGACTGTAAGGCAGGATCCGTTTTCTCTTAGCAGCAGTCTATAGAAGAGAAGAATGTGGAGGTCATGCTAGTAGGAGTCACTCTGTTTTCAACCAACATGGACAGTCCTGCTAATGAGATTGCTCCCGCAAAGCTCCCTAAGATAGAGATAGCGATTTCAGACCCTGAGGCGTTGTTCCTGACTTGTCCTGATGTTCACTGTCAGCCGGTAACTCCTGGGACCTCGTAAAGTGATCACCTAGCAACAACTCTTAGCATAAACTTCCCTTTAAAGTTCTCATGTTCAGACACATTTATCACGTCTGCAATCAGGATGGATAAAACAGAGTTGGTACCCAAAGATGAGCTGAGGCTTAGGAGGCCCTCTGAGCAGAGGAGAAGTCATCATCTTATGCTTCATTATAGATGAAGCGTTTCTGTTTTCCTCTGCTTCCTCTGGCTCTGCCGAGAGGGAGAGAAACCTCAGAGCAGTCTTAGGGTTGTTTGTCCCTTTAAAATCTTCTTTGGAGAAAGTGGATGGAGAAATCTCAAGCAGTTGGTAGATGTCAGGAGGTCAGTTCTCATCAAGAATGCCCCAAAGCCCAGTCCTCATTAATCAGTTTATAGAGTACTATGGAAGCATTTTAAGCACAAGGTGTTGTTTCTGAGCCAGTAATTCTCTTTCCACTCAACACTGAAAGTCCACTGCTTGCTTTCCTGGTACATCAAGACAGCCAAATAGTGTCAATAATTTTTCCTCATAGTTTTTCAAAAGCCAAGTGGAGGGCACAGTGAACTTTGCAACACTTGTTGCATCTGTGGGAAAGGGGGCTCTGGGTCATTGCTTGGTGATTATGCTCACTCAGGGTTCCAGAAAATACTGTAGCTCATGGGAGTCTGATCTTTCCACGCATCTCTGGTCCCCACCGTGACTTGTCAAGATACCTATGTGGTTACACGCCCAACCCACCAGCTTCAGGACCCACCAGGCCCCTTGTCAGACCTTGTCCTGCCTCTTCACAGTCCTCAGAACGTTCCAAGCTTGTTCTTATTTCTGGGCCTTGGGCTGGGATGCCCCCTCCCCAGCAGGTACCCTACATCCAGAAGCACTTTGTTCCATTGTCCTCGATTATTTTGCTGTAACTTCTCATGCATCCATTTTGGAAGGAGAAAGGGCTTTGGTGTCGGGGCCATCAAAGTTTAAATCGCAGGATGGCCATTTACCTGCTATGTGACCTCAGGTGGGTCACTGAATGTCTCTGATCCATAATTTCCTTTTTGTCAAAGAGGGTTAAGAATATCTTCTCCACAGGGCTCATGTGAGGATGAAACAAGAAATGATGGCAAAGACCTCGCACAGGGAAGTACAGTGTCAGGCTCGTGACTACTCTTACCCCTCCCTCCCTCGTCCTGGTTATTCCTTGAGACAAGGGATTATGACCTAATTCTTCTGTAGCCTCTAGAGTGTGGAGGCTACAGTTGACACACACGAATTCTTTCTGCTGGAGAGAACATATTTATTTGCAGAAAGAGGAAAGACATATAGGAGTTATTCTATCATCAATAACATTTTTCTGTCCTATCTCAAAATATAATTTTGGTTAATTTTGCCCTCTGGAGAACAGCATTATAAAGCCTGTTTAGATCAATTTATGACAGTCAAATATTTCGTTTGTTTTGTGATTCAATGGGTAGACAAGCAGGGCCACTTCTTGTATTCCCAGCCGCTCCTGGATGTTGGTTCTTTCTTCTAGGTTTTCAGTCTGTTGAGTTTCCAGTCATCTTTCCCAGTGAAGCATCTTTCTCATCTGGGCTTCACGCTTGAGGGTACCATGCTCATCCTCTTGAGAAGCGGGCATCAGGGCTTTGACACAGATGCTTCCTGGGTTACAGCTGCTTTTGCAAGCAGTAGCAGTTCCTTCCAAGTCCCTGAAGGCACCGCACTGCTCCGCAATCCTCACCTTTGTTCTACCTTCACCCTTGGCACCCACCTGCTGCCAAGACAAGTCTCTTCCTTGATCCAGCCTTTGAGACATAGGCCCCTTCCCCACTGATCACGTGAACTTACCCACTCCCTTTCTGAAACCTTGCATTTTTTTTAACCTGCACAGATTTTCCCTTAACACCTCTAATTCTTGCTTATGCCTGCTGGTCTCTGTTTCCCCTGATTATATTAGGAATGTGACTAGCTGAAACATGCTACTGGGTCCAATTCCTGAATCCCAGTGCCTGGTTCATTTTCACCACAACATGGTGGCCTACAGGGGATCTGTGGCAACCCTGCGGCTGTTTCACTCTGGGGCACTGTCACACTCAGATAGAAACTGACTATCATCCACCCTTCAGCTGCTGAGACTGGCAGAAAATGCTCTTTGCTGACTTTAAGTTGCAGGCTAGATGGGTAGGTGACTTTAGTCATAGGTGCAGGACTCCTGCTATGTGCCAAGCACCGTGCCAGGAATTTACACAGACATTGTCTCATTTCCTCATCCACCAAGGGAGGGATGATGAAACCTTCCATACAGGTATCTCCTTAGGACCCAAGGAAATAATATGTATCATAGTGCATTACATGTGACAATTGGAGTAGATCGTTGTTTAAGTATTTCATGTAAAAGTATGTATTCATAGAACATCTAGTATGATCCAAGACCTGTGATAAATCTACCTGAGTTCAAAGATACTTGTTGTAATTAAAACAGGCAAATCAAAACAGATACATTTCATGCTTGTTTAAAGAAAATGCTGTAAACAGAAAATTAAAACAAGCACTTAGCAACACATCAGGCACAGGGACCATATGAAAAGTGTCAAAATGTCTCAGCATTGTGCCCAGTTTGAGACTGGCACTGTCGCCTAGTGACCGGGTAACCCTCCCTGTTTTCTGCTTTCCTAGGTATGCGCCAGGGGAACGACCATGGCACTCAGTACCGCTCGGCCATCTACCCGACCTCTGCCAAGCAAATGGAGGCAGCCCTGAGCTCCAAAGAGAACTACCAAAAGGTAGGGATTGCTGGGCTCCTAGCCCCTGGCTTAGGCCACCATGACTAGGGCCAGGTTCTGATTTTAGAGGGCAGTCTGCTGCTTTTCAACTGGAATTGTGTTTTATTTGCACATCTCTTAGAAATTTCTGTCAGCCTCTAGGAGTGGAGCCATTGTGTCTAATACGTGTGCTAAATGAGGTTTTAAGAGTAGGCCTGGGCCAGGGCCAGTGGCTCATGCCTGTAATCCCAGTACTTTGGGGGGCCGAAGCAGAAGGATACTTGAGGCCAGGAGTTCGAGACCAGCCTGGGCAACATGAAGAAACCCCATCTCTACAAAAAATACAAAAATAAGCCAGGCATGGTGGCCTGCACCTACAGTCCCAGCTACCTGGGAGGGTGAGGTGGGAGTATCGTTTGAACCTGGGAGGTCAAGGCTGCAGTGACCTGTGATTGCACCACTGCACTTCAGCCTGGGTGACAGAGCAAGACCCTGTCTCAATGTAAAAAAATAAAGAGTAGGCCCTTATGTGTTTGCCTTTGAATCACTCATCTAGATGAAGACACAGCCTGTTAAAATAAGTCTTTTTCCTTCTCTCTTTATTTCTGTCTCTGTCTGAAACTCTCTCTTTTTTTCTTCCCTCTGTATTAGTTTTACAGGGCTATTGTAACAAACAGTCACAGCCTGGTTAGTTTAAACAGCAGATATTTATTTTCTCACAATTCTGGAGGCTGGAAGTCCAAGATCAAGGTGTCGGCAGGGCTGGTTCCTTCTGAGTGCTGTGAGGGAAGGGAAGGATCTGTTCCAGGCCTCTCTCCTTGGCTTCTAGATGGCTGTCTTCTCCATGTTTATATTCACATCAGCCTAGTTTTATGTGCGTGTGTTTCTTTGTCCAAGCTTCTTGTTTTTAAACAGTCTCTAGTCATATTGGCTTAGTGCTAACCCTCATGACCTCGTTTAACTTAATTACCTCTGTAAAGACCCGTTCTCCAAGGAAGGTCACATTCCGAGGTTTTAGGACTCCAACATATCATTTGGAGGGAGACACGATTCAACCCGTAACACTTTCTCATAACAGTAAATTGAATTATGATAAAAGTAGTTCTCGGAAATATATACATGATATCACAAAATAATTATTTTCAGAGTTGTGTACCCTTTTTTAAAATCCTCCAATAGAGATTTAGTTGTTTTAAAAACAAGTTGACTTGCTTTAGTTTTTAGAACTTTGTGATAGTACTTGTATTTTATTTATCATTATATTTTCTGATGTGGATTTGCATTTGACAGTAGAGCTAGAAGCTACTATAAAGCTAATCTATGTTAGAATTATGTAAAAAGTCAGGTATGCAACAGCCCCCAGGAATGAGTGCAGAGACGAGGAGGCTGTAACTAGAGTGTCCACTGGTGAGCAAGTAGAAGGACGGGTGACTCAAGGTCAGTTCGACTATGATGAGCGGAGAGGCCTGAGGGAGGCGCTGACAGAGCCCATTCCTTCCTTGGCCCCTCCCACCTCCCTCCCAGGGTGATGTCTGCTTGGCTGGTCATGGTAGGCAGCCTGTGGGATGGCCCCCAGTGCTCTCTGCCCATATGTAATTCATCTCCTTGAATATGGGCTGCATTTAGCAACTCACTTCTAATGAATGACAGCAGTGATGGGAGCACTCTGAGACTAGGTCATTAAAAGATTGTGGCTCGTATTGTGAAAACTCTCTCTTACCGCGTGAGAGATGGTAGGGGAAGCCAGTTGCCACGTCATGAAGCAGCCCTGTGCAGAGGCTTACATGACAAGGACAAAAGCCTGCCAAGAACTATGTGAGTGAGCTTCGAATCCCCTCAACCCCAGTCAAGCCTTCAGATGAGACTGCAGCCCTGCCTGACAGTTTGATTACAGCGTCATGAAGGACTTCAAGCCAGAGGCACACAGCCAAGCTGTGCCACAGAAGCTGTGAGATAATAAATGTATATACTTTGAAGCTGCTAAGTTTTAGAGTAATTTAAGTATACTTGTATTTCCATTCTAAAAACCTTTTACCTATATATTCTTTCTCTTATCCCTTTTTCGTAATGGCTTTTGTAACAGTGGTGGGCTAACCTGGGCATTTATGGTGGTGGTTACACATGCAGTCTCTAGCATGAAATTTTCTCAATTCACATGTCATCTGTGCAGTTTATTATCAAGTACCTGCCACTTAGAAAGCCATATGTTCTATTTGACTCAAGCAGACCTATGAGGATGAGGGAGACCCCATTATCCCCATTTTCCAGATGCTCAAAGACAGAGAGCAATGACCTTAGAATAAATGAAATTAAAGAGAAGTAAGACTGGATGCAGGGAGATGAGTTGGGCAGCTATTATAGGATTCCGGGCCAGAAGTAATGGAAGCTTTGTCTAGGATGGTGGAAGTATGGGTGGGAGGGAGGGATATTTAGGAAGTACAAAGACCAGAACTTGGAACTTCACTGGAAGTGGAGAGTCAATAAGAGGGACAGGTCCAGGTCCAGGTCATGGCTGGTGATTTTTTGTACAAGTGTACAGAGAAGCAGAGGCAGATTTGTGGGGAAGGTAAGTTAAGTTGTGAAAGTGCAGAGTCTAAGGTGCCCATGACATGGGCATCCAAGGGGCTGTTTGGAGGAGCCATGGGCTGTTTCTGCCTTGCAGGGAGGATTGTTAGGACTGCTAACTGGGCTAATGCTTGTGAAACACAGGGCCTAGCACGTGGTAAATACCTCATAAACAGGAACCCTTATTATTATTGGGAGTTATCAACTTATATTTGCTAAATGAAACCCCAGTTGCTGATAAGATTACTTGGGAAAAGTAATGAGATAAAAGCAGAAGAGGCAGGGCGCAGTGACTCACGCCTGTAATCCCAGCACTTTGGGAGGCTGAAGTGGGCGGATCATGAGGTCAGGAGTTCGAGACCAGCCTGACTAACATGGTGAAACTCGGTCTCTACTAAAAATACAAAAATTAGCCAGGCGTGGTTACACGCACCTGTAATCCGAGCTACTGAGGAGGCTGAGGCAGGAGAAATGCTTGAACCCAGGAAGCAAAGGTTGCACTGAGCTGAGATTGCATTACTAAACTCCAGCCTGGGCAACAGAGTGAGACTCCATCTCAAAAAAAAAAAAAAAAAAATGCAGAAGAGAGGGCTTAGTACCCGAGGAACTGATTCCTCCACTTGAGCGGTGGGAGGGGAACTGTCCAACCAGGCAGGACACTACACTGGGCACCACAGGAACCAACCCCAACCAAGAACTTAAAAAGTGGTTCAATTGTTTCATCCCACTGTATTTAATTATAAAGGCAGTATTTATAACTACTACTAAAAGTCACGTATGATAATGCCATCTATAAACTCCCTTATGTAATGATTCGTAGTTCTCTAGGGTACCAAGAGTAATACCAAGCGACTCTGGAAGCATATTAACTGCCCTCCAGAATACTGAAATATGATGATATCCTGGTGTTTGCAATGAAGATTTTCAGTTCAAGGCCAGTGCCTTCCGTGTGATGGTGAAGAGGCTTATCACCGAATTTTCCAGTTTCTATGCCATTGTAGTTTCTACCCTCAGTTTTGAGGGGAACCCACGTTGATTTTAGATAAATGATATCCATAGGAGGTAAAATTTAGGTATTATATAATTAATTAATGAGCTGCTATAATTATCCTTTCATTATTTTTGTAGTTTTTGGAGAGGTTAATCTTGTAGGCAGTTGTGCTGACCAGATGTTTTCTGGGTGTTCTGAACCCAAGCACATGGGAATTAAATACGTGTGTGTGTGTGTGTGTGTGTGTGTGTGTGTGTGTCTGTGTCTGTCTGTCTGCATGTCTGCATGTCTATGTGTCTCTTTGGCTTTTAAAAGTAGGGTCTATTTTTTAAATAAAGATTGGGACTCCTGTGCCTTTAGTATCCCGATAGCCATTGCTGCTCACATTACTGCATATAAACTGCTTAATCACCAACTCAGGGGACAAATGCTGTCATATCTCTTTTATGGTTTTGCATAAATAAAACTGACCCTAGATTCCACTGGGAGATGAGTTGAAAGTTCAGTGTTTTCGTACCAGCTAATTGACTGAAACCCAGAGGTTCAGACTAGACCAGTGCTTCCTTTCAGCACCACTCGCCTTTCCGCCATGATGCTGTGGTCTCTTTTGCACTGTCCAGTGGAGGGCCTCTGGCCACATGTGGCTGTTGAGCACTTGAAATAGTGGCTCACTGGCTCAGTTCCTCAGTGGCTAGTGTGACTGAGGAACTGAATCTTTTAATTAATTTACATTTATATTTAAGTGGCCACATGTGGCTGGTGGCTACCATTTAGAGAGCATAGCAGTTCATTAAGGGGTGAGCTTGTGCGTGTGTGTGCATGCCCATGTGCATTGTAGAGGGGTGGAGCATGTCAGTCTGGATCCCTGGCCCTCTGCTCTCACTATGGCTTATCCCAAGAGCGGGACGGCCATGGAACATGGGACGGCCATGGAACGTGGGTTCCTGCCCATCAGAGTGCTGCACCGGGAGCTGCTCTCACCTTTTCCTGCCTGGAGACCACAGCATGAGGGTCAAGTTTTTTCCTTTTCAGGAACCAAAGTGTCTCTTTGTGTACCCCATCCTGGTGAGCAATAGAGCTAAGTGGACATCCATGCCTAGGTGACCACTGTGATTTTTATCTTAGCTTAGCTTAGCCTGGGTCCCACAGAAAGCAGAGCCCAAGCCAGAGGCTTGTGTGTGAGGATTCACTGAGATGTGTGGTTCCAGGGAGCAGGAATAAGGGGCAGAGAGACTGGGGAGGAAAAGAAGGAAGACCCCATACAAGTTAGCCCCTGCCACTGGTAACTGGTTGTTTGAGATTTATGAAATGACTAGGCATTCGGGAGAAGATGAGGAAGCATGTTTCCATTGAATGCCATCAGTCATAGGTTGATTCTGCACTTCTGAGCTGCACGTGTGTGAGCTCAGGGTACTGTGTGCCAGGGCAGGAGGCAAGAGACAAGAGGCACATGGCGTTGAGTGTAAGATTGGGCAATGCAGGTGCTTAAAAGCTGCACAAAGTGAATGGGGGCCCTTGCAGAACTGGGTACTGTGGCTGGCCTAGCAAGAGGCAGATGGGGCCACAGGGATCTAAAGTGATGCATTAGTGTCCTCTGGGTCCACTGTCTCCAAAGGGTCCTTCTCACTCCGATCCAGGGAAGGCAGCTGACTGCAATGGCTCAGGAATGATTTGCCACGATGGAGTGACTTTCTGGCACCTCTGATAGAGGTGAGAAAGAAAAACACAGTTCAATTTTAGCAGAGTGCATCCTGCTGCAGTCATATGGTGATATAATATGTACTTTTATATAGGTTATATACCATAATTATGTATAATACGTATATCTATATAATATATAGCTATATAATAATAATAGTAATACTGTTAGAACAGCAACAACAGTACCAACAGAGTACTTACTAAATGCTAATCAAGCAGTTTTAAGTCATGTATAGATCTTAGGTGTTTATCTGTATACATATATTTGTTTAGCTGTAGATGTGTATCTCTCTATGTCTTTATATAAAGTTAAATGCATTCATGTATTTATGAGGCCCTTTTAAGTTTTGAAACTTGAATGAATTTCTGACTGTTTATTCAGTTGATATAACTGATAATACAAACATTGCAAAATCAGCAATTTGCAATGCCTGTGAGAGGTGATGTTATCAGCTTTGATACCGTAAAGAGGTTGATCAGTGCTTTAGCCTTTACCTTAAAAAGTTATGTGGTTTCTAATACATTCACAAAATGGGGAAAATTGCCGATCTAACCAACTGCTTTATTCACTGAGGGAAGGAGAGCAGGGAGCTGAAGAGGTGACCCCCGGACTGGGCTTTCCTGTGTTTTATATCTAGGGTAAGCTTGAACAAGCTCCTGAAACCACAGAGGTGTTTAAGGTAGGGAGGGTCATTTCTTAACACTCCTCGATTATGGTCTAGAACTCTGTACTGTAGTCAGAAACATTTAGTTTGATTTCTAAAAGTGGGGAAATTCTGCCCATGACTCATTCTGTTCATTTTACATACACTGCTTTCCTCTTCAGAAGGCTTGGTGTTTCTGGCCCCATCACTACATTCGGGACATTTGTCTTCTTTGAGCGCTGCTGGGACCCCTATACACTAACTGTAATGTTGACTTAGGTTACTAATTTAATAGTGTTCTTCACTAGCCTGCTCCCAGTGACCCCCTAGTACCCAGCTTCTTCAGCAGCTTCTTTATATGTGAAGTTTGGAGTGACAGTATTGCTTACCACAGAGCAGCCATTTGAACATAAAATTAGCTGATTTTATCACAGGGACCAATTGTTGAGCTAATTAGATGTGCAGTACTGCTGAGGAGCCAGAAACCAAAAGTGATTTTCCATTGAAACTGTGGTTTTCTGCAAAGTTGGCTGGGTTGTGGATACCAGCCTCACCAGCGACTGTCAGAGTTTTGGCTGAAGAAGTTTGCTCATTTCTAATCAGATTAAAAGAGGCAGGAAAGACTTAAGGAGGAGGATGGAGTCTTAAGGAGTGAAACTTGAACTTCACGCTGGGTTTGCTGACCTTGAACATGCTGGATTCTGCTTACAGAATTTGACAGCTGCTTCATATCTTTGGTGAGCAACCCTAACCCTAATACAACTTTGCATAAAATGGAGGGGGGTGTTTTTGCCTTCAAGGAGAAGACTTGATAATCTTTTCTTAGCCTCATTAAAAAAAAAATTTTCCTCAAATCTTTGGTGGAATTATTTGCTTATAGCACTAATTGCAAGACATCATCTAATGTATTATTGTTTTTGGATTGTCAAATATGGACAATTTATCTCCCAAGTGAGCCCATCATGAGAAACATTTCCCAGTATCCTAAACTGAATGTGGCCTCCGGTAGAGTGAGGGTGGTTCACGTGTAATTCTTCCATCCTGAGAATGTGACTCCAGCTCATTTAGGAATTAAATCTTTTCCCACTGAGAAATTATGTTTCTTGAAATGTGAAAGACAGCAAATCTAAAGAGCATTCTCCTGGCCATATGACCTGGCTCCTTCTGCCAGCTCTTCAAGTCTTCAAGAAAGCACAATGCTTTCTCTGGGTATTTCTCTCGCGAAAAAGAGAGAAGAAAAGCAGCATTTTCCTTTGTATATATTTTACAATATATTAAGTTCTAATAAGGATAAAATGTTTCTGGAGTCATTGTTAAATTACCCACTGTGTTTCAAATATAAAACAGTGTTTTAAAGGCTGTATCTATCCGTCTCTCAGTGTTTGTCCACCCTTCCATCCATCCACCCACCTGTCCCTATCATCAGTATATAGCTACAATCTTTAAATATTTGCCATAATTTTATCTTAAACTTCAACTATCTAGCAATTTATTATCTCTCATCTCTGCGTTTGTTTATAATTAATACAGGGTCATTTTAAAGAAAAGTTCCCAAAGTGAAAGGTAAAAAAACAGTATGCATGTACAAATGGGTTCCAGCTAGCATTTTCAAAAATAAAGGTTCAGTTTTGATTATTTAATTTTCTTCCTGCTTAGATTGCAGCCAGATATTTAGTGACTCCCTAAGCTCTTCAGTTAAGCCCTGACAAATTGTGGTTTGACTGGTGTGTGTGTTTTGTTGCGGGGAGTCGGGGAGGAAGAAGACAGTGTCACTACCAAATAACCTACTTGGCTGGGCACGGTGGCTCACGCCTGTAATCCCAGCACTTTGGGAAGCCAAGGCAGGTGGATCATAAGGTCAGGAGATCGAGACTATCCTGGCTAACAAGGTGAAACCCCGTCTCTACTAAAAATACAAAAAGTTAGTCAGGCGTGGTGGTGGGCGCCTGTAGTCCCAGCTACTCATGAGGCTGAGGCAGGAGAATGGCGTGAACCTGGGAGGCGGAGCTTGCAGTGAGCTGAGATTGCGCCACTGCACTCCAGCCTGGGCTCCGTCTCAACAACTAGAACAACAACAACAACAACAAAAAAACCTACTCACCTGCGCTACCAATGCAGTCATTGCTGCTTTTCTTTAGCATAGTTTGAATACCATCTCTATGGTAATTTTTTTTTTTTTTTTTTTTTTTTTTTTTTTTATCAGTGACACTCTGAGTGTAAATGACACTCAAATTTAGGGTCTAGAACTACCCTCTGGACTCCAGATCCCCATAACAAACTGTCTACTTGTTATCGCCACTTGTGTGTCAACGTAATGCTTTCTAAAATGAAAGTTTGATTATTGCCACCCCCTGTAAACAAGTCCCATGGCTTCCTCCTCCCTCCTCCCTCCCCCCTCCCCACTCATTGACACCCTTCCCCATCGGGTCATCATTTAACTTGCCTAACTAAGCAAGATCCTCAGAAGTCATCCCTGCCTCATGCCTTTCCCTCGCCTTTTCCCTCCAATGAATCAGATTAACAGATTCTACCTCCAAAAGACATCCCCACTGTGCTCGCTTCTTTCATTTTCTCTCACGTTCACTCTCATGATTTAAGCCACCATTATCTGTTCCTGGACAACTGAACTTCTTACCTCTCCATGATTATGACCACCCGCACAGGCAGCAGAGTGATATTCCTCAGTGTACCTCGGGTCATTTCCCTTCCCTGTGTCAGCATCTTCCACGGCATCTCTACTGTATGTGGAATGAAATCTGAACTCCTTCGCATGGTCTACCAGGTCCTTCAAAGTCATGTCACCATCTTCCCATGAGACATCTGTAACTTCTAATCAGAGAGCCTAATTATCACAGTATATCTAAGATGTAGCCTATAATTCTTAAAGTTCAGAACCTTTGAATAAGGCTCAAGAACTTTCCAGAGAACTGGGGACTCACTATGAGAACCACAGGGACTCAGGAAATCTTACTGTTGTGCAGTGAACCTCATAAAGGATGGTTTTATACTTCTTTGTATTTCAAAGTTGATCCCTTCATGGACTCACTGTTGCCACAGAGAGACCAAATTCAGAGGCTGTGGACATGCTGCCTGGTTGAGGCTATGCTGTATATTAAAAGGAAGGATTAACCATCTTGTTCTTGACCCTAAACCCTATCCTGCAAACTCTCTTGACACCGAAGTTGCTATTATGATCGTACAACATTATTTGGTAGGATTAAGTCAGTGGGTGATAGATGAAACTGCCTTCCTCTCACTACTTTGCCAAATCTCTGACTTTTTTGTCCCTGTGTTAATATCCTATAGCTACTATAACAAATTACCACAAACTGGATGGCTTAAAAGCAACAGGGATTTATTCTCTCATGGTTCCAGAGGGCAGAAGCCCAAAGTCAATTTCCCTGGACCCAAATCAGGGTACCAGCTGGGCTCTGCTCCCCCAGGGGCTCCAGGGAAGAATCCCTCCCCGGATCTTCCAGCGTCTGGTGGGTGCCACCATGCATGGCCTGTGGCTGCATCACTCAAGTCTCTGCCTCTGTGGCCACCTGCCTCATCCTCTTCTGGGCATCTGATCTCGTCCTGCATCTCTCTAATAAGGACACTGACAGTTGCATTTAGGGCCCACCCAAACAATCAAGAATACTCCCGCATCTCAACCCCCCTTATTTAGTTACATCTGTGAAATCTGTGCCATATAAAATAACATTCACAGGTTTTAGGGGATTGGAACATGGACATTTTGGGGAGACCATTTTTCAGATGACCACAGGCCCCATAATCTGGTCTCCAACCTGCCAGTGTCATGTGTCCACCCCAAAATGGGAGACTGAAACTGGGGGCTCTTCCTCGGGCTGCTTAGGAGAGGTGGGCGTTGTTCACTAGGTGGGAGCGCATCTGGCTTGCCCTGAACCCCAGAACACACTCAGGTTTCCCAGCGAGATGGGATTTGATTTCCTCTCTCGGGGGTCTTTATCTAGTTTTGAAGAGAGGTGAAAATTTGCAAAAGTTTATCCCCTTTCATACATCTCTACCTTCAAAACAGACCCAATTTTACTGCTATACTACTTCTGAAATAAAGTGGCATACCAAAAATAACAGTAGAAAAAAATAAATCCTAAGAGCTAGAAGGATATTTGGGAGAGAAAAAAATTGTGTGTGTGTGTGTGTGTGTGTGTGTGTGTGTGTGATCAAAAAGCATTTGGATGTTTGGCAAGAGTGGTCTAGCACTCTCTTAGTCACTTACTCTCTTTGAGCCCTGACTTAATTTCTCTGATACCAATTTTTAAATGATCTAAGTGTGGATAACAAAATTTCCCAATAGGTTCATTATAAGAATTAAATGTGATACACACACACACACACACACACACAAGCTGGCATGCAGTAGTGACCCAGTATACATTATTGAAGCTGAGCCCCTTCAGTTTTATGATCCAGAAAATAGTTTTAATTATACCAACCCAAATGAGAGAAATTAAATATACTCAATGAATATTTAGCCATGCTATAACCATGATAATATAACTGAACCAGATAATTCCCCAGCAAGAGGTATATACAGATCCTTTGTGTTTTCTTTTCAACATCTATAGGCTGAAAATGGCTTTTTCTCCTTATTCTCCCGTCCCATGTTCCTCAGTAAATTAATTACCTTATCAAATATTAATTATGTACAGATTCATTGCCAGACTTGCATTACAGTTGCTTTAAACAAAGCTATCTGAGGCAAAGTCTTGTGAAGTTTGTGGTAATAAACTGTCCCACATACAGTCACAGAAGCTCACATGTGACAAATGCTCTTTTCTGCAGAGAATCTCCTAGGAACTCGTCTCCCATTTTCTACATTAAGTAAGCTTATAGGAGGCTTCCATTCACCTGTGTGTCCCCAGTGCCTGGTGCTGTGCTTGGTACCTAGTGATTGTCAACAAATATCTTTGACCTGAACTGAAGTGATACAGCATATAAAGAAGCCCGTTTTGTTGCCCCTTGTTATGGACCGAATATCTGTGTCCCCCCAAATTCATATGTTGAAGCCTCTACCCCCAGTGTGATGGTGTTTGGACATGGGGCCTTTGGGAGGTGATCAGGGTTAGATGAGGTCCTGAGCTGGAGCTCCCGTGATGGGACTGCTGTCCTTATACGAAGAGACACCAGGGAGCAGGCTCTTGAGCACTCTATTGCTGTGTTTCTTGCTGCACACAGAAGTCATGTGAACACAAATAGAACTGCCTGCAAGCCCTGAGAAGAGGACTTGGAATAAACCTACCTTGCCAGAACCTTGATCTTGGACTTCTCAGCCCCCAGAACTGTAAGAAATAGAAGCCTGTTATTGAAGCCACGTAGTCTGTTACTTTGTTATGGCAGCCCGAGCTGACAAGAGAGCCCTGTTTTGTGTGCTGCACTCCATGGAGCGGGGGCAGAGCACTGGCTTGGAGGAGAACAACTGGCTGGAGCCCTGGCTCTGCCTGTAGTGACCGTGACCTTGGAGAGGTCTCTATGGCCCATTCTTCTTTTGTAAAATGGGGAAATTAAGAACAGTGGAATGTTGTACGGCTTTTCGGTGCTTTCTCCTGTATTTTGCTGGGTAAACTTCACAGTCACACACAGGCTAGGGCAGGATCTGTTCTCTGACTTGCCTATGAGGAAACTGAAGCTCAGAAGTGTTCATTCACATTCCCAACATGACCCCCATAGTAAATGTAGAGAGCTAGAGTCATTTGACACTGAATTCCATAAGCTTTTCACCCATGCTGTGTGGCGATACATGCTAATCTGTCAGGCATTTTACGAATACAGTCATCCTTCGGTATCCAATGGGGATTGCTTCCAGGACCCTCTGAAGATACCAAAATCTGATGATGCTTAATCCCTTATATAAAATGACATTTACATATAACCTATGCACATCCTCTTGTGTACTTTAAATAATCTCTAGATTACTTATACCTAATACAATGCACATACTATTAATATATTAAAATAGTTATGCTGTATTCTTAAAATTTGTATTGTTGTATTGTTTTTATTCATTTATTTATAATAATTTTGATCTGTGGTTGGATGAATCCAAGCACGCAGAATGCAAGGATACGGAGGGCCGACTGTATCAGGGTTTAATGGGTGACTGCAGAGGTAAGGCTGTCTACAGTGACTTCATCCTGCCTTTCTAGAGATCCTCAAATTTCCAACCATAGTTACAATATAGGATCAGCATATCTTCCTTTCTGTCATGAATTGAGAAAATGTCATGGTTATCTGTTTCTTTGTTCCCAGGGAAATGGGTAAGTTGCATGCTAGAAGCATCCCTTCTCGGTCTGTTGTATTCTCTATGCTGCAATGTTTAAAACCCATCTGAGTACCAAAAGACTGTTGTTTTCACCAACACTGAAACATCATTTATTTGCATTGGAAAACCCTAAATAGACATGGGTAAATGTCAGTTGATATGTTATGGTTTGGGGATTACATAGCTCTTCGTCTTTAAAAAATTTTTTTTATCTGTGCTTTTGTTTAAAGCATGAAGTTATGATTTAAAATGCCCATGGAAAAACCCTGAATAATTCATTGACTTACCTTAGTCAAAAAGAAAAATCCCCCCTCCCCACCGTATGCCTAGCAATAGGGATAAAATTCTTCTTAGTCCCTTTCTGTAGCTTTGAGGTTAAAATTACGGGTGTTATTATGAACTCTAAATAAGAACCTGTGAAATAAATATTTTAAAAGTGCCCATTTCTGGGAGGCAGGCACCCATATTTCTGTGTATGCAGCCACGTAGACAGCTAGATCTTAGGCATAATGGTTTAGTTGCATGTGGGTGATTATTTTCATTTCCACTTATTACTGTGTGCTAGACTCCCTGTGTATGAGTACAGATTGCCCTTTCTTGCACTGTATTTAGAAATCTCTGTATTACCCTTGGGCATTTGTTCATTAATAGGGGGTGGGGAAAGGAAAAGCTTGTAATAATGGGCTTTACATATTAAACTGTGTGCATCCGCATTTGGGCCAAATGGAAAATCTGGTTTGTATGACTGCCCTCTGCTGGCTGTAGGCCTTTGCTGCAGTGGCAGGATATGAGTCCCTGGGTGGAGCCCCTGTGCAGATGCCGGTATCAGTCTTTTATTCACTTGCACTGAGTTCCATCCAAGTACATCAGAAACAGCCTAAGATTCTACCTACTGCCCAGGTTGATGGTGGAAGACAGCATTCTTGTGAGGATCAAGGAGACATTTTGATTTTAGTAGAAGTACAGTAGAAGTATAGACACAAAATAATCCTGGCCAACATAGGGTGATGTTTGAATGAATGAATTCACATTTCTCCACGGGCCACACTCCTACTCATCTTTCAGTGGCAACAGGGGAATGTTTAGTGGCTCCCATATGTGATGTCCAGACCCCTTGTGGAATGCAAGATGATTTTACGGTGTATCCAGATGAATCTTTTAAATCTCAGTTATGTGTTTATAATATATATTAAGAAAACTGCAGTGAATGTTTGAAGCCCACAATTTCCTGAAGGTGATGGCTGAGGTGAAGAGCAGGAAATGGAACCTACACACACAGCTGCATTCCTTGCAGAGATGCCTCTTCCGCAAGTCTTTGGGCGGAGAAAAACCACAGGGAGGTCCCCGATGACTTGGGCAGCAGTGGCTCTGTACTTGCTTTGTGTATGACCTTGGGTTGTTGACCTGTCTAAGCCTAGGTTTTCTTATTTGCTAAACAGGATAATAGTGGCTACTTCTTAGGCAGTTATAAGGATGATATGGTGTATATGTAAAGTGTCTGTCACAGAACAGGGGCCTGGGCAATGCCAGATGCTTCTTTTTCAGCTCCCCATCCCCCAGGACGCTTCTCAGAGCCGGCCCCCCTCCATGTTCGCATCACGCTTGGCTTGCATCTCGTTTCCTCTGACCCTTATGAGAGTTGCCACGTTTCTTCTCCACCCCACCCCCCCCACGCTGAGTGGGACCTTCCCTTGCTTTGCATCTGTGGCAACATTCCATGAGCACTTCACACAAGGCAGGCACTCTGTGAATGTCAGGTGAATTAAACCCAAGTGCAAAATACTTGTAAGCAGCATTTTCCCATTCTCCAACACATTCAGAGAATTTCACCTATCAGATTAGGACAGGGCCTATACGTTTTTCTCCCCCTACCCGCCATTCGTGTGGTCTGATAACAGCAGCAGCATTAAGTTCCCGTCCATTGGCTGCAAGCAGGGAGGAAAAAAGGCCCCAGCGCCTACTGCCTGCTTTCCTGCCTGCGTTAATATCATCTCTTATCTTACCAACTAACATATAGGGGTGTGTGTGTGTGTGTGTATTTATGTGTGTGTGTGTGTGTGTGTGTCTGGGTATATATACACACACATTTATATTCGTTAATTTCCGTGGAAAAGAAAGGGATGGCAGCAGAAACATTTTAAACACAGCATTTCAGCTAGGGTAGGGTCTACTTTAAAGACAACAAAAGGGCCTTTGTTGTTCTGGCAGGTAGATGGATAAGCCTGGCCCTGGTTCAGCCTCTATAAAGTGGCTCCGGAGTGATAGGATCAGAGAAACTACCGGGGGCGGGGGGGAGGTGCAGGGACGCTTTTATTTCTGTGGCGCCAAGAGTGAAGCAGGGTTTGCCGTTTCCTACAGGGGCAGTGCGTTTGCGTTTCAAATTCCCGTTGATTGTGTCGCAGCCCGCGTGGTCCCGAGCTCCCCGGCCTGCGCCTGCACGGCCGCGGGACGCCCGCTTGCATTTCCGCCACCGAGGCAATGTTCATTTAACGCTTCCAGAGATCAGAGCTTTCATGTTTGCCACGAAAGCCAGAGAGCCGGGAGCACCTCAGGAGCGGAGATGAAAGGCCATTTGTGTTTGTGCATGTGTATTTAGCGCTTAAAGGGCAGGAAAAAGAAAGAAAATAGATGGTCCCGCTTTGCACTTACTTCAAAATGTGCCTTACTCCCTCTGGTGGGACCATTTAACTCCAGCGCGCCACCCCTCCCCCGCTCTCGCCGCTCCCGTCTGCCCCGCTGCCTCGGCCCACGTGATGGCTGTTCGGGCCCCGCCGAGCCATCTTCCCGTTGCTATGGCAGCCGGCGCGGCGAGCCCGCCCATTGGCTGCAAGCGAGGAGGAATAAAAGGCTCTCGTGTCCTTAGGTCTAGTGCCCTGCGCCATGGCCCCGTGCAGGTAGAGGCCTGGGCATGGTGCGTTGCAGGACGGGCCGGGCGCAGGGACCGCCCCCCGCACCGTGCGCCCCACCCAGCTGTCCAGAAACGGTCAGGGTCAATGTCATCAGCTTCTCCATGGAATGGGAAGCAGGTGAAGGACAAAAGCAAGGCTCATAAGGGAAAGTGAGCCACCTTTTCCTTCACCCTTAACACCTCCCAGCTCTGTTTTTTTTTTTTTTTTTTTTTTTTTTGTAGTGTTTGAATTTGAAATCCGGCCCTGTGACCCTTTCTACTCACAGACACTGCACGTGAGGCCTGAGCCTAAGTTTAGCTGTCAGATTCCATTTACCTTGGCCATGCCCCGTGGCTCCAAAGCCGCGAGGACAGCACTCCATTGCGACGTCTACTCCCGAGCCTGAATGTTTCGAAAATTATCTTCGTCTTGCTGGGTTCGCTGCTGAACTGGGGAGGCGATTGGAATTACCATCTGGCCTCAGAGCTGCGGGTGACTCTTGTCCTGACCCCGTGGCCTAGTGAACAGATGACCCCGGCGCCTGATCTTGTACCTGGTCAAACAGGTGTGGAGAAGTCTTGGAGGGGAACTGCAGCTACCTGCCTCGGGCTCTCTTCGGCTGGCGACTTGGGTTCCCTGCTGAGTGAGAAAGAGAGCCAGCCACACCCAGAGCCTTCAATCCCCAGAGGGAGGGCACCCACTGCGATTTGGCTGTGGTTGGTCACCTGCCTTCCCCAACATAGGACCAGTCAGCAGATTTGGGAGTGCAGAAAGCACTTTCACAAACATTCTCTCCTCTGCTTCTCATAAGGAGCCTGGGAGGCTGTCACTCTAATCGCTGCCCTCCAGGAGAAGCAGCTGGTAACTTGAGACCACATGATACGTACATGGGGGAGCCCAGGATGCACACTCCCGCTCCCTGATTCCAAGCTCTGTGCATGCTCTTTCCATTCTGTCACTGGGCCAGGTAGATTCCCTCTGGACATGTCACACCCTCACAGATTTATAAATAGGGAATGGGCTCTAGGAGGAAGATCGCTCCTCCCTTTCTTCTCATTCCGTATCTTGCCAATATCACATTAAAAGAATATGTCACTAGTGTTTAATTTGTCAAGATCAGGGGCTAATGGTTGAGGATTTTTTGTGGTTCCTTCTGCTGGCAGAAACACATTTGCAAACACAAAATCTTTTAATAAAATAGCAAGATTTAGTAAGAAAGAAAAATAGTGTGAGAAAAAAATAGGACCTGATTGGAGGAACATTATTATGCCAGAGACACTTGGTTGACTTAAACACTAATATATTATTTTTATACATATTCACACAAAGGGTGCTGTGTGGTTTCAGGAATCCACAGAGCCTAACACCCAAGCACATGTGATAGAAAAAAAAAATTTTAATCCTTTTTTTTTTTTCATTTTCATTTCTGTTTGGCTTCTTTACAAAGTCGTCATTGAAAATTGCTGTATGGTTATTTTTCCCTCTTGTGTTACAGACCAAACTCAGTGTCTGATGTACAGTGGAATAAGTGAGGAAAGAGACAATATTGGGCAAACCAGTGAAATTAGGCTCTTGTTTACATGAGTAGCCCTTACTGAGATTCAGCTTTTTGTTGCTCTGTGTAGCCTTTTGATGTAGATTCCAGAGTTGTAACTTACATGATAAATTACAAGTCTGTATTTATTCATACATTAGAGATAGGTTATTTTTACCTTTGTGTGTGTGTATACACATTTGCTTGGAATCGGTGAATTTCTAGGCCACATTGAGGCAATTGAACGCTCTTTATAAGCAGTTAATTGTCTAGACCCAACGTTTGCTGCAAACACAGTCTGGGGCAAAATGGGAATTAACATTTTTACAAAGACAGGCATAGAAATTCTAATCCAGCGAATTGTTTCCTTTCTCTGGTAGCAGGGCTGAGTCCTACCTGGCCACAAGGCTGCCATTCACCTGTGTAGCCCAGAAAACAATGGTAAAGACCACCAGAGATAAGACCAGCTAATCCATGCCTTGTAATAGTCAGGTTTCGCAATTCACATCACCTGTCTGCAAAGGTAAACTCACAAACCCCTCCTGAGATATGTGTACAGTCAAATGGGATCACTGCTGTCGCTAGGCCAGCAGCTCTAGAAGCCTATGTTACTTTTTTTTTTTTTTCTGAGACGGAGTCTCACTCTGTCACCCAGGCTGGAGTGCAGTGGTGCGATCTCGGCTCACTGCAAGCTCCACCTCGTGGGTTCACGCCATTCTCCTGCCTCAGCCTCCCGAGTAGCTGGGACTACAGGCGCCCGCCACCACGCCTGGCTAATTTTTTTTATTTTTAGTAGAGACGGCATTTCACTGTGTTAGCCAGGATGATCTGGATCTCCTGACCTCGTGATCCACCAGCCTCGGCCTCCCAAAGTGCTGGGATTACAGGCGTGAGCCACCACGCCCGGCCAAGCCTATGTCGCTTTTAAGATGAATCCAAAAAGACTGTGTGCTACTAGGCTACAGAAAGCAGCATTAAGTCTGATATACATCAATCCATGTTCAAGCAGATTCCTCTCTGTCTCTGGAAGTTGGTTAATTTTTCTGGTCCTGATATTGGATATTGTCACATTTTCCTTGATAGTGTCATCCGGTGAATGATTTTTCATCTTGAACCTTATACTCCTCCTCTCTCGGCAGCTGGTGCTTCCCTGTTCTTCCTCAGCCATGCTGGGGCTCACTGCAGCCTCCTCTGCTCAACTCGCCTGGGTGCAGCCATCTTCAAGAAAACATTATTAAAGCAATATTATTAGTATGCAGCAAGGTGCCTTCTTTCTGCTAAATCAGTTTGTAAAGTGGTCCTCACAAATGCACACATTCTTTGTTATGACAGCAGGGCTTCGTGTTTCTGATGCAAGACTAATAAGACTTGGAAGTAGGGAGGTAAACTGGGTGGCCCAGGAAAGCAGGGGTTAGGGGAGTTGATAGAAGATATGAGAAATGAACCTAAGGGGTGATCAAAGAGCAGCCAAAGAAAAAAATATCCTTAAGTGGGAGAAAAAGGCAAATAGGACGTGTGAGGAATTAGGCAGGAGTAGGAAAGAAAACTGTGAACCACTGTATGCACACTTGTGTGAAAGAGGAACCTAGGAAAGTGAGCCCCGAGAAAGCAATACTAGCAGAAAGCAAAAGGTGCTCAAGAATCATTGTGTTGTTTATGTTGAGTGAAATAAGGCAGGCACAGAAAGAAAAATACCGCATGATCTCACTTATATGTGGAATCTGAAGAAGTTGAAATCCTAAAGCAGGGAATAGAAAGGCCAGAGGCCAGGGTGGAGTGGGGAAGGGAGGAGGAGTTGTTGGTCAAAGGGTGCAGAGTTTCAGATCCACAGGAGGAATAGGGTTTGAGATCTGTTGCACAGCAGGGTGACTGTAGTCAATAATGTAGTGTATATTTCAGAATAACTAAGAGCACATTTAACACGTCTCACCATAAAAAAACAATAGGTAAGTGAAGGGTTGGCTTTGCTAACTGGCTTCATTTGATTATTCTACATTGTATGCATATATTAAAACATCATGCACTCCATAAAGATATACAGTTAGGATTTGTCAATCAAAAATAATAATAAAAAATTTAAAGAAGAATTGTATAGAAAGAAAAACCTTTCAGGATTGAGAAAACTCTGTGAAGAAGTCACATAGAAATTCTCCAAGAAGTGCCACCTGTGTACTGAAAGCCCCTTTAATGGACTTTTGTGGTGCTTTGGTGATTCATACAACTTCAGACAAATAATTTCCTAACCTGCAAAACTGAGCTAGCAACCCTTGCCCTGATCACTCTCTTTGGGGGTGTTTTTGAGGCTCTAGGGAGCTGATGTGCGGGCAAAGGTTATAATCCAGAAAATGCTCTACAAATTTAAGTAAGGTTTTGGCAGAATTGGGTTGTGGGGAGCAAGTGCCAGGCAAGTTTCCAGTCCTTGCCAAACTGCATTTTCTAAGTGATGAAAGATCTGGCATTTTATTCTTTTCCATTTTTTAATTCACTGGGTTTGTTCCCTTGTTCTTATGAACCTTGACTGCAGAGATAAGTTGACAGTGGCTGACAGATGAAAATTTTCATTGATCTCCTCTCTGGTCCCTGCCTTTCCTAGCCCCTTGGCTTTGGAATGAAAACTGTAAGTCAGGGACACCCACGAAGCGATGATGTTGGAGTTGCAGTTTGTAAAACTCTTACGTTACCATCTCTTTATCTGAGCATGGAGACAGGCCCTTTCTGTAACTTTTCTGGCTAAATAACTTTTCTTCAGAAGGCAACTCATGTTTGAAATTAGACTTGACCTTGTTTCATGAGTTTCCAAAACTTATGATTCAGGTCCACATTGGCTGCTTTTGAATTGGATCTATTTAGATGTCAACATGTACAGCACAAGTACAATGAATTCAGTGTCTGTCCTGTTCTTCGTGGTCAGGATTTTTGTGTTTGTTTTATTCCCTGTTAAGCAAGGGGTTTTCTTTCTTTCTTTTTTTTTTTTTTTTTTTTTTTTTCTCTGAGACGGAATCTCGTTCTGTCGCCCAGGCTGGAGTGCAGTGATGCGATCTTGGCTCACTGCAAGCTCCGCCTCCCAGGTTCACGCCATTCTCCTGCCTCAGCCTCCCGACTAGGTGGGGCTACAGGTGCCTGCCACCACGCCCGGCTAATTTTTTGTATTTTTAGTAGAGATGGGGTTTCACCGTGTTAGCCAGGCTGGTCTCAATCTCCTGACCTCGTGATCCCCCCGCCTCGGCCTCCCAAAGTGCTGGGATTACAGGCGTGAGCCACCACGCCCGGCAGCAAGGGGTTTTCAATACAGGCTGTCTGATGACTAACGAGACGGAACATAAGGACCCTATGGTCTGCCCTTCTAGGCTGTTCTCAGGCCCTACCCCACCCAGGCCTCTGCTCTCCCTCTTCTTAAAATCTTCATGGATCCCCAAGGCAGCTGCCCTAGCTGCCTTGTGTGTGTCTACAATGATAGAGCTATCAGCACTGCCATTTCCTGGCCCGTGTGGTATGAGAATATGAGTAGCCAATAATGCTGTCACAGCCTGGGAAAGAGACGGCAAAGGGGAAGAGGCAGCCGCTTGAGACCACGGAGCCACAGCCGCCCATTCCCAGCAGAGCTCGGAGACCACAGTGACACACCTGCCCATTCCCAGCGGAGCTTGGTGCCATTCTCAGGTCTCCCAAGCTGACCCCAGGTGTCCGTGCTTTTATGGGTTAATACCACCAGGGTATTGAAGTAGATTTTGACAATCAAAAAAAAAATGTATATCCGAATTCCACGTATGGTGGCAAGTCTATGGGCCATCAAATTAGGAGTTATTATCTATCTATCTATCTGAGACAAAGTTTTCCTCTGTCACCCAGGCTGGAGTGCAGTGGCGTGATCTTGGCTCACTGCAACCTTCGCCTCCCGGGTTCAAGTGATTCTCGTCCTTCAGCCTCCAGAATAGCTGGGATTATAGGCATGTGCCACCACGCCCAGCTAGTTTTTGTATTTTTGGTAGAGACAGGGCCTCGCCATGTTGGCCAGGCTTGTTTTGAGTTCCTGGCCTCAAGTGATCCGCCTGCCTCAGCCTCCCAAAGTGCTGGGATTCCAGGCATGAGCCACTGTGTCCCGCCAGATTGGAAGTTATTATACCCACTTTATAAAGTGGCGAGGATGGCATGTTTTGATTCAATTCAAAAGGTATTTACCAAGTACCTCCGTATTCAAGGGAGGGGATGTGGAAGCAACCTATATACAAACTTAAAACCTGCAAAGGCATCAGCAAAGAGCATCTCACATCAGCTTCTCTGTTCACTTGGTCCCTACTTGTCTTCACAGAAAGAACAGTTCTTGTGTGGTAATCAAAATGGTATTTCTTTGAGAAAAAAGATGCCCCTGATAAGAAAGACAACAAATACTTTGATGTGGAAACAGCCTCCAACATGAAGTAAGATTTCCAACTGATCAGATCCTTAATTTAGATGTCAAGTGAGAGGTTGACTATTTGTAGGGCTCTGTGGATTCCAGACTCCCACTCAGACCTACTGAATTAGGGTCCTTAGGGGTGGGGCCAGGAAATATGAAATGTTTAAAACTCCTGTATTAGGCAGTTCTCGCGTTGCCATAAATACCTGAGACTGAGTAATTTATAAAGAAAAGAGATTTAATTGGCTCATGATTCTGCAGGCTTTACAGGAAGCCTGCTGGCATCTGCTCGGCTCCTAGGGAGGCCTCAGGAAGTTTCTGATCATGGAGGAAGGTGAAGGGGGAACAGGCACATCACATGGTGAAAGCAGGAGCAAGGGAGAGAGAGTTGGGGGGAGGTGCCACACGTTTTGAAAGACCAGATCTCCTGTGCACTTAGAGTGAAAGCCGACTTATCACCAAAGAATGGTCCAAGCCATTCATGAAGCATCTGCCTTCATGATCCAAACACCTTCCACTAGGCCCCACCTCCAGGACTGGAGATGACATTTCAACATGAGATTTGGGCAGGGACATATATTTAAACCATATCAACTCTCTAAGTGATTTTCATACAGCGCTGGGCTTGGACATCTCAAGGTAGTGGATTAGTACTTAGTCTTGGGCATCAGACAAACTTAGGTACCTGTTTGAGCCTGGATAGGTAACTTAACCTCTCAGCCTGTTTCCTAATCTATAAAATGTAGCTAATCATATGAACCTCGGAGGTTGATGGTGTGACGTAAGTGAGATGACATGTGCCAAGCTCCCGACTCGCAATGTTCTGTCTGCAGCTGTATCCGCAATGGGCATGAATGGGCAGATGATTTGCCCAAGGCGTGTGAACATTAAACAGTCAGCTGTTGATGAGGAAGGCATGGCTCGGGACAGTGCCAGCTAAGATACATCTAGAACCCCATTTTCCATCAGTGCATTTCCTCCTGTGACATAAGCTGTGCCTCTTGTGTGCTAGGCTCCCAGCCCAAGGTTAGGGGCTTTGGGGAAGCTTAACTGTGAGGTCCTCATCTAGGAGCGTCTTTCCACTGCCGTCTAAGCTGTGTGTGTCAGCTGGGTTCAAAGAGTTAAAAATATCTGGTTAGTAATCAGCTGTGCAAAAGCAACACTTTTCATTCTTAAGTTCTGTTCTTCAGTGTGTTGAGATTTTTCCGCTCATTTGTTTCCATGGGTCTCACAAGCATGGCCTTGAGCAGCAGTTCTCAGACTTTTTGACCTCGGGACCTCTTTGCACCCAAAAATTATTGAGGACCCCAATGAGCTTTTGTTTGATATTTACCAGATTAAAAATTAAAACTGAGAAATTAAAAAAACCCGAACACACATTCATTCCATCAGCCATCGAGTGTTGATGTCATCACACTCCGTGTAGCTTCCAGAAAACTTCACCTGCACCCATGAGAGAATAAGAGTGAACAGGGAAATATATCTTAGCATGATGATAAGAATAATTTTGACCTTGTGGATCCTGGAAAAGATTCTGGAGTTCCCCGGGGGCCTCTGAGCCGCACGGAACTGCTGATCTTGATTGCACAGGTTACCCAACCCTGTTCGTCTGCCTCACAGAGAAGCACAGAAGTCAAATCTGAGGCCGTTGTATCACTGAGCAGCACAGCTGGGGCAGGGTCTTAGGGAAGGCCTCCGAGTCCAGCGCAGTTCCCTGGCCTTACAGACGAGGAACCTGAGCCCCAAAGAGGTAAAGCAATGCTCCCAAGCTCACACAGCGTGGGTGCCAAGCTCAGTTAATAACCCAGAGCTTCTGCCCAGTGGGCTTGCCCCTGCATCCCAGTTGAGTGACTTAGGGACCAGGCTCCGGTGAAAGACAGCTTGGTTCCAATCCCAGCTCTGCCACTGTGTGACTTCGGGCAAGTGTCTTAACTTCTCTGGCCTGAGCGTTCTCATACATAAAATGTGAATAATAAAAAATAGCTGCTTCATAGGCTTGCTGGGAAAATTAAATGAGATAACGTGTGGAAAGGAACTGGCATCTTGCATAAGCATTACACACACACACACACACACACACACACACACACACACACACACACATTTTAGCTTCCCAGCTAATTCTTAGAGGGATACATTTGTAATATTTTAGCAGTCACTACTTCTAGAAATCATGACCAGCTTTTCTCCATCTCTTGGTCTCAATTGTTCCTTTTCCCAGCAACCTTCAGGCTTGCTCAGCAGCATCGCAGGGGAAAGGGATTCCAGAATCCATGGTGAGAACACCGTCTCTATCTGCCTTCACAACAGACTGAAGGCAGAGCTAAGATCGGATGTAATTAGTTTACATGTCAGACCCAACAATCCATGCTGTACGTCATGCAGGAGTGATCAGTGTTTTCAGGGTGGAATGCAATCTCATAATGAAGCGGTGAATAGTATTATTGCAGTTGAATAACCTGCAGCATGATGTATGGTGATTAGAATTTGTTTCTGGCATATGGTTTTCTTTTTCTTGTTTTTCCCCCAAAGTGGAATGTCTGCTTCTGTAGCACCGTCCATTTGCAAACTGCGTTCCCCAACCACTCTTTAATTGTCTCCTACATCAGTTCATGGGAGAGCTTAGTGAGGGTAGGTAACCCAGTGCTCCTTATTCAACAAATGTAAATGTAGCGCTTTACATTTGTAAAGGGTGCTGGGGGGTCCCTGGTGACCTGCACACACAAGTCAATAGATTTCTGCTGAAAAAATTTTAATATTAAAACATCATACATAAATTTGAAGACTTCATATGCAAACAGCAACAAAACCAAAAAATAACAAAGGACAGAGATTTTAAAATAATCTCTTATAAATAACTAGTTTTATCTACCCAACCAAAGAAAATAATCAGCACTCCGTATGCTACCTCAGATCCTGTTCAGACATATGTGGGTATCAATAATGAATGAATCAATTGATTCATCCTCAGTCTTGCTGAGTGTCTTTCTGGGAGATACCACTTGTGGCTCTTGTTTACCCAAAGATCACTTTGAAGATAGAACATTCTATAGTCCCAGATAGCATCTTCTTGCCTGGAACTGACATAAGATCCATATCTCTAAGCCACAGGACTGGAGCTTCTCCCTCTTGCTAAGGAAGTTGCATGTATCACCCAAAAGATACTGGCTTTGAGGTGAGAAGACCTGGATTCTCATATCGTCCTTTGTACTAACAGCAGTGTGATCGAGGCAAGTGCCTTGACTCTCTGGTCTTCCTTCACCCCATCTGTACGGTGATCTCTCAGCAGCTGTTCACCTCTAATGGTGGACTATAGAGTGGTGGCTGAATCCCTCCACCATCAGGCAATCAAAGCCAGCCATTTCCACCGAGGCAGGTGGATCACAAGGTCAGGAGTTGAAGACCAGCCTGGCCAAGATGGTGAAACCCCGTCTCTACTAAAAATACAAAAATTAGACAGGCGTGGTGGTGGGCTCCTGAAGTCCCAGCTACTGGGGAGGCTGAGGCAGGAGAATCGCTTGAACCTGGGAGGCGGAGATTGCATCAATCCGAGATTGCGCCACTGACACTCCAGCCTGGGTGACAGAGGGAGACTCCGTCTCAAAAAAAAAAAAAAAAAAAAAAAAAAAAGCCAGCCATTTCCAATGGCCTTGACATAAGGATTATGTTGCATTAAGTAAGGATCATTAAGGATCTGAATGAGCTAACTACCATGAGTTTGAATGAATCTAGAGCTTGATCTCAGGTTTGCATGTCAGGGATAGCTTCGTTCACCAACACATTCTCCATTACTGTGTGAGGTGGTGTACAAGACCTCAGGTTCACTCTTGGGCCTGGGAATGACTACAGTGGACATATTTATTCTTCCTTAGTGTGTCAGGTGTCTATCACAGCATAACAAACTACCCCAATCATGGTGGTTTAAGACAAAAATAATTGTTCTTGTGATTCTGTGGGTTGGCTGCATTGTTCTGTCGATTTTGCCTGGACTCATTCATGGGACAGCATTCGGTTTGGCGGGTCACCTGGAGGCAGGGCTCAGTTGGGAAGATGGGGCTGTCTGGATCTCTCTCTCTTTCCATGGTCTTTCCCCCTCAAGGTTAGCCTGGCCTGGGTTGGCTCTAGAGATGGTGACGCCATGCTGAACCCCAATTCCAAGAGCTTATCAAGCCTCTGCTTCCTATGCTGATGTTCCTTGGCTAAAACAAGTCATATGTTCAAGCCCAAAGTTAATGTGAGGATGGGGACTGCCCCTCTTAGTGTAGATACCAGGAGGTGTGATTTGTCGAGGCTGTTAGTGTAATGGTCTTCCCACCTTAGCCTCAGTTTCCATGTCGGTTAGATGGGAATAGGTTACTAAGCATGTAAGGAGGGCCAGCCTGAGTTTGAGGTATTTTCCATGTCACATCCATTTCTAACTGAGTGTGTGATCATAGGATTCACATTCCTCATGAATGAAGAAGTCTTGTACCAAGCGATCCAAGGGTCCACCATTATCACCACCTGACTTCAGCACACACATACACAGACACACACTTCTGTTTCATCTTCCACACAATGTAAAAATCAAATATGATTGGAAGAATCTTCAAAGTGGTAGAGGACTATACCAATGGGATATATTATTACAAATAATAATTATGAAGAATTCTAATGTATTTTCCAAAAACTTATGAGATGCTAAACATCTCTGTTACATATTGCACATTTAAAAATAATTACATTATGAGAAGTGCGTTATTCGGGTTTCTGTTTCTTTTCTGGTGTTTTAAGCTCACTCTAAAAAGGCCTGGCAAATCAAGATGTGTTTGCATGAAACTAAAGGCACTAGGAGGAGACTAAAAGGTCAAATCTACCTTTTAGGTGCAGCCTGCATTCCAAATGGAGGCATTTCAGCTTACTCAAGTCTTTATTTAGTCTAACCACTTGGCAACCTACTTTATTTAGTTTAATCTCCTGGCAACCTACTCTAACCACTTGGAAACCTACAGCCTACATACAGAATCATAGTTCAGCCATCCATTCCTACCTTCCTAGTGTTTTTGTTTATTTGCTTGGCTCATTGTATTGTGTTTATGTGTACATGTTTGTGAGGGCAGCTCAACTGTGACCTCTTGTGCAGTGTTCCAAATTTACAAAGTTCCCTAAGGATACCAGGCCATCCCTGGCCCTCTTTTCTCTTATATATGGGCAAAGGCTGAGTGACTTGGGGTCCTGACCTCAGTAAATGCAGTCTTATCCTCACCCATTGCTTTGCTTATTCACTGAACCTAGTCCTGAAAATATGGGAGTATAGATTCAGAATCAGCTCTCACCTCTGTGTGGATGACTTTGCGCTCAGCATGCATTTCATAGCCCTGCTCATGGCTTATAAGGTCCTCTCTAACATGGCTGCTGGTTCCCCACTCTCCTAAGTGTAAACACCCTCCCCCACTCTAGGGACTGTGCATCCCATCCTGCATCCACTGCACCCTAGCCTTCATAACTCACATGCTGATATGGAAATAAACGAAGACCACCAAATGGAAACAAGCAAAGCCTCTTGAATCAGAGCTTGCTACATCCAGAGGGCCAGCCACTAGCCCTTGCGTTCGGCAGAGACTGAAAGGCAAGCGGAAGAGAGAAAGCTCCAGAGTGGAAAAGAGGGAAAGCTTCAAGTATGTCCTGATTGGAGGCTGTTGGCCTGGGGAAGTTGCAGACAGGCTAACAAGATGCGGGGAATCTTGTGTAATAGATTAGGGGTACCTATTTAGCTTTCTTGGGTTAGTCCTAGAATTTCAAGCCAGGACAAAAGTTAGGGAAACTGTCAGGGAAATTAATCAAGTCCTTGCCATTTGGGGCTGATTGCTAAAGGGGTTGTTGTTTGGCTTCCTGAACTGGTGACTCTAAACAGTAGGTTGGCTCCCTGGGCTGGTTGCTGCAGGTTGTGGGTGAAGGTTCTGTTTTTATATAGTCAGACTAGTGTCCATTTGTATCTTCAGCCTCTCACCATTCCCCCAACTGAAGGTGCTGCTGTTACTTGTTCCCTGTCCTCACAGACCCTCTTTCCACACCCCATCATTCTGGCTGAAGCCCCCTCCAATGTGTTTTCACAGCACCTGCACTTTGATCACAACACATGTCCCCTTTATTTTAGTCATTACTGGTTCGTTTTCCCTTTTGGTCCAAACACTCCTTGAGGGCAGGGGTTCTGTCTTGTTCATCACTGTATCTTCCCTAGTCCCTTGCACCGTGTCTGGCTCCAGTCAGCTTATAGTAAATACCGATTAAACAAATGATTGATGAATACCAAATACAGCCTGATAAATCTCCCTCTTTCCACTCCCTGGTCTGCATTTCTCCCTGCCTTACGGATATCTGCAACTGGATATTCCACTTGCATCTCAAAATTATCATGTCTAAAACCAAACATTTGATCTTTCTCCCAAGCCATTCCTTCTTGTGATGTCCTGATTTGTAAAGTCCCACCATGCTCACAAACACTCTGCCTTGCCCCCTGCAGCTATCAGTGGGTCCCCATCATCTTCATCTCTTGCATTTCTGTCCCATTTCTTTTTATTCCCACCTCAGCCTTTGTTCTGGTTTGGACTCTGACCTCAGCCTGCCGCCTGGTCACTGGGTTCCAGTCTCAGTCACCCTCTCGAATCCATCCTCCACGCCATCCCAAAGTTCCACTTTGCTTATGCTTCTGTCTTATGGGAAACCCTTCTGTGGCCTCGCATGTCTCAGCCTAGCCTTCAGAGCTCTCAACCGTATGAAATAATCCCGTCCATAGTGTTCATTACTCCTTGCCACACACTTGACTTTTCAATCCCGTTACCCTAGTTGTTTCTAGGACATGGCAGTTCCTCCCCTCCTTTCTGCTGCCTTTACCACCTCCGCAGCTTAAACAATGACTGAACATTCCCTTGTCTCCAGTGGCAGTTATAGATACTACGCTGTGCTGTAGTGATCGATGCAGATGTCTTCTTTCCCTTACTGAACTAAGCTCATTGAAACATCCACCCTAGCTGGTCTTTGCCATTTATAGAGTAGGCACATGGTAAATATCTGTTGAGTAAATGAATGATGCAGCTGGTCATTGCATCTAGAATAACCCTCACGTTAAGGTGGGTTCATCCTTAGATGGATTTGGGATTGATGAATTCAAACGTGCAGTTAAGAGTTTGCTTGTAAATCCTGAGACCATATAGACAGAGTAGCAGCATAATTGTGTGTCTGAACCATCAGTGTTTACTCAGCCCTTCCTTTTGTAGTTCTAGTAAATTGCTTTGTATTTGAATCCGTGCTAGGGCCTTCTCCGCGGAGATTTTTTTTTCTTGAGGCCTACACCGGCAGCATGGCCAAATGCCTATTTCCCAACTTATATCCAGAAATTATTGCCTTTTTTTTTTTTTTTTTTTTTTTTTTGGACAGAGTCTTGCTCTTGCTCTGTCGCCCAGGCTGGAGAGTGCAGTGGCGTGATCTCGGCTCACTGCAACCTCTGCCTCCTGTGTTCAAGCAGTTCTCCTGCCTCAGCCTTCCAAGTAGCCGGGACTACAAGCGTGCGCCACCGTGCCCGGCTAATTTTTGTATTTTTAGTAGAGACGGGGTTTCACCGTGTTGGCCAGGATGGTCTTGATCTCTTGACCTCGTGATCCGCCTGCCTCGGCCTCCCAAAGTGCTGGGATTACAGGTGTGAGCCACCATGCCTGGCCCTGGCTTTTCTTTAGTAGAAGTTCAGTTCATACTACCAAGGCATCTAAAATATTTATCTCCTTACTCATTAAAACTCGGCAGTTACACGTCATACTGGAAAGAGGGATAGGTTGGCAGAATTGGGGATCAACAGGTATCTGGGATCTGCAGGGTCTTGGCAGGAGAAGGCTTGGGGGGGACAAGGCACATGAGTGTGCATAACGATCTCATAGACCAGCATGGTGGGAAAGAGGGAAACAGCCTCCCTGTTGCTCACGAGATCTAAAAAAGCCTGCCAGCTTGGTATTTTGGTCCCTGGATTTATGTATCTGATGAAGATAAAACATTCAGAGCATGCCAGCCCCGTGTAGAACACCAGCCTAAGAGAATGGAATAAAAAGAATGCCGACAAAATTTGAATAATCATATGCGATACATCTATTCATTCTAAAACATGATTAGATAATGCAAATTATACATGATAATCATAAATTAAAACAATTACAAATAAGACAGAATACATTTATTGTTTAAATTGTTGAAGTTTATATTTAGAAATTGCTCTGGGTAGCATCAACATTGACTCTGCTGGAGGATTCACCTTTGCTGTCATAGATGCAAACCAACCATTTCAAACAGTTTTAATGGCAATCTGTGCTTCCAATGCAGTGAACTGGGTTTCTGCTCCGCCGTGCTCTTCCCCATTCTCTGTGGTTTTATCATCCTCGGCCTGCACACGTACCGTTGCCTTTGCCTAGAATATCTTTTCCTTTTTTGTTTATTCTTCAGGGTTTAATGAAAACCCTGACTCTTCTGTGAGGCCACCCCACTTCCCTTTGGTATTGCTTTTCTCCTCTGCTTCCGCATGGCATCTTGCACATTTGCTAACGTGCACTCATGACCTTGAACATCCCTTGAGCACAGGTCTCTGTTCCCCTCTGGGAGCCTCCCCTGGCTCATGCCTCAATGATGAGGAAGACCCTGTCTGAGTTGCTTTTGTGGCCTTCGTCCCCTCTGTGCCTAGTACGGGGCCTGGCGCTCCTCGATTGGAAAGCAAGAAATATTTATTTAATGAAATGTCACTAACACAAGCTGAGGCTCTTTTAGGTCTAAGAAAACGGCCATCTCCCCGTTGCTGTTTTGGCCCCTCTAGTCCTGTGTCCTTGATGTCTGTGAACGGCCACTCCTGAGTTCTGTCTGTGAGGCTCACTGCTGCTAGCATGTTGGAGCCCAAGGGCATTGAGGGGCCTTCCCCTGTCACCCCCTTTTGTTACAGACACACATTCCAGAGAGGTGAACCCTCGCTAAAGGTTACAGTTTGCCTTCCAGCTACCGCTGAAGCTTGTGGCTTGGTTAAACAGGCCTCCCTGAGTAGAAATGATGGACTCTTCTGAGTTGAGAGACCTCGGATTGTACTTGAAACTTTCCATTCTCCAGCTGGGCCATTTGGGGCACTTCCTGTTCTTGTGTGAAATCATTAGCCACAATCTGGAGACCTACGAGTGGAATTTGGTCTGCAGTCTTCGTTTCTTTCTTTAAAGTTTGAATTCTGATGCTTCTCACAAAGACACCTGCTTTGCAGATAGCTCTGGTCCCCACCGTCCATCCCCGCAGTTACTGCATCTTTGAGAAACTTTCTGTTTTATACTCACAGCGCTTCACAGCTTGCACTAGCCATGTTCCAAGTCTTCGGCCGCTGCATGCAGCCAGCAGTTAGAGTGCGGGACTGGACAGCGCCGGCCGGATGCTTCTGCCTTCGCTCATTGACGGTTCTTGCTGGCTTCCGAAGGCATTTAGATCTGACACTGTGGATGAAAAGGCCCTATAAAGCCCTTCCTACTCTGACATCCAGTGAATCTACTATTAAGATGGATTTTAGAGTTAAGTGAGTCCAGGACGACCATCGATGTCTCACCGAATTGGAACTCACTGGTCAGCAGCCGTAATGTTTGAATTGGAACCAGAAAATAGCTCTCAAATTTGCAGAGTCAGCTTTGCCGGGCTTCAGGCTGAGTGGGCTCATAGCTGGTTGGCCCTGTATCTCTGGCCTGGGCACCGTGGCTCCTTGCCAAGGCCGGCAACCCTTGATGGTGGCAGCACGGAGCAGACCGAGCCCCCAGCCGACTTACCCCCGAGGCCTCGCGCCTCCCCCTTCACAGCATTGCGCCTTCCCTCTTCCAGTTCCCAGGGTCGCTTCAGGCTGTCCCAGCCCTCTGCCTAGTCAGCTGTCAGGGAGGGGAAGTGGCAAGTCCAAGGCCGCCAGAGGGCTTCCTACTGCCTGCCCTGCCTGTGGCATTTCTTAAGGTGACAAAGAGTGTGTTTTTAAACCACCCTCCAGAACTCTTACTCCCCATGAATTCTCTGCAGCTGCTCCCCCAGAATTGACTGGAAAGAGAACCTCGTTTAAGCTGCCTATGCAGCAGAATGCTGTGAGTCAGACGACGTCCTGCCAAGTGCAACCTGAGATGCTTCAGTGGAAGCTTGTTCCTCGGTGGTGACACCTTGTCTCCACGCTCATCCATTCGAGTGAAAATTCATCTCTTTCCCTCCCAAAAACATCATGTAATGAATGATGGTTGTTTTTGCTCTGAAGGAGACTTTTTTTTTTTTTTTTTTTTTTTTTTTTTTAGACGGAGTCTCGCTCTGTTGCCGGGCTGGAATGCAGTGGCGTGATCTTGGCTCACTGCAACCTCTGCCTCTTGGGTTCAAGCGATTCTCCTGCTCCAGCCTCCCAGGCATCTGGGACCACAGGCATGCGCCACCACGCCTAGCTAATTTTTGTATTTTTGGTAGAGATGGGGTTTCACCATGTTGACCAGGATGGTCTCGGTCTCTTGACCTCATGATCCACCCGCTTCAGCCTCCCAAAGTGCTGGGATTATAGGCGTGAGCCACTGTGCCCGGCCGAAAGTGACTTATATTTGCATAGATTATCTCTGTAAAAAGTGAAAGGTTTCTGTGAACGTCTGGTACTTATAAAATATCTTTGTAGGGCAGGATGGGAGATGATTAAACTACTTCCTCATTTAGACAGTGCCACCTGTAAGAAGACTTGTGGTGTGGATTCAAAGATGGTTATCCACAGTGAGATGAATAGAAGGCAGTACTTCTCAAACTTTCATGTTCACCGAAGTCACCTGGGGATCTTGGTAAAATGCAGATTCGGATACAGCAGGTCTGGATGAACCCAGACTGCTTTTCCTAATAAACTCCCAGAAGAGGCGCAGGTTTTAAGGCTATGAGGTGCTTCTCTGGACCCTGGCTGTCCGACGGCCACATTTAATGAGAAGAGAACCCAGCTGTGTGGTTGTTGACTGCGATGAGGATCGCACTGACTTAGAAAGTTATGACTTTAATGTTCCTTAGTCGAATCACTAAGATTTCTATATAAAACAGCAGAAAATATGGGAGTTTGGAGAAGAGAGAAATGAGCTGGATGAAATAGCTTCCTAGCTCCTGATTGATCACTGGGCATCAGCTATTTTGTGTGCTGGTGCCGATGAGCAGGGGAACACGTCGTGAACAGAGTTGTGTCATAGCTGGACGAGAAGGAGATGTTGTAGGGTTCAGTTCGTGTAGTGAATTTTTCCTGAATCCTTAAATTCTCATATATAAAAACATATAGATATGAAGACATTACAATAATATAGAAAAGACTGTGTATGTATGTGTGTATGTGTACCCTATGAGAAATGTTTTTGCTGGTATGCGAAGGGGAAAATCTAGTGTTTGGAAAGAGTTCTCCACTGTGCTTTGGGACTACAAGTTCAGCTTGGGGCAGGGCAGCAGAGTTGAAGAGGAGGCAGGGAGGGCAGAATGAAGCCATCGTCCCTGTGCAGCATATCGGGTGTTACTTTTATGTTGGTGAAAGAATGATCCGAGGAGCCAGCTTATCAGTGTGGAGAAGATTGCAGCTGCAATTTGCTGGTTAGTCTCTGTTCTTTTAACGCTTTCCTGAAGTGCCATTTTGTCTCGGTAAAATGCTCCCTGAAAATACTCAAATATTTTTAGTTGTAGAGTACAAATCAGATTGAGCTGCACATTTCCCTGGTGAGCAAAAGTGATGAGTTTGTGTTCATTAACTCGAGGCCATCTGGTGCAGACACGCTGCCGTCTGTGAATCAAACGTGCATCAAACTCCAGGGATCAGAACGCGTGCCAGAGCCAGTGTTTTGGAGAGTCAACAACAACCGGGGGAGAAAGAGGCCCTGGCTATATTTTTCTTTTAAAAAATCGGCTCTGTCTTGCAACATATCAGAGCATCCCGTGCTGCCCAGCTGATGAGCCCACTTGCAATCTCTCCATTGCCCATCTGAACTGTCTTTGCGGTGTGCTCTGAACTGTTTTTGAGGTGTGTCTCTGTGGTTGAAGTCATCTTGCCTGATACCATCTTCGTTTGGGTAGGGGGAGAGGTGGAGAGAGCATTCCAGTCCCTTTCTCTGCATTTTTCTGTAACCACAGGCCTGAGCCACAGACAGGCGTGTGCACACACACACATTCTCACTGTGAGACAAAGAATTGTGAGGCAAAGCAATGCTCAAGGTAGTTGACATGTTGCAGAACATTCTTGGGAGAACTGCCTTCTGCAAATAACCAATTTCTTGAGGAGACAGTGCTTCTTGCAGTCTTGCCAATAAAAAGCCACTCAGCAGCAGCTAGCTTTCTGTTTAGCGCACTCACCAAAATATATATACATGAAAGAAATTGCTACGCTGATCTGGTACTGAAGACCACCAGGGCCGTCCGTGGCGTGTACGGAGGAGGGACCTGGGAGGGTCTGGGAGTCTCCTTGGAGGTTCCTCCCACTTCGGCATCCGTGAGTCCTGTATTTGGTACCGGAGGCCCGTGTATCTGTGTTAGCAGTTGGTCCCCTGCAGAGCACGACACCTGACGTTTCTGTAACGAGATGCAATTTTCTGGGTAGCCTCTGTACCGTCTTTCTAGCTATGCCTTTTCCTTTAGGTACCCAAGCATGTTCACTGGAAGAAGAGAACACAGACTGGGCTGCAGACGGAGGGAAGATGAGTATAGGGACTCTCCTTGTCTGTCCCTGTACCTGCCCACTGCCACCTGTCTACGTCCTGAGATACCCAGCAGAGGACAGGGTTCCACTTGGAAAATTCTTTTGAATCTCACACAAGACAGTAATAAACATAGAGGGAGAAATAACAAGACATTTTACCATGTCTTGTGTCATGTAGGAAACTTTACATTTCAGAAAATATGAAGACAAAAAGATGAAGGAAAGGGCTTTAAGGATACAAAGGACCTTATTATGGAAGGAAAGCAGTGTTGTCAAGAGAGCTAAAATGAACTTTTCTTTTTCCAGTGGGTTAACTTTTAAAAGTGCATGTTATTTAGTGCCCTGCATTGCAGTGTATCTTATTATAACCTTACCAGCCCCAGCTCCTTCACTGTTTTCAGTGTTTGCTAATATGGTAATCATGAAATAGCACTTTATTTTTGAATCTTTGGTTAGCATTAGAGTTTAAGTTTATCATTTGCTTTTTGTTTGTAAGCCCTGAATGAAGGTTTACTTGCACTTAGGAAAGCCCACTGTCCAGTATGTAGACAAGTTAGCTCACTGAAGGTCTTACTAAGCCATTAGTTGAATTACAATGCATTTGCTACAGCCTGGATCTCTAAATTGATGGAATCCACATTGTTGGCAAGATTCAAGGGTAGCACACACCCTGAACACACAAATGCGAGGACACAACAGCAAGAATGAGTAAGCGAGAGAATCAGGTGAGTTTCTAAGGAGCTTTCTGGAGGAACAGAACTTTGTTTTACTTTTTGATTATGCAATTTATGTTTATAGTGGAAAACAGGTAAGACAATAATAGTACCTTTGCTAATCATATTTTAAAACATTTTGGTATGTATGCTTCTATTCCTTTCTCTATGGGAATAAATACCTTAAACAATAGAATCAGTATATTCGTGAAATATCGGTCAGTAAAATCAGATTAGAATGATTACAAATGCATCGGTGAAGGTATTATCAGTGAAAATATTTGTAACCTGCATTTTCGCTGCATATTCATTTCATGAATATCTTTTCATACCAGTTATGTAATATGTGTGTGTGTGTGTGTATATATATATATATATATATATATACCAGTTATATAATAAAATGTTATTTTATTGTTATCACTATGTAGTCTCATTGAATGGATATACCATAGCTTATTTAACGGCTTTAGTGTTGTTTGACATTTGGGTTGCTTCCAACATTTCCTGCTCATAAATGCTGCCGTGATGAGCATACTTACAGCTGAATCTTTTCTTGCATCCATGGTTAGTTCCCTAGAATAAGTTCCCAGAAGAGGAATGGCTACATATATGCATGTGCAAACTTTATGGCTTTTGATTTGTGTCAGTAGCATAATGTATTTTCTTCACTGGCATTTAGCATACTTTTAACCTGTGGTAGCCCATAACTCTTTACTGTGTCAGGGCCGGGTTCCGTGCACCTCCTTTATCAGCCTACAACACTACGATGCCCCCAGCCTTTCCAGTGCCGCCTCTTCCTGCCCAGCCCAGTTCCTGGCCCAGAGGCCATGGCAGTTTGCATGGAAGTGCTGAGTATTGTTTCATGTTTGCAAAGAGAGGACAGCTGTGGATGAATGGAGAGGAAATAGGAGAAAGTCATTGTCAGAGACTCGGGATTTTTGATGGAAGCTTTATCGCCGATAGATATGACATTTGCCGAGTAGGCCATCACTTCTTTGATTGTCACTTTCCAAACCAAAGCAAATGAAGTCATCAAAAAGAACGATGTGTCGGAGGGCATTTCAAAATTCTGGAGATTTCTGAGACACGTGTAAGGAACAGAAAACCTGGCTTGGGTGGCATGCTGTGTCAAAGGAAAAGAACTGCAGTGAGGTTGGAGGAGTGGGCTCACCTGATGGATGCATTTCTTCAGTACATACATGGCAGGGGAAGGCCTGTCCCTCTGTGGGGTCAGGCAGTCAGGGTGGCTCTTTTAAAGTGGTAGCTTCTGAATGTCCTGGCTGCTGGGATCCTAGTAGCTTTCCTGGGTGCCCTTGGAAAGCAGAGGATTGGTGGTGGTCCTGGGTGAGGGTCTGCAGATGCAGGTGGTGGCCAGGGGTCTAGCCAGGAAGATATGCCATATCAGGGAGGCCCAGCCCTCAGGGGACTGAGGTTTAGAGTGGAGACTTGGAGATTCCTTGGAGGTCTAGAGATAAGGAGTGACTTTGTTCCATAGGCACCGGGCTCCTGGAGTCTGAGCCATAGGAAACTGGTATTCAGTACTAGAGCTAGGATTGAAGAAGGGGTCTGTTCACAAGGAATTCAGTAGCAGCCCAGGTCCTACGTGGTACCACAGTCAGAGTGGAACCAGCAGCCCAGACTGCTGTGCCATCGACCTGAAGGCCCTTCATGTATCTGGGGAGCTGGGACTAAGTGGTCTGTGCTGTGAGGGTTGGGCAGCCACAGCACCAGGGGTCTGGACATTCACTGCTGGTAACGGTAGTTGGCAGCCTTCTTTCTTGTCTTTTCTCTAGATCAAGCTTAGAACATTCTATGTTGTTTTCCGTATGGTTACTCAGTGGCACAGATCTTACAGGAAAGGCAGACCTTGAAAAAAGTTTGTTTTCTTCTTTTTGTTGTAAAAAAAGACAGATACAGAAAGCAATATTAAGCAAATGTGTGGCTTTGTGATTTTATGTAAGCCAAACAACCTTGTTACTGCATAACTTTGCTAGTCCCCCTAAGAGCCTCTCCTCCATCTGCCCCACCCCAGTTACAGCTTTACAGCTCCTCACCCTTCCCAATTCTTGTAACAGCCACTTCCATGCATTTCTTTACGGATTTGTCACCCAGGTGTGTGCTGTGGACTGAATGCTATGTCCCACTCAAATTCCTTTGTTGAAATTTTCACCCACAAGGTGATGGGATTAGTAGGTGATGATGATGACCTTTGAAAGGTGATTTGGTTGTGAGAGTGGAGCCCTGATAAATAGGATGAGTGCCGTTGTAAAGAGACCCTTTGCCCATTCTGCTGTGTGAGGACACTGTAAGAAAGGAGGCAGTCCCTCACCAGACATAGAATCTACCTTGATTCTGGACTTCCTAGCCTCCAGAACTGTGAGAAATAAATTCGTGTTGTTCATAAGCCACCCAGTCCATGGTATGTTGTTACGGCAGCCCGAACAGATCAACACAGCGTGCACGTTCCTTGCTGCTGTTTTTGAGCCTTGCCCATTAAAAAAAAAAAAAAAAAAAATATGTGTCTTTGAAGTCTCCTTTAAAACACGCAGCTTGCCCTCTCTTCCTTCTTTTTTCCTGTGGGTTTTTAATCTGCAGATCCCCATAAGCTGGCATGCTTCAGCAGTTCCTCTGTCTTTTGTATTTCCTGAACATTGGCAGCTGCATCCAGAGGTGTGGACCAGACCCAAGTCTATCTCTTTAACAAAGTAGTGATGCTTTTCATCGGCAAACCTACACCATGTGGTTTTTGCTCCTTTTCACGTTAACAGCCAATGATGCTTAAGGCACAAATCCATTGCTTTACTGAGAGTTGCAAAATCGTATTATTTCAACTCTATGAATTTGTTTTCATTTATTAATTGGGATAATTTTCTAAGAAGGAGCTTCCATGTCATTTTCCATTTGGGTACTCAGTGGCACAGGTCTTACAGGAAAGTCAGAATAAATGCTTAATGCTTTCTCTCGACCCACTTTTCAGACATTGACTTGGTTTCCTGTCTTCCTTAAGACTGAACCAATTAGGTCGTTTTCAATAATATTATGAACTCATGGATTTACACACATTTGATGGGTTTCAGTCCATTGCAATTACTATCTTTATTGAAACTCTTATTTTCCTATCTTTGACCAGCTGGAGCTCCTTCACATTGGCTCTGGGGTCCTTTTACCATGACTTCAGGAGCTTTCCTATCTTCTTTACCATCTGGTATAGGCTCACGTTGTCTATTTCCTGCCCCAGACCTGGATTCCACCATTTCTCCAAGAAATCTGCTTTCTTTTAATCAGAAAAAAGTATTTCAAGACCAGCTGGGGCAGCATGGATGCTTATTGCTATTGGTTTGGTCATTATTTCTAGTTTTTTCAGTGGACACACCATACAATGTGTAGTGCGTATGTTGGGGAGGGAGGGGTGTTATCAAATACTGTGAGTTCAAACTGATATTTCAGACTCAAATTCAGAACTGTATAGTTTTCACTCAACTACTTTTATATTGCATTTGTATCTCCTTTCTTCCAAACCAAGAATCTTGGTACTTTTTTTTGAAATGGAGTTTTACTCTTGTTGTCCAGGCTAGAGTGCAGTGGTGCTATCTTGGCTCACTGCAACCTCTGCTTCCTGGGTCCAAGCAATTCTCTTGCCTCAGTCTCCTGAGTAGCTGGGATTACAGGTGTGCACCACCATGCCCAGCTAATTTTTGTATTATTATCATTAGTGGAGACGGGGTTTCACCATGTTGGCCAGGCTGGTCTCAAATTCCTGCCCCCGGGTGATCTGTCCACCTTGGCCTCCCAAAGTGCTGGGATTGCAGGTGTGAGCCACCATGCCTGGCGATGTGAGCCACCACTCCTGGCAAATCTTGGTTCTTAAAGATACAGAATTAGAATATCCCGTAATTATTACAATAGTCCCAATAACAATAATAAGAGCGCTATACCATCAGTGATGATTACTGAAAACAGTTAAACATTTTTTAATCCCTCTATTCTCTTGTTTCCCCCCAATTTTTGTGGCTATGTCATATTTGCATTATCAGATCATATAACCTAGGGGTCCCCAACCCCCGGTTCTGGCCTATGGCCTGTTAGGAACCTGGTTGCACAGAAGGAGGTGAGCTGGCATTACCACCTCAGCTCCGCCTCCTGTCAGATCAGCGGCAGCATTAGATTCTTTTTTTTTTTTTTTTTTTGAGACGGAGTCTCGCTCTGTCGCCCAGGCTGGAGTGCAGTGGCGGGATCTCGGCTCACTGCAAGCTCCGCCTCCCGGGTTCACGCCATTCTCCTGCCTCAGCCTCCCAAGTAGCTGGGACTACAGGCGCCCGCCACTACGCCCGGCTAATTTTTTGTATTTTTAGTAGAGACGGGGTTTCACCGTTTTAGCCGGGATGGTCTCGATCTCCTGACCTCGTGATCCGCCCGCCTCGGCCTCCCAAAGTGCTGGGATTACAGGCGTGAGCCACCAGCATTAGATTCTTATAGGAGCAGGAACCCTATTGTGAACTGCACGTGTGAGGGATCTAGGTTGTACACTCCTTATGAGAATATAACTGACGCCTGATGATCTGAAGTGAAACAGTTTGATCCCAAAAACATTCCCTTATCCCCCCATCCCGATCCCCACCCCAGGTCTATGGAAAAATTGTCCATGGATTGATAGTGTGAAGCATGTGATGTGCTTTTTCAACGTGTAGTTTTGATTTCTTTTAATTTCAGGGAAGTTGTCTTCAGTTATGTACTTTAACAGTGTTCTGTCCCCTTGACTTGCTTTTCTTTATCAGGAGCAGACTCCTCTTCTCCATTGATTGGATCTTCTTTGCCCATCCTCAGTATTTGTCTCTTTCTCTGAGTTCCTTCTTACCTTTTTTCTTTTCTTCTTGATTTTAAAAAAAGATACCTTTTGCACCTCCCATTTCCTTTACACAGCTTTTGTTTTATATACTGGTTTTTATGTTCCTTCTAGTTTAGTTTTCATCTCTGACATTATGTTTTAATATTATTTCAGGTCTTATATCACTTTTTAAAGGCCTTTAGTTCATTTTAAAGTAATATGCTGCATATTTTATAGTTTTTTGGTCCATCTTTTTGGCATGCATTCATTATCTGTAGGGATTTTCCTCTCCTTCTCCACCTCCTCCTCTTCCTCCTTCTCCTCCTCTTCGTTTTCTTTCTAATCCTTCTTCAGCTTTGTATGAAATTTGACCAGAGTATTTACTGCCACAGAGAGGCTCCTTCTTTTCACTCCTTCCACTGCTGCCACCAAGCTTTTGTCCCCCAAGAGGAGGATGGTCTCAGATGGAGGATGGTCTCAGATGGAGGACGATCTCAGATGGAGGATGGTCTCAGATGGAGGACGGTCTCAGACAGAGGCCCTTTTGCAAAGTTTGCCTTTTCTCGTGAACAGTGGTCTTGAGTTTGAGGGAGGAGGAGTAGGTCATGTGGACTTTCTAACCTTACAGCACTGTTCCATCTTCTGTTGCATCCCACAGTGTTAAAACTGTGCAGCTGGCCCTCTGAGATGTCCTGTTTCTGTTCCCCTCCTCCACTTTTACCTGGCCAACCTCCTTCCTTTATCTCTGTTATTTCTATCTGCTCAATTTTGATTCCACTCCCAGCAGTGAGGCCCTGGACATGTTCATTGAGAGTCCCTGGGGACAGTGCAGCTCCAGCCTCTTCACCCAGGCCTCGTAACACAGGCCCTTGCGTGTGCTGCTGCTGCTGGAGTGAGCCAAGCTGCTTGAGTGAGCCAAGCTGCTCTCAGTGTTAGCCACTGTTGTCAAAATGGCTGTCTGTGTCTTCCAGGGAATGCTTGTTGGATATTTTGGTGTTTTGTGCCCAGGTCCACCAGATGCCCTATTGCTTCCCTCTGTTTTCTCTAGCAGAGATGCCCCCTTCCTCAAAAAAGAACAAAAAACAAACAAAAAACATGCCTTGTGGTTGTTGGTGGTTTCATTCATGGACTTGTAATTTGGAGTTCTTGGGGATACCTTGTCACCTAGTTTTGTTGTAAATGTTGTCTGTGAGTTGTTGCTTATGCATTTAGTGCATCTGTGTGATTTTTCTGGGAGACATTGGAAGGATCTCATTGTAGCTGCCATCATCCCAGAGCCCCCCAGCAAGATTTTAAGCTGATGGGAGACAGGGCCCCTTGCCGAACGTCTGACGGCACTTCACATATTGTTCTGTGTGCAACATGGATTCGATAAATGTTTGTAGCATACACGAAACTGTCTAACTCTGGGTTTGAACTCCAGCCCCAAAGCAGGCACAATTCTGGGCTTTTGGTATTACATCCTTTTTGCAGTTTATTTGGAAGATATTCATTTGGGCGACAGGGATGTACTGTCTGGGTCAGATCTGGGAGGAGTCCACCCTCTAGTGGGGGAGAGTGGCTCTCTGCTGCCTGTGTATGGAGATAATGAGTTTCAAATGTGGAACTGGCTTTGGAGTTCATGCCTGCCACTCCAAAAAGGCAAGACCAGAGTGGAACATACTTGGGCAAGCCTGTGACTCCCAGTACCTTTATCTCTTAAAGGGATTTATACAGCAGTCACTTGTCTGCTTCTTTGCCTAGGTCCCTAATTAAAGCAGTTTTCAACCCGATAAACAGCCTCACCTTGGCTGATAGAGTTGGACAACTCCTTGGTGGCCCGTTTCCATGCCCTCTCAGGCTCTGTAGCTCCAGGGTTAAGTTCCTGCCTTCAGCAGGGCCACCCACTGAAACATTTAATGAGGAGAGGAGTATTGTTTCTTGGAGACATAATTACCAGAGACACTTAATGCCACCTTTCCCAAGATAACAGGCCTTTTGAAATGCAGTGTGTTGGGGAAGATTTAGCCAAGCTCAGTGACTGCCTTAGCAGTTATGAGTCATATTAATAATGCCTACATCTGCCTCCACCAAAAGGCTCTAGGGTCTGTCTCCGAAGTTTATTAAACTCTTCCTTGGGAGACTTGTGCTTGGGACTTAGGGTTCTAAGTCTTTTCTTTCATTATTTTTGGCTGTAACTCACTTTTACGTGGTTGTGGCCCTGGGCAAAATTTTGAAATAGGTAACTTCCCTTTGCATTCTCCCAGTACTATAAGACTCATACGTCCTGGGTTTTAGGGGTGCAAGCCAGTCCTTGCATTTTACCAGGATTCTTGAAGGCTGCAAACTCGGGATGTAAACACAAGCCATTACTGGGAGAGCATACTTGAGACATTGGAGGCCTCTTAAGATGCTTGCCTTCTCAGGAGCTCCTGTCTCCCAAAAACACAACACAACAAAGCAAAACACAGAAAGCACTTCTAATGAAAGACTTTTATTTAAATGTAAGGAGGCACCTACTTAAAGTAACTCTTAAGAAAATCACTTAATAAATATATATGACTTTTGTAATGTAAAAAATGTCTTCCTAACTTATTTGTTTTAAAATTTCAACTTTTTGACATCGTACTGTCATCCTTTAAAGTTTTGTGGGTTTTCTTAGTTTTGAACTTTTTCTTCCTTACCGTTGTCTTCCCCCTCATTTCCTGGAAAGGGAAATCGTTTCCTTCTCATGATCTGCGAGGCTTCCTTCCCTCCTCTCTCTTGTCGTTGTTTCATTTTGTTTTCGTCTTTTGGCCCCAAGGAAGCAGACGAAGAATCCTGGAGTGAGAGAGACCCGGGTTCCCATTCCAACTTTCCCCTCACTTGCTGTGAGACTTTGGCAAGTTCGTTGGCTTGTCTGAGCCTCAGTTTTCCTCCTTGTAAAATGGATATAAAAATCTCTGCACCACTGAGTTGCAGCAGTATTAATGTCATACTTTATACAGCATGCCTAGTGCCTGCCCCAGTGCAGATGCTCAGGAAATATCGTCCTTACTTAGGAGCACTCCTGTCAATGAAAACAGGACCTCTTGCCAAAGAGAAATATTTTGTGATTAGTGCTTGCTCCTGTCCCTGCCCCCATGAGCAAGTGTCCTCCCTTTCTCCTCCTGCATTGTTGAGGACACGTTTCTTGATACAAATTTAACTACAGCCACTAAATCAGAAATTCCCACCCAAAGTCATACCATAAGCAAAAAAAAAAAAAAAAAAAAAGTGGGCTTGTATATTTAAGGCTGTGGGTGGTGGAACTGGGCATGGGAGGGGAGGCCACTGAGACATCTCTTTGCTCCATCCCCTTTCTGAGTTTCCTAGGCCTCCACTGTTTTCTCTCCAAGCAGTCCCCCTAGAGTCCAGGGTCCACAGGGAGACCCGTTGTCCCTGCTCCCCCACCAATTTCTCCCAAGAGAAAGGAGGTGTCAGATGAGGACCCTTTTGCAAATTGTTGCTCTGGAGGCTGAAAAATCAAGCTCGAGCTGCCTGCTGGTCCTGATTTCCTTCCTGGCCGTTAGTCCCTGCCTTTTTCCTCTTTGTCGGTTTTCAAACGCAACTGCCCGCGCCACTGGGAGCTGCCCCTGACTTCCTCCTTCCCTCCTGGCCCCAGCTCTCCTGCTCTTGTTCCTGCCCCTGCCTCCCTCCCTAATACACTCAACTGCTTAAATGTCATTTGTGAAACAACAGAAGGACGTGCTGTTTTTGCAGCATCTTGGGGAACAATTTTTTTGATTCATTTGGTGTTAAGAACACTCATAAGAAATGTATTCAGTGACCCTCGCCAGCCTCAGTCACTGGTGTGGTTCCCATTTGGTGGTTGGTGAGCAAAACATTTTCCCCCCAGAAATGTCCACTCTTCTAGCACTTTCAGCCTTTCTCCGTAGGTTCCTTTGTCTTCAGGTCCTTGGGTACTTGAAGCCCTGCAGTTGCTAGTTCATTTTCCAGCTGGGAGAGCGATCCTGATCCAGCTCCTTCTCAGGCCTTTGAACCAAGTTCTTTGGCAACTGGCCAGGGAGGGAATATGGCCATGTCAGGCGTGCTTTTCCGGCCCATGAGATAAAAGGAATGGCTGGAAACACTATTCCTTCCGTGACTCACAGGGCCAACCTGGCATGTGCAAGGAACCCGTCAGACTGGGTGGGGACCTCCCGTCCAAATTTACCTGCGCAGACACAGCACCTCTTGGAGGAGCTAGGAAGTGGGAGTTCCCTTAGCACGTGATCCATATCTTCCCTCCAGGCCCTACCGTGCCTGTCTTGTAGCATGACGATGTATATTCTCACCTTAGTAGTCCCCTTAGCCTGTAAAGCTCTTTAGGGCAGGATCTACATCTGCGTAACCTTCAGGGCCCCCAGTGCTGAGAACTGTGCCTCACAGGTCCTAAATGTTTACTGAAAGGAAGAACACACAGGGGTGGGAGGATCACTTGAACCCAGGAGTTTGAGACCAACCTGGGCAACCAAGCAAGATGCAGTCACCACACACACACACACACACACACACACACACACACACACACACACACACACACACACACACACACTAGCTGGTTGTTGTGGTGCGCACCCACCTGTAGTCCCAGCTACTCAGGAGGCTGAGGTGGGAGGATGACTTGAGTCTGGGAGGTTGAGGCTGCAGTGAGCTTGATGGCACCACTGCAGTCCAGCCTGGGCTACAAAGTAAGACCCTGTAACAACAAAACAACAAAACAAAAAACAAAAGAAGAACACATGTATTTACCTAACTGAGGGTGGGAGTAGGGGTCAGAGAGAACTGTTTCCTTTCTCTAGACCTTACCCTGTTCTCTGCCAGAGAAAACGGTCCACACACACTTAAACGATTATTTAAAAACCTAGAGACCCTTTGCTCATTACTCAAGGTCCAGATGAGCAATTATGCTATGAATTAGAATTGGAATTAGCTGCTTGTTCTGGCCAGAACACCTGATTGCAATATAGTAACTGAATTGTCCCTGCCCGTATGAGTTATTCAGTCATTTCGGACTGTGGTGCTTTGGATTTGGTTAGACTGTCATCCATGAACACCCAGATAGAATTGTTGCTGTTTTGCAGAATCATCAACACAGGCTCCTGGGGCGTCAAAGGTGTCACAGCACCCTGACTGCAAGAGTAGATTGGGAGATGCTGTTGTGTCTCGAAATCATCCTTGGCGAATCTCCATCACACTTGGCCATTTTATCTTCCTGTTCACTTTCAGTGCCCAAGGAAGAGAATTGTGGGACCAATAGCAAAACCTTCCCCACTTGCCTTCCAGCCATGGTGAGAATTTGGAGGAAATGAAAAATAGCCTAATTCTCATACACCAAAAAATATCAAGAGTTCCTGTTCTAATGAGTTGTTTTTACATTCCACTTGACAGGAGGCTGACGATTTGTGGTTTGCAGTGTGAGTGACCTTCTTGAAAAGCATTCTGTATCTTCATTGACTTTGAACAGACCTTAACTGCTGGGTGAATTTGGGCACAGTTCATTCCCTCGGCAGATGGGCGTGCCAGATATCACGTGTACTGTCTTGGGCCTGTAATCCAAATGCACAGTAGATATTACCACCCTCCGACTTTGTTTTGGGAAATCCCCGGATGTAGAAACATTGGAGTTGTCAATTTCATGTGCGTGGGTCTTTCCCTAAACTGTGAATCCTTCCTCCCCAAAATATCATTCATTAATTGATCTTAAAAATCAGCTGGGAGTTAGGCTCCTTATTTAACACTGCCATTTGCACCTCTCGCTTATATAACACATTTGATATTCTCTTTATCTGCTTTGTCCCCACCTTTGAATATCTCATGGAGGCTGAGCTTTGCCAAACAGACAGATAGGAAGCAAAATTAGAAGCTTTTCTCTGTGCTGACTTCTAAGGGCCTTCCTGGTTTTCTGTGAAGCAACCAAAAAAAAAAAAAAAAAAAAAAGTCGAGACTGGAAGAAGCAAACTTTCAGCTAATTATCATCTTTTTTCCCCTCTGAGCTCAGAGTACTGTTCTTAATTTCCTGACCAGCTTGTACCCCTCCCCCGCTCCCTCCGAGCATCTGTGGTGGTTTCCAATGGAGCCGCATTCCTGCTGCTCTGAACTTCCAACATACCATACCAGTTGGTTTGCCAAACAGTGAACTGCCAGCCATCTGCCATCCAAAGTCAGAATTTACATTGTTTCATCTTAAAATAACGCCTCCGGAATAGCAAGCCACTCTATGCATCAGGTTTTAAAATTGACAATCAGCCAGAATTAAAAGCAAATACCAAATGGGTATAAAAAAAGAACGTTGTTGGGGGAAGGGACTAGCATTTGATGGAGAGTTTATTTTTCAGCATTTTTACCTGATTCTCCACCAAAATAGCCATGCCATTTAATTTTATCTGCAACAGCAGGAACTACTTATAGACTGAGAACATTAACTTTTTACTTGCCTGACTCTAGATGGAAGAGCAGTTGTCCCGGTTTCAGGGAGAAGGGATCACCTCCTAATCCCAGCCTATAGGGAAGGGAGATTTGTCTTTGCCTCCTCTCATCAGGCCTCCTGGTGCTCAGGTGAGAAAGTGAAGGCACTCGGAGGTAGAACACCCTGGCCAAGGTCACATGCTGGGTAAGGGAGGAACGATGCTGTGAACCCAGGACTCCTGGCTCCAGGCATCTCGTTCTGCTCTCCATCCCTTCCTACCTCTGCACACTTGCCTTGACTAGTCAATGGGGCTGCAGGACGACCTTCATTCCCCTTCAGTCCTTAGTGCCAAGCTGAGCAGCCTTGCCTGCCTCATTCCCCTGCTCCTTCAGGACAGATAGGCAGGAAGTGATGTCCATCTGCAGGACTGGGGACACCTGGGGGCCTGTGATGTTTACTGGTCTTGTGGCCTGTCGAAAGGGAAGAGCAGCCATTTTATCTGGACGGCTTTCTAGAGCAGATGGGCTCGGAGGAGACTGATTTTTTGAAAGAGAGAAAGAGAAGAGGCTTCATGTTTCGTTTAGGGAAGCTGTTCCAGGCAAAGGCAGCTTGGGGAAAAGTGTGAAGTTATGAGTGGGCAGAGGAAGCAGAGGGCTCTGAATTTATACCAAAGACACCTGCCTACAGTTTGAAACTCTGTGCCACAGGCAAGCCCGTGTGAGCTCGGAAGATGCGAGGGCCCCAGGCTGGGCAGGGCACTGCGTGGCCCTGAGCCAGGCCTTGTGCAGGCTCTCTGGAATTTTCTTTGAGCCGGCAGTGGGGACAATGGCAAGCATTACCCTGACAGACATTCCGGAGTCAAGGCATGCTGCCTGCTCAGCTGGGTCTTGATGTGAGGGTCAGCGATGGGAGCTGTGGTGATCTTTTGGTCTGGTTTGGTTTTTGGCCAGAGAGTGGCATCTCCCTTTGGAAGCGTTCTCTCACCCCCAGCACCATCCCTGCTCCCGCATCCCCTGCTTGTACCTGTAACAGTACCTGCTACACTGGCCAGGCTTCGTTGCTGGGGACGTCTGTCCATCCTGCTAGACTCCTCGTGGTCGGCGGCTGTCTTAACTGATCTTTTTCATTCTGAGCACCATTAGTATGTGCTCAGCTAATATCATGAGTGAATCAGTAAATTGCTGAGATGACGTAGGACTTAACTGGTTGTGCTGACCACCAGACCCAAGGCTGCCAGACCACGCTGTTGCCTCTGTGAAAGCCACTTGGGTTGACCTGAGGTCTTGTGATATTGTTGTGTTCCGGTTGGGCCTTATAATTAAGTAGTCTCCCCTTATCCGCCGTTTCGCTTTCTGTGGTTTCAGTTACCTGTGGTCAGGTAACTGCAGCCCAAAAATATTGAATGGAAAATTCCAGAAATAAACAATGCGAACATTTTAAATTGCATGCCGTTCTGAGCAGCTTGATGAAATCACACACTGTCCCACTCCATCTGTCCTGAGACCTGACTCATCCCTTTATCTAGTGGATCCACGCTGTCTACACTGCCTATCTGTTAGTCACTTAAAGACATCTTGGTGATCAGATCGACAGATCACAAGATGGGTGAGTAAGAACAATAAGATATTTTGAGACAGAAAGAGAGACCACAGTCACATAACTTTTATTACAATATATTGTGATAATTCTTCTGCTTTATTAGTGTTGCGATAATCTCTTACTGTGCCTAATTTATAAATAAAACTTTAACAGGTAGGTATGTATACGAAAAAATATAGTATATATAGGGTCCCATATCCTCTGAGGTTTTGAGCATCCACCGGGGGTCTTGGAACATATCCCTCATGGATAAGGAGGGCTTCCGTATTAGCAGGTTATGGAGAACATCCTCGTGTGCTAGTCACTGTACAAGGCATGCACTGTAGGTCTTATCTCAGATCACTTAATTCAGTTTATTAGCAATGGCCCTGTGAAGTGATGAGCCAACCAAGGCACAGAGGTGTTGACTTTCCCCATGTCACACTGCGAGTGAGTAGCAGAGGCAGATAGGAACTTGCAAGGGCTCCGATCGCGGGCATCCCATTGCTCTGTCTCCGGCGCTGGCTGGACCCCACTGGTGTGTTGTGCTCAGCACTGGAGCTAGTCTGAAGTGCCTTCACCCACAGCACACCTGGAAGAGGGTAACTGGGATGAGGCAGGCCTCATGAGGAAGGCGTTCTAGTTTGCCTGAGAAGCCCAAGTGAGGGGGGAAAGCTGCTTTTAAGACTCTGCTCGTTTGTCCGTGGCAGAGAGGGTGTGCTCACTTACTCCAGGTGACAGGAGGGGACTTGTGGGTGAAGATGGCAATGGGGCCAATGCTAGCCCATCAGGAAGGGTTTCCAAGCAAGTGGAGCTGCCGGACGGTAGAATTCCCTGCCCCGCGAAGGAATGAGTGTCCTGCCACAGCAGAGCCAGGCACAGCAGAATGACCATGAGTCATGAAGCCATGGAAAGAAAGGGTACCTCGCTGATCCAGATCGTGGGACAAGTGTACCTTCACACATCCACTCTGACTACAAATTTGGTTCATTCCATACTGTGATGATATATTTCTGAAGCTTAAAATACTTTTAACGCATTTTTACAGAGTGAGTCATTTTAAGGCCTCCCCCTGCCCAGCCTTGTAAATCTGATCAGGAGAATCCAAATTTATTTTAAAATGAAACAAAACACGAATAAGATGTGCAGATAAGATGGAGTGCAGCACTATCATTTGATTTGCTAAAAGATGTCTTCCTTTGCAAAATCAGAAGATGAAAGTGTGACTCCTTCCAGGGGCTGTGAGTGTTGATCTGCGGAAGCCCTGGGGCCGAGGTTGCTGGCCATAGGCAGCAGAGGGGCCGGGAGGCGACTCATGGCCAACACCGGAGTGGGGTGGTCCCAGTCCTGGTTGCCTCTAGTGAAGGAATCTCTAGATGCAAGTTTAAAACCGTGCCTAGCCCTCTGGCCAAATGCTGTTTTCAAGATGCACTGTTCCACAATGAAAGATAAAAGCTCTTTTATTAAAACAAAGCAGTTGTAAAACAGTTTGTATCTGATCCTGAGTTAAAGGCATTACTAAGGGAACCACATAGGGACAGAGTGAATGTCACTTCTTCCATTAAGTTTCATAGTGTTTGCTGCCCGCACATGCTTGTACCTGTCTTGTCACTTTTCCCTTCTGCCTGGGAGACGGGTCAGTAAATTCCAAAGGGCCTTTTGCTAATCTAACAGCCAGAAAACCAAGCAAAGGCTTCTCCCCTACTGATCTCCAAGAGCTTAGCAAGAAAATGAAATTCTTGTGGTTCTAGGGCACAGCTGTGATAACCAGGGACCAACACCCGCAAGTGTGTTGAAACAATAGGCCTGAAGTCCAAAAGCTAAAAGAATAAGTGTTAGAATCCAAGCTCAGGATTCACAATGAGTTCGAGATGAACTCTACATTCAGTTTTTGGAGAAAAACAGTTGTATTAAGTAGTGACTGAGTATTTAAGGATGAAGTATTAAGTTTCAAAACTGTTCAATATTATATTAAGTATTAAAAACTAAAGTGACCTTTTAAATACTGTTGAATTATGCCTCCTTTCATAGAGTTCTTTAAAAAAAAAAAAAACGAAGAAGAAATTATCTGTCTCCTCAGCTAAGAAATAATCTATTCATCCATTCTAGACAGCTTATTTGAACATAGCATGATCCTGGCACTACTGCCCCCCTAATGGTTGAGTGCTTTAATTGCAGACAAAGTACCCAACGAAATCAAACACTGAAATTTCAAAAGGAAATATAATTAGAGCAAACAAAATGCCATCTACAGAGACTGATTTTAGTAAGTTACTGACTGTCACACCCAGTGAAGACTTTGTCATCTTTTGACCTTTAGTTGTCTTTTGACTTGTGGTGCTTCATGCATTAAAACTCCCATCAGAGATTAAGAAAAGGTAATATAAAAGGAGGATAGAAATTTATAATATATTAAAATTTGATTTTAGGATGAAAACTTAAAAATGAGGCATAGGTTAAAATAATTATTAATACGGGATAGGTAATGTTCATTAATAGTCATTCTATTTGTGCATCATTGATAGCATAAGAATTTATTTAACTTAATTAGGGCCAGTTAATCCAAAAAATACTCTTTAAAAACAGTCACAGAAGCAAAAATACATATGAGAATTATTCATCAGTTTTCTAAGTTTCAAAGCACTATTATATAACTTATAGCAGATAAAAGAGGAACAATCATTCATTCATTCTCCTATGTGGTTATGAGACCATGAGTTCATAACTAACCACAAGTCAAGGTTCTAACATCAAATCCTTGATGGACACTTGGCATGCATGTTCTGTTCATATTGAAGAAGAAACTAGATGCTGAATCTTCAGTAGTAGTGTTGCCTTTATAAACTTTTGTTTTGCCATCATTTTTGCTTTCTGGTTTAATAATAGCCAACATTTGTCTCGTGTTTTGCAGCTGCAAAATGCTTCCACATGTCATTTTCATTCCCTCAAGCCTGGTTCATTAGTTCCTTTGTTTTATGGATTTGGAAGCCATTATGTTCAAAGAAATGAAATGACTTGCTCAAGATCACATAACCAATAAGTGGCAAAGGAAGGATGTGAACTTAGATTCCTTCCTTAGCCTCTTTATTCCATGCTTCTCCCACTACCAGAGTACTGCTTCCTGTGAGAAGAGTGGTCCCTCCAAAGGGCAATCCTTGTTATACATGGTGGCATAGCATACGGGCGGCCAGTGAAGAAATAGCAAGTTAGGCAGAGAATGACCCAGTGCCTGAGGCTTCCAAGGAAACAGATTTCACACAAACTATGAAATCTACTTGTCCTTTAATGTAATGTTGGTTGTCATTTAATCATTTATTCATCCAGCAATAATTACTGGCAGAGCAGCAGCCATATCCCTTGAACTGTGAGTACGGGGAGCAAAGTCCTGGTCACCGCCTTGAGGAGCCACCTTTTGATGAATTGTAAAACACCTCTCCCTCGGGCCAACCACTTTGCTCTCCTGTACTTGCCACCTCCAGGCCACGTTACATACCTGGAATATCAGGCTGTCACAGTGAACGACAAGGAGGAAGCCCTGCTTTGTCAAAGATGCCCCATGGCATTCACTGAAGAGGTCCTGTGGGTCGGCTCCTGGCTGGCCATGTGGATTTGTCCTCCTTCCAGATGAGTCAGCTTGGGGATATTCATCTGAGCAGATAAGTGCCAATGTTGCCATGGAGAGAAAAGGCGCCAGCGTTTTGTTCTGGGACGTGCTGTCACACACGCTCGTGGGCAGGTCATGAGAAGACGTGTCTGAAGTGTGATCCAAGTCTGCATGCCACAATTCAAATCCACCCTCTGCAAATGATTCTTACCCTAGGCACATCCGAATCCCCTGGAGATGTTTTCAGACCATGCTAACCCACTGCACCCCTGCCGCAATCCCGATGAAGGTGCAGAGCTCTCAGTGTCATGATAGATGATTAGGGAAAAGCTTAATTCTTTAGTTATTTTTAGGATATGTTATTTTGGAACAAGATCGAGAAGGATGTAAGTACCAACAGGCATTTGAAAGCCAGAAGGGAAGTAGTGAGCCATCCCGGCCTCTAGAGATGGTGCAGTTTTAAGACTAGGAACACCCCTATATTATGGGAGAAGTTGCTTCCTGAGCGCGCTCTCATGCTGGACATGGGGAGAGTGTCCTCAGTCCCCAAACCTGTGCCGGCCGGCGCCTCGTTCCGTAGCTTCCCTGACCCCACATAGAACTCATGCAAGGTTGACAGAAGCCTTCTTTCTAGGGTTCCCACACTTTAGGGGTGACATAATTGTTTACTTCTCGTTCTCAGGTTTTTGCCTGCATAAAAGTAAACAGCAGCAAAGAGAAACATTCTTTCTAGTTAGGAAGGAAGAAGAGACATTGGTCATCAAGCAGAGACAGTGTTTGGATCCCTTAGCATGGCATGCAAGGCTGTACAGTTTTCCAGAGTCCTTTCCCTCCACCTACCGCCTGTTAGCTACCAGAAGCTCCTTGTTTGCCTCAGTACCTCTGTGCCTGCCTTCTTTGTGGTCGGTGGTGTTGCAGTTCCTACCATGCAAGCATAACCACGTCTGCCTTCTCCGCTGTGCCTAAGAGGAAGGACTGTGGCGCATCCATCTTTGTGTTCTTAGACTCCATGTCTTGCAGGACTTGGGACATGGTTGACTTGGCAACACTTGCTGAAGGTTTGCCCAAGTTTGGTTCTCTGACTCTCTGATTTTGTGGGATTTCCAGAAGTCTTTCCTTACACATGAGAAAGTGTAGGGAAGGAGAAGTCTTATCATCCTACACATGAGATTGAATGATAGATCAAAGAGCCCCAGGCAGAACGAGCTTGTTGATGCCATATAATCTTAAGCATTTGCAGCGATTGTCATTGCCACCTCATGACAATTGAGTCTGGGATGATAGAGCAGTGTTGGCAGCACTGGGGCCTCTGGAAGGGCATCGTTAGCTCTTCTCACCAGGCAGGGCCTTCCCACCTTTTGCCTCTACACTACTCGGGGCTTTCATGCTGGGTGTCATTGGCCCTGCTGGGCAGCCATTGCCATAGGAGCCAGAGGGGTCCAATTGGGAATTAAGAAATAAACTATAACAATCACAGGCCTCATTGAGCGGAAAGTGCTCAGAGTCATTTTCCAAGGGAACTCCATGGAGATTACTTTCAGAATGCTCACAAATAAGAGAAACAGATTCCTTCTGCATGTGAAGCGTATTGCAGTTATAAAATGCTCGTGCATATATGACTTTATTTTATTTCCATTCAGTAATGTTATGAGTAAATAGGGCATGTGCTGTTTTCCCGATTTCTAGATAAATAAATGAAATCTCAGAGAGTCTCACTTATACAACCACTGTGTTCCTAGCAACGGTAACTATCCAATTGAAATGAATCTCCTCCCACCTCCCTCCCTCTCTCTTTCTGAACAAAGGGGGTTAGCTTACAATTAGACAAAACTAAGATATGAAAAAACCATAATGAGTAACAGTGATGTGAAACAGACTGGAGGTGCCCCCAGGAATTTGCAATAGAAGGTTGGAATGGTTAGGGAATAATAATTTAAATAATAGCTACTATTTTTGAAGGTTTAAGAGTCAAGATAGACAACTAAAACCAGTCTAGAAACTCCAATAAAGCTAAAAATAGGATTTCCTGTATAGGCTTAAGCGTGTGCTAAGCACTTTGCTAAGTTGTTATTACTAACATTATTATTATTTGAGGCGGAATCTTGCTCTGTCACCCAGGATGGAGTGCAGTGCTGCGATCTCGGCCCAATTGCAACCTCCGCCTCTGAGGTTCAAGAGATTCTCCTGCCTCAGCCTCCCAAGTAGCTGGGATTACAGGCATGGCATTTACCACACCAGCTAATTTTTGTATTTTTAGTAGAGACGAGGTTTTGCCATGTTGGCCAGGCTGGTCTCAAACTCCTGACCTCAGGTGATCTACCCTCTTCGGCCTCCCAAAGTGTAGGGATTACAAGCGTGAGCCACCGCGCCCAGCCGCTAAGTGATTATTTACCAGCGAAATCTTGTCTAATCCCCCATCCAGTTCATGAAATAGGTACTGTTTTTACTGACATTTTTCCAAATAGTCAACCAAGGACTGAAAGATTAGGTAAATTGTCCACAGTAGCTCAGAGATGTGGCTTGAACCCAGGACTGTCTGACCAGTGGTTTTTTTCTCTTTTTAGAGACAGGGTCTTGCTGTGTTGCTGTGTTGCACAGGCATGTGCGGTGGCACGATCCCTGCTCACTGCAGCCTTGAACTCATGGGCTATCAAGCCTTGATCCTCCTGCCTTGGCCTCCGAAAGTGCTGGGATGACAGGCATGAGCTACCTTGCCCAGCTACTGACTGGTACTTTTGACACAGCACTAAGTTGCTGCCTTTGTGGGCCCCATGGGGGAAGCAGGGCAGGAACTGGGCCTGGAAGGGGATCAGGGTTGGCTTGCATGGGGGCCAGAGGCAGGGGATTCCGGGAAGGAAGCCAGCATGACTGCAGGCACAGGGGGCAACACCAGGAGTGAGGGCACGTGCCGGGGGGCTGGGGAGATCAAGTGGGACAGGTGAGAATGGGCCAGATGATGACCGCACTTTGGAGCCCAGCAGAGGAGCTTAGACCTGGTAGGGTGGGCTGTTGAGCCCCTGGAGGGCTCTGAGCAGGTGCAGGAGGTGAGAAGTGCGGTGTCTGTACAGATCTCTGAAGTGAAGCATTGGCTGTGGGGTCAATATCATGGCCATGGGCTTTCGGAACCCATGAAAAGACTGTGGGCTGGACCCAAGGGCAGATGCATGTCTCACTGCCATGCTCGCCCTCCCCAGCTCACCGCACACCCAGTTCCTGGCTTCCATGCAAACTCAGGAAACACCAGTGGAGACATTGTCCCCTGCCATTAGGCTGATTGATCGAGAAGTCAAGCCGCCTTATGTTCAGTGTAGTGAGCTGATGGGCTTTTGTTCTCCAGGCCAAATTCCTACGATCCGTTTGGTCCCAGAACACTTTGCCTGTGGAGTTTATGAGAAGCAAGTACAGAAGTAAACTTACAGAATGTAATTTTGAGACTATGGACAGAGATATTAGAGGAGAAAACTGTGATTCTCCTAAATCCAAGGGCTGGTGGTATTGGATGGGTTGGCTGCACCAGCGGGAGTGGGAAGACCCCTTTGTGGACCTTGGTGCTGTACGGGAGAGGTGATAAGAATAGCCACCAACCTAGCACATCCTGCAGGCTAGATCCTAGGCTGGGTACCGTGCATATGAGTCCCGCAAGAACACTATGAGGAAGGTCTTATGAGTCCAGTATTGCAGAACAACAAATTAAGTCTCAGAAATATTTTACAAATCGCCCAAGGTCTTCCAGATAGTACATGACAAGTGAAATTACAATGTAGGCCTTCCCTGTGTCCCACTCTATATTAGCAGGAGGTAGGTGGTCCAGGTCTTTGCTATGAACCATTCAGAGTCTGACAGTTTAGCGTGCATTTCCCCCTCAATTTTGCCTTTGAAATCTCTTGTGCATTTGAACAGATGAAAAAACTTTGGGATTGACTTGTTGGATATGGTTTGGATGTTTTGTCCCCTCCAAATCTCATGTTGAAATGTGACCTCCGATGTTGGAGATGGAGCCTAGTAGGAGACATTGGCTCGTGGAGGCAGATGCTTCGTGAATGGCTTGGTGCTGTCCTCACGGTAATAAGGGAGTTCTCACCCAGTTCATGCAAGAGCTGGTTGCTTAAAAGAGCTTGGACCCTCCTCCTCTCTCTCTTGCTCCCTCTCTCACTATGCGATATGCCTGCTTCCCCTTTACCTTCTGCCATGATTGTAAGCTTCCTGAGGCATCACCAGAAGCCAAACAGATGCTGGTGCTATGCTTGTGCAGCCTGCAGAACCGTGAGCCAAAAAACCTATTTTCTTTATAAATTACCCAGCCTCAGGTATTCCTTTATAGCAGTGCAGATGGAATAACACACTTGTACAGCCACAAATCTGCTCCCCCTCTTCCTACTTATTCCTATCTTTTTTGCATCTTCCATCCTCCCCATCTCCAAAACATTTAGGGAGAAACAAGGCTGGCGTCTGCTGGGTAGCAGTCTGACTGATTATCAGGCTTAGCCTGATCAGGAGCTGTTGGCATTACACACCACATAAGGACAGCTGGTATGGATCTTTGGCCCTGAAGGTAGATGAAGAACCTTCATATCGGAGGCATGACCACAATTTTGTTTGCAAAACTGAATTAATATGCTTACGCTTCTATCTTCGTGCCCCTAGTGGAATGATGTTTGTGGAGCCAGTGGCCTGTGGGTGCCTCGAGAAGAACAGGGGTAGGGCTGGCTGCACCTTATCAACAGCTGATCAATAGCTATCAACCTGTCAACCAGCCAGGGAGTCAAGGATTCGAGGGAGATGCTCGCTAAGCAGCAGCAAGTTCCTGGGCATTGGCTTGTCCAGAATGGCAGTTCCTGGGTAAATAATGAGACCGCATCACCAGTGGAAATGGGAAAACACACAGGTACACCATGCTGGTGCCTGCAACACCTCAAAGACCAACATCTTGCTTCGGGGGTTGAAACCAAGTGGTCGAGACTTTACACAAATGCCTGGTCATGGTCATTTCTTTTCTCTGTAACTTTGGTTGCCCTGACTAGGTGGCTCTGAAGGAGAGAATTCCCCCGACCCGACTTCTTTGCACTGGACTGGAATTGAGTATTAGGTCAATACGATCAGTGCTACTTTGGAGGTTTCTGTGTGGACTTTCTGATGGGGGAGGAAGGCGTGATTACTAACTTGAGTTCCTATTAATCACTCTGTTCCCCTCCCCGGTCAGGTTCAGGACTTTCCTCTGAAGGGCCTGGGGAAGATTGCGTCTTCGTGCAGCTTGATTTGGTTCAGCCTTCTCTTAGCAAATTCCCTTTCTGGGTGGCCGACTCACATTTCTGACAATCTGAGCTGCTCATGGTTGCTTAGGAGATGGATAATGCATTCCTTTAGCTAAGTCACTTGGGAAACATTTAGCACCACTTGTACATGGGCGATCACATGTCTCTTAGGGCATTGATACTTCTGACAAGTTTCTTGAGGCTTCTCCTATCCCTGGCTTCTACAATGCAGCCAGGAACAGCAAATGCCATTTGGCTCACTTAATAGCAAGGCATCTGTAGGACTGCGCCTGTATTTTTAATCAAGTGCAGATTTAGAAAATACCTAATTAGAGGCAGGACAGCAGCATCTTAAGGTCATGGGCTCTGCTGTGATATTATCTGGGCTTGGATCTTGGGCATGGCACATTGCTGCTCTGCCTTGCCTCAGTTTCCCAATCTCTACAATAAGGGTAATGATAGGACCTGCCTCCTGGGGTTTGGTAAATGATAAATAACTTATTCCAGGTAAAGCTCTTAGAATACTACCTGACACACAGTAAGTGCTTAATAAATAGTAGCCTCTATTAAGCATGTTAAACCCCAAGGGAATCCTATTTTTAACTTTTTTGGAGTTTTTGAACCAGTTTTAGTGATCTAGTTCAACTCTTAGAACTACCAGTGTTCGGTGACCACATGCAGTGAACTGAGATATGCTAGGTGCTGAATATATAAAGACAACTATATAAAGTTTGGTTTCATAAAGAGATTTTCATCTAGTGAAAGCAAGTATTCCTGGGCATAGCCACAATAAATACGCAGGTGCCTTCTTTACTGTATCATTGCACTGAAGTCAGGCAACAAGAGAGCTTGTGTGAACCCTGTTTTAAAAAGGGTGTAAGCGGGGAAGGGATCAAGAGGACTGAATGTTAGCCCAGATTCTTTTGTTGTGTGACCTCGGGTAAGCCACTGAAGCCTTCTAGATCTGACTCAGGTTCCTCATCTGAGAAATGGGGCTACAAAGTTATGCACTAACTTCTAGCAGTAATTCACGTTATGCAGCTGGGTAGGAGATAGTGCTCTGTCCCACTGAACGTAATGATCGCGAGTTTTTCTTGGAACGATTTGCCTGCTGTACAGGTGGAACTAACCAGAGGGTGAAAACCAGGCCAGTTCACCTGCGTGGCTTAACGTTAATTACATTTGACATTCTTGCCTGGCAAAATCCCAAACTGGAAGGTGGCCTGAAGCCCCTTTAAGGGGATTTCTGCCAGCATCTACGTGGGACTTCTGATTTGAGGCACAGTTTGCTTTATAAAGAACCAGATTCTCTGATATTACTAGTAGCAGTCTTTTTCCATTAGCAGATAAGCCAAAGTGTATTACATAGTAATTACTGACTCTGCTAGAAGGCAGAGCTTCTCTTGTAGCCATATCCTTTGGGTGGATGGGTGGATGGGAGAGCCGGGGGCATCTAGGAGGGATGAGGTAAGGAGTATGCATATTTTTACCCAGAAGTGTACTCTGCAATTTCCACTTTTGGTTTTGTCTCTGCCTAGTGAGATGTAATACCAAAATGGCTCACGGAGACTGCTGGAACCCCGTGTCCAGAGCTTGGGAGCAAGCGGTCTGTGTCTTTCACAGCACTGCAGCTGCCCGATTTCAGGCTCAAAAATCAGATTGGAACCTCTGCTGGGTTCACAGGGCAAACACCCTCTGGCAAGTCACTCTTTCAGAGGAGGGTTGTGAACAGCCACGTGCTGGGTGTGGAGGCAAGTGGGTCTCCAGGGCAGCCGGCTGGGATCCACTTTGCACAGATCTCGCCTCACCAGGAGGAAGCTCCCTGGCAGTGCAGGCCCCCGTGATCCAGGAGGGACTGCGCTTGAGCTTAGGTGATGGCAGCAGGCGTGTGACTCCCACACTGGGAGCTCTGGCCCCAGAACAGAAGCTTCTAATCAGCACCACCTGCTCAAGGCAAAAGGCCCCGGGTGGCCAGGCCAGCAGATGTCTTTATCAGTGGCTCGACATTGGCAGAGGAACTCTGTGGACTCCTGAGGGCACAGGGCGGAAGCAGGGAGAAAGGGCTGTGGATGGGGATCAGGGACCCTGGATTCTAGTCTCAGCTCTGCCACAGGCTGGCTGTGTGGCTTCTCCCCTCTGGGCCTTGACACAGAAAGCTGACATTAGAGTTAGATCACCTCTGGGTCCCTGTGGTGCTAGCAGCCTGCGTTCCTTCTGGATTCTAAGGGACCACAGGGAAAAGCTGTTGCCCAGTGAGAGACTCATTGGGTGGGCAGCTGCCCCAAGGAACATCTTTAGGGAGCCCTGCAGTCTGGCCCCATGGCACCCCAGAAACTAGGAGGGCTGCCGGCTAATCCCCTGGTGATAATTCTCAGTCTCTGTGAACCACTGAGGCATTTCCTATCAGGGTGGCATCTCCAGTGACCTTGCTGAGTTGGTGACTTTGACGGTGAACAGGCTGGGTGAGACTGGGCTCACTGTGGCCATCAGAACCCAAGCTGGCTTCATCTCCCGGCCAGGAGAGAGCCTCACCACGTGGGCTCCTAACATCCCCCTCAGCAGCTCCGCGTCCCTTCTTCACAGAGGCCATTCAACAGCCAGTGATTCTCAACATGTGGTCCCCATTGGCACCACCTGGGAACTTGTTAAAAATGCAGATTCTTGGGCTCCACCCCAGAACTTCTGGCTCAGATACCCTGGGGGTGAGGCCCAGTAATTCATGTTTAAAAATCCCTGCAAGTGTTCTGAGGCACACTAAGATGTGAGAGCCACTGCATCAGACTAACCACGTGTGTTCCTCTTTTATTTAAAACCATATCTTATTAAAACACCAACTTAGCAATAAAAGAGCCCTTAAAAATCACCCACAGCCCTACTGCCCCATCACAGCACCTGCTGTCATCTCTCTTCCAGCCTTGGTCCATTTGCCTGCATATTTTTTTACGCAGACATGCTTATGTTGGACTTTTTTTCACTTAACAGTATTAGTGCGTCTTTTCCATTGCTTCATAACCTTCATATTTGTCATTTTCATTGACTGCAGAACACCTCCCTAATGTACTGGCTTTATGGCCTGGCTGCCCTGTCCATAAGCATTTGGTGACTTGCCACTTTCCATTTTTGGAAAAGTCACCTGTCTGCCCAGGGAAAGTCACCTTTTGGGGAATTCCACTGCCCAATGCCTAACCTTCCCTGTAAGCCCTCAACATGAAGTGATCCAAAGAAGATTGCTTAACGAAGAAAAAAAAAAAATCCAGCCAGCCCAGAACAGATACAGAATCTGCAGGGATGGATCACCACTGAACGTTCCCTGCCCTCCCCAGTGTTCTGAACCCGAGTCTTTTCTCATTTCACTCGCAGGTGGCGTCAGCAGAGGGGGAGCCCGGGCTGAGGCTGGGCTGGAGCCTGTGGCCTCGCCCCATGCCAGGCCCTCCGTCTGGTCATTTCCTGAGCATCCTGGTCTCCCAGCAGGAAGGCCAGTCCTTCCTCTCATGCCCCCTCCGCCTTCCCCCCTCTTCCCCTCTGGCACCCTGGTCTCCTCCCAGACACTCAGCTTGGCCAGCACACCCTCTAGTGGTAGCCCCTTTGTTTTGACAAGACCTATAATGGTTCTGGGGCCACGTAAATAACACTAAGATTATTTTGTTAGGATAAATTCCTAAGTATGGGATGGCCAGGCCTAGGGTAACCCTCAGGGTTTCTTTTAGGCCATGATCTCTTCTGCCAGTGGCAGTCTGCAGGCGTGCTCCATCAGTGGGTCCATGTTGCTTTGGGGATAAAATTCGAACTTCATGACATAGCAAACTATGTTCATCATTATTGGCTCATGGACCACAAACTCAGGCCAGATGCCTAGAAGGGGCAGATTAGTGACATAAGTACTGATTGGGCCAGACGATACGAGAGGGTGGGCCTACAATGAGCTAGAGAGAATACCCAACCTAATCACAATCAACAACAGAAAGTTCTAGTGAAAGAGAAATGGTGGAGAGTGCTGATGTCCATCTTGTTCTTGGTTTATGTCTTTAGCCTCAGCTTTGTCTACTATACATCTCCTCCTGCACATCCCAGGCATACCTGAATGGGCCCTGCTCTCTCTTGCCTGTTTTTTGTTTCGTCTGCCTTTTCATGTGCTGTTTCCTCTGCCTAAATGTTTATTTCCTTTTTATCTCTCTGGATGATTCCTACTCATGATTTAAGATTCAGCCAGAAGGGTCACCTCCTTTGGAAGCTTTTTCTAGGACAAGCTCTGCTATGTTAGGAGGAGGCCTGGCGTTTGGGTAGACAACTGGAGAGGGCCTTCCCTGCACTGTATTTGGTGGGATGGAGCCATGGCGCTGAAGGCTCATCGTTTTTGAGAGCATCATTGCAATTCACTTTTCAAATTTCTTTCTTTAAGGCTATTCCAAGGGACCTATGAGAAATGCTGATGGTGTGGCCTCTTTTCCTGGGCAGTTACCCTGGTTAGCCCAAAGTAGACTCTGGACTCTTCCAGGGACAGTCCAAGATAGAAATATGCAGTTACATTTAGTAATTTCTTTCCTTTTCTAGACTGAGGGCCATTTTTTCATCTTTATGTCTCTGGAAACCAGTAGTATGCTTGGCGCACAATAAGTATTTAATACATTATTTTTGAATGGATGGATAGAAGACTGGAGAGATGGATGGAAGGAGGGAGATGCATGGACACATGGATGGCTGGATGGATGGATGGATGAACAGACAGATGGGTGGATGGATGGAGGGTTGGGTGGAGAGATGGATGGATGGAATGGAATGCTGGCTGGCTGGCTGGATGGCTGGATGGGTGGGTGGGTAGATGGATGGATGGAAGGCTGGAGGGAGGGGGAGTGATGGATGGATGGGTGGTGGGAGGGAGGCATGGATAGATGGACGGATGGGTAGAAGGATGGATGGATGAAGAGATGCATAGATGGATGGGTTTATGGATAGAAAATGGATGGATGGATAAATGATGGAAAGATGGATGGGTGGAGAGATGGATTGATGGATATCCTATATCTATTCCTATGCTTCTGTGGCTTCTGAAGAGGTGCCTGGGCAGTGACTTCCCCAGTGGTCTCTCCCAAACCTTTCCCCTCTGTGACCCTCTACCTAACACAGCCTTTTCTCCTTTTTCTTCTTCCCACCACCCACTCTCCCATGTTCCTCTTTTTAGCTTTACCCTCATCCCAGTATTTTTCTCTCCTTTCTTTTCTCTTTGATCCACCCTATTCCTAACATAAACCAGTCCATTCCGTACCTCCTCTTGCTTGTTTCACCCTGAGTAATTAGCCAGGAAGTTTTTGGTTTAGGGCTAATCCCCAGGACCTCAGAAAGGACATGTCCTGAAGAGCAGAATCCCCAGAACATTTCAGGGGAAGAGCTGGGAGGAAGGGACTTATGAGGCCTAGATGCTGGAGCTGGGTGTACCCTACGGGCCCCTCCCCAGTGAGTTTCCATCACCCTTCACAATGGAGTCAAATCCATCTGCTGTCCTGGAGACTAGGCTGGTAGAGGTGGGAACGAACACACATGCCCTCAAACCTTGTGGGTGGGGCTCTAGGTTCTGGCATTCTTTCAGGAGTTGCTAGACTGACCCACAGGATGGAGCACTTTTCCCTACTGCCCCATAATGTCAGGGGTAATAGGTGCTGCCCCAATGACAGTGCTAAAGCAGAATCAGGGCAGACCCTCAGGAAGCTGATGAGACCTTTGCTTCCGTGGAGATCAAGGAGCTGTAACAATGACACCTGAAGTCACTGCCATCTTTAGGGACTGGAAAAATCACCCTGGGTGATCTGTTCCCTGCCCCACCTCAGGCACCTGCCACTCTTGGGACCCCAGGGGATTAGAGGCATGTCAAGAGCAGACTTCCAGAGGACAAATCATGAGTAGTACGTATTGGAAGAAGTAATATGTGATTGGAGAATAGTAATGCTAAGCCATTTCTTTCTGCGTGGTACAAGGTTCTCCTGCCCAGTACAGGTGAGGAAACTGAGTCCCAGTGAAGTTAAGTGGCTTTCTAGAAGCTCTACTGCCCCCAGTGACCGCTGGACTGGGCAAGGCTGTTGCAGCTGCAGGCCTTTGGCTGTGGTTGAGCTGCAGTTGTTTGTGTTAGTTTCAGCAGATGAGGCTGCTGGCTTCCCTCTTATGGCTGCTCTTCCAAGGCCTCCAGCAGGCCCAGCAGCCCAGGAGCCTTCAGGCTTGAAGATGGCCCTGCCCTCAGATACCCTCCTGCACTGCGGCTCTCTTGAATCTTTAGGAGGAAAACCCCTAGCCATGATCATGGTCTTCATCTCCCAACCCACACTGCTGGAAGAGACACCTGTACCCAGAGTCGCCCTTGTACTGCATTTGGTGGAAAGGTCCCTCTAGCAGCTGGTGTTGGGGCTCATCTTGACCTGCAAGGAGGCAGGCTTTGAGTGCCCTATTTGCAGAATGTCCAGAGGCTGTCATTCTACACCTGCCTCTCATTTGGAGACCTGAACTAGAGTTGTAAAGGTGGTGCCAGGAGAGGGCTTTGCCAAGGCATCTCATGAAAACCTGGCCAACAAGTGTTAAGGGTCCACCAACTACAGTTACTGAGGCAAACACCTCATCTCTGCATTCAGAGTTAGCAGAGGACAAAGGACTCGAATGGGCTAAAGGTCATTCAGGGGCAAGAATGGCATTTCTGGACTCTTCTCCTTAGTCATGGAAGGACAAGGCTGTGCTGGGAAGAGGTCCCACTCTGCCACTAACTAGCTGGTGTTGCAGCTTGAAATCACCCAGTCTCTGCCCCTGACGGTTCCTGGTCCACCTTAGATAATACTCTTCACCCTCCACCGCCAGCTCCCTTTCAGGTCTTCATCTTCCTGAATGTGGTTTCCTCTTTGAAACTTTCATCTTCTCCTGCAGTGCTGGATGTGAGAGGACAATCCCTGGACCATCACTTTTGAAATGGGCAAGAGGTAGGGGCTTCCCTAAAGATCGGAAACAGGCATGAGAGAATGCTGTGTTCACCCACCTGACCCTTGGGTAAACATCTGAGGCTCAGGATCATAGATCCAGTTGATGGCAGAGTCAGGACTGTCCCATGAAGGGTGCCAGCCAACTCTGCTGCCATCTGGAAGGGCAAGAAGGCTGCAGGGGCAGAGGGCAATGTGCAGGCTTCCACAGGAGCTCCTGTGTGAGATGGGGGTCACAGGTGGTGGCAGGAGAGGACTTTGCCAAAGCATCTGAATGTCAGCATGCAAAGTGGGGTGCATGGGGTCCTGCAATGAGAAGAGGTTCCGGTTCACCTCGCACAGGGTCAGTTTCAAAGCGTGTGTGTTGTGTGTTTCTGTGTGTGAAGGAGAGACGGTTTTGTGGCCTATTCTAACTCAAGCAGCTTCTGAGCTCTAGTGAAGTAGTTTCAATTTGGTTCCTGCGGCTTAAAAGGTTGCTGGAACACTTCAGCAAAATTGTAGCTCCTTAATTTAGCTGCCTGTCAGTTATTTTTTTTTTCCAGGTGGTTTCAGGTTGACGGTGAGTTTGACATTTGTAAAAATGTTTTGGAAACCATATTAGACACCTTGAAGTGAAAAGGAATTTAAAGTACCTTATTCCAGGAAGCGGGATTGGAATTATTCTTCTGCCTACCCCAAATCGGATCGCTTTCCTTTCCTTAATCTACATGGACAAAGCCCAGTGCTGCGTTGGGAAACTGTAGGGTGCTTTGAGCACATGGCCTTTGTGAATTTCCTTCCTGCTTGCTGTCACCTTCATTTTGGGGACTTCTGCTTCACTTGAGCACAGCTAAAGACAGAGCATTTTTATTTTGTTTGTGAGAGCGTCAAAGGATATTAGGGATGGGAAGAACATCCAGGACATTCCTCATACGCTCATCCCCACTGCTTTCCCAGGGGCTCAGAGGGTGAGGGCTGCAGCCACATTCACGTTCTGATGCCTGCAGAGCTGAGAGTCACCCCGAAATCCGTGACTCTGGAGCCCCCTTGCTCTGTGAAGCCATACAGTAAAATACTGTGACATTTAGCTGCCAGTTTCAGGCCAGCTATGTGCCCAGAGCTTGTACCTTAAATTAGAAGAGCCTGACGGGTGACGTATAGGGCTTTGCCACCTGGACAACTATGCCATGATTCCTCCTGCGCCCTTAGAGATGGGGAGAAATAGCAACCACCTGCCTTGAAATAGGAGCATCTCCCTGTACCCCAGCCTGCTTGCTCTGACGCCGTCAAATCCATTGAGAGATGCTGTCAGACACTCTGCCTGTGCTAGGAATGCAAAGAATGAAAAGCCAGAGCTCCTGCCTTTGGAGCAGATATCGACAGACCAGTGTCAATAAAGCCCTGATGGTGGTCTGGGCCACACGAAGCCTCTTGAGGTAGCTCCGCAGGATGGCAGGATGTCTTTCTCTCTCCTGGTGGAGAACGAGGACGATGTCCAGGTCACAGGTTCTCAACTCTGGCTGCTCATTGGAATAACCAGTGGCGGTTTGAAAACTCTTTCACCCACATTCTGACACTGAGCTGGTCTCAACAGGGACACAGGCACGAGTAGGTATTTCTGGAAGCTTCCAGGTGTTTTCAGGGTGCAGCCAGGGCTGAGAACTGTTGCACTAGCGGAAGGACTCAGATTGGAGTCCTATTTGGAGAACTGTTAAAGAAAAAATAAAATGGCCAGGCATGGTGGTTCATGCCTGAAATCCTAGCAGTTTGAGAGGCTGAGGTGGGCAGATCCCTTGAGGACAGGAGTTTGAGACCAGCTTGGACAACAGAGCAAAACTCTTTGTCTCCAAAAAAAATTAGCTGGGTGTTGTAGCGCATACCTGCAGCCCCAGTTGCTCAGGAAGCTGAGCCAGAAGGATCACTTGAGCCGAGGAGGTTGAGGCTACAGTAAGCCGTGATTGGGCCACTGCACTCCAGCCTGGGTGACAGAGCAAAACCCTGTCTCCGAAAAAAAAAGGAAAAATAAAATGATTCAGGGGAGCTGCTGCATAGGGTGTTGCAGTGGGGAAGAGAATTCAGGCTCAACTTCGAATGCAAAGGACAAGTGGGAGTTCATAGGTAAGGAGCAGGAGATGGAGGTCAGTGAATGGAAATTATGGGGGAAACACCAGGAGTAAGGGGGATTGTGGCTAAAGTGACCTAACAGGATTCCTGCTGATGGCACGCCAGGGTGATCAGACCACCTGGGGGATGGCAGCAGATGGGGAACTCAATTCGATACTGAAGTTGGGGGGATTCAGGTTAAACCAGCTTAACAGGATTCTTACTAAAATTGGACAACGCAGGGACAAAGGTAGAAGCCTAGAAATTAGGGCCTGGTTGAGGAGAGAGTTCAAAGGAATCTGAGTAGAGTTTAGTCAAAGTGAGACTCTGTCAGAATGACGGGTGGTACATGGCGGGTGGAAGCCTGTGGCACATGTGGGGCAGAGGGCAGGGCTGAAAGATGGGACAGGATGGGTTTGACCTTGACAATTGGGGCAGGAGGGGCAGAGGAGTGAGAAGATCAGGTCTGTGGTCTTAAAAGATTACTCTGTGGTAAGGAGATTAGGAGGGCCTGGCTCCCAGAGTTCAGTGGGGGACACATGGCATTTGAGGTTCTGGTTGGGCAGTCCAGGTGGAGATTTCCAAGAGGCAGTGAAGTCATGGTCTAAGGCCAGGGCGGAGGTGGAAGAGCTACCGGTGTCATAGCCACATTTACCTGGTTTCTGCAGCTGTGGGAGTGAACTGTGGATGTTGTCACTCACCTGGTGGGGGGTGGGGTGTCTTCCTAAAAAAGCAGGTGAAGGACAGAATAGCGCCAGTGTGGAGAGAGCCGAGGAAGAGGAAACTGCCTGGGTGACCAAGAATACGTAGTGACAGAGGAGGACAATACGCGATCACAGACACCAGGAAAGAAAAAGGTGGCTTTCTGGAGATAGCGCCCCTTCCTTCATCATAACCCATTCATTCAGACCCTGTCTGTGAGTATTTCAGGGCAGGAGGAATGGATGGCAGTCTCGTCAATACCCCTTAAAATTTCTGAACATAGGGGCCATTGAAGTGCCTGTGTGCCATTGCCTGCTTATTAAAATGAATTATGAACAAATATATTTCTTTTAATTCTTATGCAGTTCTGTGAGATATGTATTCCAGTTTACAAACAGAAGCTGGACCTCGGAGAGGGGAAACGATTCTCCCAAAATTGTGTAGCCAAGTGGAAGAAACATTGGAATCTAGGTCTGATTCCAGACTCTTCCGCTGTCCCATATTAGTTTCACACCAGATAATTTTCTCTGATCAGACGTTAGGAAGATGTTGAAAACACCTAAGGAATGGGGCAGGGGTGATGAACAGATATACCTGAAGCAGGAGGGAAGGGAAGGTTTTTATATGATGATGTTCACTGGAGCATCATTGACATCATAGACAAAGCAGTCTAACAACAGAGGAAAGGTATTTCAAGGCCGTGAACCTTCAAATCTGTGTTTGTAAAGGCTATATATGGTCTTTTCCAGTGGTTCTCAAACTTCAGCATGAGTTGCAAGCGCCGTCAGAGCTTGCCAAGACACAATTGTTGGGCCTTACCTGGAGCTTCTGATTCAGCAGGACTGCGGTCCCAAAATAGGCATGTCTAACAAGCTCCCAGGTGATGCTGCTGATCCCAGGATCACACTTTGAAAACCACTGGTCTAATTTAGCCTGCACAGGTGATGGGTTCTACTTCTAAAAATGAGGGATGAATGCATTTGGCTTTAGATTGCTGAACTAGGGATTCCTCCTCCGGGAAAAATGGGATTCGAACCCTTTGAGGAGACTCTTCTTCAGAGTGGATTATTTAAAAAAAAAAAAAAAAAAACAGTCTCCAAGAGTCTTCAGAAAAATTAGCCCCAAAGGCATGGGATCGGCTGAACTGCAGCTGGTGGAGCAGTGCCTGTCAAATATTGATGTGCGTGCAGAACACCTGGGGTCATGTTAAAGTACAGATTCCAACTCAGCAGGTCCAGGGTGGGGCCTGAGCTTCTGCATTTCTGACAAGCTCCAGAGGCAGCTGCTGCTGCTGCCTGCTGCCTGCTGCCTGCACGGCTCGACCACACTTCCAGTAGTGAGGCTAGAGGATCCGTGACTGCACTGCTACATGTGACAGATCATTGAGATTTAACCTCTCTCCACCTCCTGAGTAACATGATCGATGTCACAAAATCTCTATTTGAACAGTTCTATAATGTTCAAGGAAGCAGGTAAAACAGAGCAAATGTGTGAATAGTTGTCATTTTAGGGGTGAAGGGAATTTTTTTCCCCCTTGAAGGTTTGAATCTGCTGAAATAAACTGAACAGAAATCAACAGGAGAAAAGGCATACCCATGTATTAATGTGCAATTGTGCACGGGAGCCATACAAAATATGAGACTCTAAGAAGGGTCAGGGAGTTGAGGCTTAAAGACCATTTTCATGGGGGAAAGAGATGTAGGCAGTTTTGAGGGGGTGGTAAATGATTCTTAGGAGAAATGAATGAGCCCAAAGAACAGACAGTGGCCTGAGTCAGAGTTCCTCTTAGCGCTGGTGGATTGTGGGAAGGTGAGGGGTGCAAGTTCACTGCAGACAAAGATTGTCTCATCATGCAGATAAAGTCTCCCAAGTAATGTCTCGGAGCTGCTCTTGGAAGAATACAGAAAAAGCCTGTCTGGGCATGGTGATGACTTTTAGTCTTTTCTCCTGTAGTTCATCTTTCCTAGTTATTCAGTGAGATTCCTAGGGAGGGGCTCTTAAGACAATTGCTTTTTTCGGGGGAAGAAGTTTGTTTCTTCTTCACTTCTGGGGAGAAACAAGGTGGTTTAGAAAGTCTTTGGTTCTCAGGCAGCTTCTAGGGCCTTCCAATTTCCTGTAATTCAAAAATGCTTGGCATGCCAAAGCCGCCTATTTTAGGGTATTGTTCTCTGAGCCCCAACATCATAGTAGTACAGGGGAGGGGAAAAAAACTTTGTTCTCCACCTTCTAGGTTCTCCAATGGAGCCCTTGTAACAAAAGACAATTAACAAAGTAAATTTACAAACAGAAGTTTATTAACATGTACATCTCATATGTACATGGGAGAAACTCAGGGATAAGTAATTCAAAGAGGTGGCTGGAATTTGGGCTTCAATACCCTCTTCAGCTGAAATGAAGAAAGAAGGTTATGGGGGAGGCAATTTATGGGAAGGTGACCAGGAAAACTACAGAAAGCAAGTGTAAGGTTCGTGTTGCAGACTTGAGGCTGTGCCTTCTCCCTCGATAAGGGTCTTGTGATTTAAGGTCACCCCCGTCTTCCTGGTACAGAGAGGGAGATGCTCTTAGAAGGGCAGATTTTCTCTGTAGATGTAAAATTTCCCTTACGAAAGGGTAACTTCTCTGTTTTCAGAGCTTCTCCTGTGTCTGCAGTTTCTCAAAATAATCAGCTCAAAATAATCCTCATGCCAAAGAGGCATATTTCAGAGTGGCATATTCTGGTCTCCTGCGTGAGCTTCGAAAAATCCTGCAAGATGGGAGACATCCGATCTCTCACTTTTCTGATGCTAAACCTGAAGCTTCAGGAGGCCAAGGAACCTGCTCAGAATCCTGGCTTCTTCCCATTACCTCAGACTCCAAAGAACACACACAGTCCAACCCCTTCTTTGTAAGTGGAGCTAATATCATATTTAATGAGAGCAGGGTTTCTCATTGGCTTTTGACGTTTGGAGCCAGATAATTCCGTGTTGGGGGAGGGGAAGCTGTTCTACGCATGATGGGATGTTGACCGGCATCGCTGGTTTGACCTACTAGATGCCATTAGCTTGCTGCCTCCCCTGCGACCCACCCCTGCCACTGCTACCCTGGTTGTGGCAACTAAAGATGTCCCCTGGTCATTACCGAATGTCTCCTGGAAAGAGCTTGTCTCCAGTTGAGAATCACTGAACTAGGGCACTGGAAGTATGGAGAATCGCCTGTTGACATATTTATGCCTAGTGTTCCATTATTGGAACGCTAAGCTTGTGGGAGTTATTTATATCCTACTGCTCAAGGTCATCACCAAGGTCTGATTTTTCACAAAAAATTCGTAACCTCCGGCATGAATGGGTTAAAACACTCACCCACTCCTGGGCCCCAGCACAGGCAATCCAGTCAGTGTTTCTCTGTGGAAAAGGACCCTGGCATTTGTATTTTTAAAAGTTTCCTGGGTGACTTGAAATAAGCTGTAGCCAGGCTTGAGAACCACCGGAGTCATCTTCCGAATGGAGGAGTGATAGAGTTCTAGAGGAAGGATTTTAGATGATTTTTGAGGCATGGTGAGAAGCTTTGATAAAACACTGCCGTTACAGTGTGAGGGAGGCTTCAACCAAAGTACTCGCTTCCCTTTGCAATATTTTTTAAACGTAGCTGTTATGCACTAAATGCCCTGTGAAATTAATTTGTCATTGTTATGTTCTGCCATCCAATTACAAGTTTCTTGTTACTACTTCAGTAATCAAATTATTCTTTTAACAAAAAATGAGGCAGGGGAGCTGTTATGAGAACCACTGACAGGTCTCCTTCCCTAGGCATCTTTTCTCTTCTGCCCACCCACCGGGGAGCAGGCCCTGCTTCCTGCCCTTGCCCTAGAGGGCGGAGGGAACCCTGCCATCCTCTCTCCAGTCCTGCCTTCATGGGCCTTCCTCCACACCCTGGTGCTGTACTGTTTTTCAGAAGCTTGCTTTTTTTTTTTTTTTTTTAAAGTCTTTTTTTTTTTCCCCAGAAACTTTCTCTTTTTTTTTTTTTTCTTTTTTAGAAGTCTCAGAAGACTTCAGTGGTCCCATTGTATACAACCACACACTGTTGCCTGAAATGCAAGGTCATTCACAGAATCGCCCATGGTGCACGGAGCTGCGCTCAGGCCCAAACGGTCAGATTCTGCTTTTGACCCACCTGAGCCCACTCCCTGCATGGCTCACAGAGCCCTGCCTTCTGCAGGTACCAGGTCAGACTCTGCTTCTGCCTCACCCGAGCCCACTCCCCATGTGTCTCACAGAGCCCTGCCTTCTGCAGGTGCAGCACTGTTGCCACCTGTGCCACATTCCCCGTGAGATCTGACATCCCCTCTCTGTATTCCTGGTGATCCAGGCTGTGCCAGTCTCTGTACCTTGGGGAGTGCTCGGCACCTATATGTTCAGGCCCAGTACAGGGTCTGCTCTGAGGGGATGGGGCCTCCGTGGGGCAGGCAGCCCTGAGAGGAGGGGGTCCCTGTGTGGCCACATGGGCGTGGCCTTGTGTTTCCTGTGCAAAATGGGCAGCCTGGCAGTTATCTGGTAATGAGTGCATCCAGGACAGATGACCAAACTGGAGTCGCGTGGTCGCCAGTTGAGAACCACTGACCTAGGCTCCATGTCTGCCCAGGCTCCCCTGCGAGGGCCACTGGCACTTGCCTCTTAGTCTTCCTCCCCACTCCCACCCGTGTCCCCGCCCACCACGGGAAGCCAGGGGCATCCTGTGCACATTTATGACAGGATAGGAAGCAAAATGAAGACTTCTAGTGAAATCGTCGTACATCTGCCCATTGTCACATGATTTGGGGCATTTTTTCGAGGTTTATCAAGGAAGAGTAAAAATCACAGCAGTAAAAAGAGACTTTGCACTGGCCTGCTGGATCACAGGTGCCGCATTGTTTCTGTGTGTATTACCTCATTTAACCCTGATGAGGGGATGGGCACTGACTCCATTCCAAAGGCGAAGACATTAAGGATGTTAAACTACATGTTAAAACAGCACAAGGAAACCCTGTCTCTACTAAAAATAAAAAAAAATTATCTGGGCGCGGTGGCAGGCGCCTGTAGTCCCACCTACTCGGGAGGCTGAGGCAGGAGAATGACGTGAACCCGGGAGGTGGAGTTTGCAGTGAGCCGAGATCGCGCCACTGCACTCCAGCCTGGGCGATAAGTGAGACTCTGTCTCAAAAGAAAAAAAAAAAAAAAACAGCACAAGGTGCTGTGCTCTGAGTTTTTAGGGAGAAACCTACCTATTCTCAAATGTACTTCACGTTCTGGCACTTCAAAAAAGTAAAAAGAGAGAGAAATATTTCCCAGACTTACTTGTCAATATTCTCACTCTATTGGAAGAACACTTTTATAGAAATGTTAACCTCATTTGCATTGGCTTTTGTATCTTCCCCTTAAATCTTTAAGTCATTGGTCACACACCCCAAGTGAACCTAGTTTGAAAAGAGGTTTATTTCTCATTGCTACACCTGCCGAAGACCCGGACTCAAGGTCTGCTCTGGCCCCTGACATATTCAATGCTCTTGGCAACTTAAGTCAGAGTTTCTTCATCTGAAAATGGGCACAAGTCTTCAGATTGGCCCTGGATAGGGGAGGCACTGTGATGTGTATGAAATGTCTAGCACACTGTCTGGGACTTAGCAAGCTGTGGTGAGTGTCTGTGGCATTCTCTGATTGAACCAAAATCATAATTTCAGTTAAAACTATGAAAATATTGTTCATCACTTATGGATAACTGTGGGCATTTTACTACTGATGAACCCAAGAGGACTTGCCAGAGGTCACATAAAGCCAACAGTCAGGTGACAAGATGAGGATACTGGGTGAGTTCCCTGGGCCACACACTGGCCATCTGACCTGAGGCTGAGCGTGGGCTAGGAGTCGGTTCTTCTACACGAGCACGCCTAACAGCTCTGCCACCTGCTTTCCCAGTCTGCCCTGCCGTAGGGTCCAAGAAGAGCAATTCATGTCCTTATTTGTTTGTGGCTTCATTTGTCCCACGTGAAGGGCAGAGACAGAATTATGAGTGAGCAGACGGTGGTGTCTTTTAAATACCGCATTTCACTTCCTAGGGACGTTTCTTCATGGTGCTGATCATGCAGTGAACATTTCCTGACCTATGGAAGTGTCAGAAACATTTCTGGATGGAACATGTCTCTAAATTTCCAAAAGGTTGTATTTTAGGCCTAGACTTCAGACTCTTATATTTGAAAGAAGTCACTGTCTGACCACCCAGTGCTCAGAAAATGAGGTGGGAAGGTTTGGTGGACCTCAGCCTCCCCCACTGGCTTCTTAGTGGAAGGCTCATCTCTGACAAGAGAAGGGGCCCTTGAGAATGGAGCTTTCTGTGTGGCAATGAACATGGACTTGAAACCTGCTAGACTAGGTCAGGGGCATATGAAGGCATCTGGGCTGGCCAGACTCCAGTGGATGGACAGCTGTCTCCTCTCTTAAATTTTAAGAACTTAAATGCCAGGGCTTCCTTAAACATTGAGCAATGCTTACATGCTCTGAGTCAGCTTGGATCGTGATGGCTAGAAGGAGTCATAGAGGCTAACTCCCTCCATGTTCAGTCCAGGAGAGGGAAGGTGACTTCCCTGAGCCGACGTGGCTGGTCAGTGTCAAGGCTGGGCACTGAGTCCAGTGCAGCCCTCTCCCTATGGGTTCCTCCCTCCAACCTGCTCCTGCCCAGAGCTGCTCCTTCCGCTCTTTCTCCCCTTCCTCTGTCTCTGGGGATCTGGCCGATGATGCTCTTTGTGTTGTCAGGAAATGTGCCCAGCAGCCAAGCATACCCTGTCATTAAACCGAATCTGGTGGTAAGGATGTCTTTATGAAGACACCTCATCCTGTCATCTGCCTGTGACCATCACTTGGCCTCTCGGCCCTTTTTTTTTTTTTAAATCTATGATATTGGGAAGGTCAAATTAGCTGATCGCTAAGGTGCATTCCCATACTAAAAAAAATGTTCAGCCAGGCGTGGTGGCTCACGCCTGTAATCCCAGCACTTTGGGAGGCTGAGACGGGCGTATCACCAGGTCAGGAGATCAAGACCATTCTGGCTAACATGGTAAAACCCCGTCTCTACTAAAAATACAAAAAAAAAAAAAAAAAAAAAAAATTAGCCGGCAGTAATGGCGGGCGCCTATAGTCCCAGCTACTCGGCAGGCTGAGGCAGGAGAATGGCATGAACCCGGGAGGCGGAGCTTGCAGTGAGCCGAGATAGCGCCGCTGCACTCCAGCCTGGACGACTGAGCGAGACTCCGTCTCAAAAAAAAAAAAAAAAAAAAAAAAGTTCTGTTGTTTCTGATCTCTGAGTTATGCTGCGAGAAAAGAACCACTTTGTCCACTGCTGCTCCTTGAGCTTGGGGAGATTGTGGGGAGAACAGAAAGCAGCCGCCCGCCCCCCGTGTTTCTATTCAGTGTAAGAAGAAGAGACGAGCCCATTCTGCTTTCAGAGTGGATGCGGTGCCAGGGGGTTTGTTTCCTTGCCATTGGCTGGGCATGTTTTACTGCATTATTCTTCCATCGAATTTTCCATAACAGAGTTTTCAGACTCAAATCCAAAGTTATTACGGCAAATCCTGCTGGGAGGCTGAGAGGGATTTTTTTACTTTTAGGGAAAACGGGCCTATATTCTAGGCAATAAGGATGCCATCTTGAAGGAAATTGGCACAAACATTCTATGGCTGACACAGCGTCAGCATGTGACGGTGTTTGCTGGGCACCGTGTAGGCATGGTGTTGTGACTGGTGCCCAGGTATTGCAGCTGGACGGCTGCCTGGCAGCCATATCAACATGGGATACCTAGTTGTATGGCTAGCCTGGGAGTCTTCTGTGCATGTCATTATAGCGCGGAAAATGTGGGCAATCAGGACTGCCTAGCATCCGTATGTCTTGTATAGTTTATGACCTGCACACGGGCAGCTTGTGCCCCAAGTAATGGAGTCAGCACGTGGTTGTTATACAGGTACAGTTACATGGCTAATAGGTGAGCATGCATTGAATTGAGACAGTTTTGTGACTATCCCCTGTGCACCACGTGTGCACACCTACATGGTCACTATTCAGGCTTTGTGCATGTACATGCATAGGGTTGGCATGAAGATACTATGTGTATAACTGTATGGTCTGCAGGCACGGGATATTTGGTGATCACACAGCCATCCCCCAGGCCTTGTGTGTTGTAAGCTTTCTGCAATCTGTGGCCAATTAGAGGGCAGATGGAAGAGACCCTAAGACAACATGACCAGTGTTAACTTTGGGTCTCTAGAGAGCGACAGGAACTATGAGCTAGACGGCATCTGCGTCTTGTATATTTGTAATGACATTTAAATATTTTACCAGTCTCTTCGACGTCCTCATTGTGATGAGTTTTTCTCATTGATCTTTCCAAAACCAAAAGGGGCCATTCAATGTTTTTATTGTAGCGAAACCAAAGTTAATACTATGCATCTGTACTTTTGGCAGCCAGAACCCTGTAGTCTCCAGCGACGATAGTTTGTATTTTCAAATACACTGTAGCAGTGTACCAGATCCTACCACACAGGGTGTCAAGCCATAAACAGAGTTCCCTAGCCACCCCACCCCAGCTTTTCTTTATATAGTCCAATAAAGGGAATTAATGTTGTATCAAAGATGAAAATCTGCTTATCACAATAGGATTTACAAAATAATTGCACACGTTTTCTCATTTGACTAGCTCATTTTCAGTTCTGACAGCCCTTTTCTCTATATCATCTCACTTGATTCCCTGAGCAGCTCTGTCAGATTGACAGAATTCTCACATCCATTTCAAAGATGGGAAAACCAAGGCTCAGAACAGCTGTGGAACTTACCTGCAGTCACAGCTGCTGAGAGAAGGCACCAAACCCAAAGCCAGGCTTCCGCTGTGCTCAGGAAACAGGTCCTGCTTCCCTTCTGCACTCTGCCCCAGCAGATTGTATCAGCTGCTTTCTGAACACTTTGGTTAGCAAGACACTAGGAGGCACAAATGGGAAGGAGTTGGCTTGTCCCACCTCCACCCAGTATCATGATGGCTACTTGTCTGCCTTGGATTCAGATTTCTTTCAAGATTGTCCATGCTTATTGATTGTAAATCAGTGACCTACAGTTATATTTCCATTCAGTTCAATCCACATATGAACTGAGTCTCTTCGATGTTGATGATATTGCCTTTGACACTTGGATATGTGAGCAGTGGGACCTATACAAATGATTTCAACTCAGTCCCTGTCCTCTAGTTGGCTTCCGACCAAGTGGCAGAAGCCAACACACACAGTCACCTGTGTGTAAGCGTAGCAGGAAAGATGAGCTCAGGATGGTTTAGGAACACGCAGGAGGAAGCGTTGGAGCCTAGCTTTTGGTGGCCGGGGGGAAGACTTTGCAGAGCATGGTCCTATTTAAGAGTGTGCTTTGAAAGATGTGTAGGGTTTTTAACAAGCAGTGGAAGCATGTGTGTGTGCATACGTGCACACACACATTGCAAAGGGCTGCAGTGGGTAAGGGAGAGGCAATGCCTTATAGGGAGAAGGGATGACCTAAATACGTATGAGTCTGTGAACCGCCATGTTCACTAAGGGGATCATAGGATGTGTGTAGAAAGAGAGTAGGGAGTGGAGGTACTGAGGCTGGAAAGTTTGGTTGAGGCCAAAATATGGAAGAAACATTTAGCTGTATTTTTGAGCAGGAGAATGACATGGCCACAGATGTATTTTAGAAAAATCAGTCTAGCAGAGGCCAGATGGATGGAGCTGAGGAAGCAGGCACTGATGTTCGAGGAGTTTGAAGGCTCTTGCGGAAGTCCAGGCAGCATCATGAATGAGTCATCTCAGCTTGGCATGCGAACAGTTTTTGTCATCACTCCTCTGTTTATAATGAAATGCTGAGAATGTCTGCACATCCATTGACCCTGGGTTCATCCTAGCTACAGAAAGTACCTTTCAGCACCAGACACTGGGAAACCCTCCCTGAAGTCCAATGAAACCTGCGTACGTCCTCAAAGCTACAGATGTCCCATCTTCTGTGGGTTTCAGAGGCACATATCTTTAATAAAAATATAAAATGGTGCTCCTAGGCACACATCCCCCTTCTGTACAAAAGCTGAAATCAGAAATGGCAATTCACAAAGGTTCCAGTTTCTACCAATCTTTGCACGGCCCTACAAGTGCAGTCAAGCTCAAGTGGGCAGTCTCTTGTCTAACACTTGGTATGGCTCCATTTCTGTTGGAATTGCCCATCTCTAAGGCAGCTCCCTCCCTTCTCCCCTTCCCACAAGGGCCCTTAGAGGCACCTTTTCATCTCTCAGGCCTGATCCCCCTCCTTCTTTGCCTGTGTGGAGTTGTTTATTCTTGTTTACTGGGGCCACTTTCCGTGCTGCTGCTGTTATTGATGATCTTTGTCCTTGGTACAAGGCCAGGCCTCCAGGAAGAAGCGTTTCCTGCACTCAGCCACTGCTGCCGTTCTCAGGTGCACTGTCTCTTCCTCTCCAACATCCTCTCCCCTCCTTACTTCTTTTTTATTTACACACTGAGTGGGAAGAGCTATGAAGGAATATGTAACATTTTAATAACGTCTCATTTTCCTCCATTTGGGGGGCTTCGGTATGATAAAAGTCTATATCATCAAAGGAAAATGCCACTGGGAAGAAAACCAGAGAAATGTTATGGCAAAAATGAGATAGAAAATGGATTTTTGAAGATTCTGCACTGAGAACTTGGATTGTGATCCTGTGAAAGTGTGTCCTGGCTATTAAACCCCTTAGGAATGATTGAAGTTTTAGATTGCCTTAAAATGTAAGGACTTCTAGTGTGGGTTGAAGACAGTTTCTCAATCAGAACTTTCTGGAAGGATGACATACGTGTGGCTGTTGAATAATCTTGTCTCTTTCCCCAAGGGAACTGCCCTTAGAAATGTTTCCACTTCCTTCTCTTCTGTTTCTGTTTTTCCTCCCAGTAAGACCATACCTTGATTTGGAACCTCAAGATTGTTAAGTGAATGAAATTGCCCAAGCCCAGTAAAGCCGATGGTCTGGGGTATGGCCCTTACGCGAGATCTGTTGAGTAAAGCCTTCCCTGAGCCTCCCAGCCAGAATTATTCAGTTTGACATCTGTGCTCCAAGGCATGACCTCTTGGGTGCCGATGCCATCAGTCGGCTTCCAAACGGTGAACATTCAGAGTGTCGCTGAGTACCAGACTCTATGCTTTTTTACTCCAGGAACCTGGATAAGGATTGTTCTCCATCTCTAGACAGCTTAGAGCAGAGACTGTGTCCTGCTCATCCTTGTAGTGAAATTTGTGCCTTTGTTTTAGCAACTATATAGGACTCTATGATCCGCAGGTGTGGGCTTCACCTTTGTCTCCCGGCTTGACCTTCTGCTAGAATGTATATTTCCCTGGTCCTGTTTTATTTGTGTGAGCCATCTCTAATGCTTGTGGAACAAAGTAGAGGTATGAACAAACCAGTGCGCAAATATTTAAGCTTCTCCCTTTGAATCATACCCCTCAAAGGCCTTAGTATTGACCCTGGTACTTTGTAGGAGCTCAGGAAATGTTGCTTGGGTTGAGCTCATTTGAAATGAAAGCAGCCAGAGAATGAACCTGTTATCCTGCAGGGAGTTCATTGAGCTGAAATGGGGGCCCTGGCAGAGGAAGAGGTCTGCAGAGCCCAGAACGAGTAGAGCTCTGGGGTATGAGCCTTGCAGAGCCTGTGCTCTTCTTTGGGAGTGTTCACTGGTCCAGGCTTCAGGGTGCTTCTCAGAGGTCTTTGGAGGGCAGGGGCCACATCTTTCATTGGTCTTCATCCAGGACGGTAGCTAAGAGAGGGCCTGGCACCTAACAGGTGATGTCTGCTTTGGAATTGGAAGACTCTCTGCAAGTGAAGATCATTTCGTCTTCTACCTTATTCATGCTCTCATGCTCTCAAATTCCATGTAAAAATATTTTGCGTGGAACATGAAGATGTTGTTGGAATATTCAATATCTGGATTGGAGCTTTCTTTGAAGAACATTCTGTTTTCTCATAGTCTCATAGTCTTTAGAACTTTTTATTCCTGTCATTCTAAATTACCAAAAAAAAGGAGAAGTAAGGAAGTAAGCCCATTGTAACAGCTTGTTGCAGGGAAAAGTGGGTGGAGGCCCCTCTTCCCTCTCTTGTTAATGTGAAAAGCCTTGAACTTGGGCTATAACATCACCAATATAAAAGGTGGCATTGATTCAGCACAAGTAAAGAAGATTGGCTTTAATTAGAGCATATTGACAAATTTGTAAATTTGTGTAAAAATCTACTTTGGAGTCTATTAAAATTTGGGACCCCACTATCCAGTTGACTAATTACAATGGTAACATTCATCAACTCCCAAGGACTCTCTAGTAGCCTTTCCAACTCTAAGAAGTTAAGTTCTTTTCGCTCAGTCCAGGGATTCCTCTTAGAAAATTCCTGTTTGAACAGTTCTGGGGTAAGCCATTCCATTATCAGAGACATCTGATTTGGGGGAGCTTCTCTTCATAGTGAAAGGGCTGGATTCTGCCTTTATGTAATTCCACCCACTGGTCCTAGCTCAGCTTTAGAGCAGGTCAGGGTGGCTCCTCTGGTCCCTTGCCAAGAGAGACCTTCTCTGAGGCCAGCAGCAAAGTTGTTCTGCAGCCTTCGTTGTGGAAGTCTGAGCACAGTTTTCTCCTGCAGGGGTCCCTCAGAGGGCTTGACTACTGGGATTGCCTTTGCCCTGAGATGGACTTGTCAGTGCCAGCAGAAAAGCAGAGTGCCCAGAACTGGACAGTGGCAGGTGCCCCACGCTCTGTGCTGGGGAGATGCTGCCTGCTGCCAGCAATTCTAGCACCAGCTGCTTAGCCAAAAATAAGTTCTCAGCTGCTAAGGCCTGATCTTTCCGCTCTCCTTCTTCTGGAAGCTGAAAGTCCAGCGGTCTGCCAGCTGGAACTGGGAGGTTGGGGATTTGTTTCTATTCAGATGAAAGGAAAAACAGTACGAGGTTTTTCATTTCTTTTTTAACCTTATTATGTCAAAAGAGTTGTCTTGTTCTTAAGAGCAAAAAATATCACCATTGCTTCTGAATTTTGCTTTGAAAATAGCATTAGGAGTGGTGGGGCTGCATTGAGCCTCTCCCAGCTTCCTGGCAGAAGCCCCTATCGAGAGAGGCAGATGCAGCTTCCACTTGAGTGGAGGGACGGCTCTGGGAAAAAGCCCGAGGACTGGGTTCGGCTCAGCAAATCTGCCAGCCTTTGGATTGATAAACTGCCTATTTGCACAGAGGACAGGAGCAGCTGCCTCAACCATGGAATTTTCCAAAGGCTGCAAAACTTTAAAGATGGAACTTGAAGTTATTCATTCCTTTATTTAGCAAATATTTATCAGCACCTGCTGTGTGCCAGGTACGTGTTGGGTGCAAAGGTGAACAGAGGACAATCTGTATCCTCAGATCTGGCAATGTCTAGGGGGAGAAATGGACAAGAGAGCAAATGAGCATGGTCTACTGTAGTAAGTGTCCATAGGTGATATGGTTTGGATGTTTGTCTCCTCCAAAACTCATGTTAAAATGTGACCTCCAGTGTTGGCGGTGGGCCTGGTGCCAGGTATAGGATCAGGGGACAGATCCCTCCTGAATGGCTTAGCGCCATCTCCTTGGTGATGAGTGAGTTGCCAGTCAGTTAGTTCACGTGAGGGTGTGGTGCCTCTCCGGTCTCTTTTGTTCCTGCTCTGGCCGTGCACCTGCTACCACTTTGCCTTCAGCCATAAGTAAAAACCCCCTGAGGCCTCACCAGAAGCCGAGCAGATGCCAGCACCATGCTTATATAGCCAGCAGAACCACAAGCCAATTCAACCTCTTTTCTTTACAAATTACCCAGCCTCTGATATTTATTTATAGCAACACAAAAATGGCCTAACACAATAGGCTTCCCTGTAGCCCTATATAGGAGGGTGCAATGGATGGTGGTAGCGCTACATAGGAGGGTGCAATGGACGGCAGTGGAGGTGGTTATGGTGGCGGCTGTAGCATTGATTAGTGCTGTTATTGCTGTCACTAACAAACCGCAAGGATTTGCAGCACAGGTGAAGGACACCAGCTCTGCTTTAGATGGATGGTCTTGGGGGCAGCATGGAACTTGTCAGAAAGGGAGAGCTGTTGGAGCCGCTTTGGAAGAATAAGATGAGGCATGGGAGTGAGGCCTTTCCTGACAAGGGGCAGGTAATGTGGGAAGGCATGAAGGTTAAAATGAATATGGATTGTTTAGGGACTAGCAGCCATTTCAGTGTCTCTAAAGGTGTGTGTGTGTGAAGGTGGGAGGTAGGTGATAAACCATTGTCGTAGAAATGGAGAATCTTTGAAAAGCTCTAAGCTGCAGAGACAAAGTCAGACTTGCATGTTACGTGATCACTCTGGAGGAATTGTGGAGGCCAGGCTGGAATGGGATCGGGCTGGGGCAGGGAGAGGGGCTAAGAGTGGGAAATGATGAGGGCCTGGGTTACAGTGGAGAGGGTGGAGGGGAGGAGACAAGAAAAAAATAAATCAGAGAGAAGGTCAGGAGGACTCCATGGCCTATGACCTATTCAGGCTCTGTGTGTGTGTGTGTGTGTGTGTGTGTAGTGTGTAGCGTGTAGTGTGTAGGGAAAGATACACGGTGGATGAATGAGAGCTGGGGCTGGGGATATCAAGCCTATTGACTCCCCATGTGACTGCTGGGAGGAGAAGCAGGAGTGAGAACAGGTATGACAAAGGACAAAGACAGATATTGGTCCATGCTGACTTGGGATGGTGCACCTGCTTTCTGGGGCTGCTGCCTTGAGGCTGTAACAAGCTGACCGAGAGATGTAGGGCATGGAGGCTGTTAGCCTCTCAGGGGAGTCTGGTTGCTGAGGTGGTGGCAGGAGGAGAAGCATAATGGGTAGTGTTAGACAGGAAGGCTGAACCCTCACATCTGTGGTCAATTGATTTTTGACAAGAGTGCCAAGCCATTCAGTGGGGAAAGGACAGACTTTTCAACAGATGGTGCTGGGACAACTGGATCTCCAGGTTTGTGAGTGAATGTAACTAAAAGAATGAAGCTGGATCCTTACCTCACACCATACACAACAATTAACTCAAAATGGATCAAAGACCTAAATATAAGAGCTAAAACGATAAATCCGTCTCAGGAAAACATAGAGGAAAGTCTTCACTGGATTTGCAATGGATTTAATGCAGATCTCTGATGGAGTTGGTACTGGTGTCTTGGATATGACACCAAAAGCACAGACAACACAAGAAAAAAAGAAATTGGATTTCATCAAATTTAAAAACTTTTACACATCAGTGGACACTATCAAGAATATAAAAAAAAAACAACCCACAGAGTCACAGAAAATGTTAGCAAATCATATATCTGATAAGGGATTAATGTCCAGAAAATATTTTTAAAACCCATACAACTCAACAACCACAAAGAAAGTAACCCCCTTGAAAAATGGGCAAGGGACTTTGAATAGACATTTCTCCAAAGCAGAAATGCAAATGCTTAATAAGCACGTGAAAGGATCCTCAGAATCATGAGTCACTGAGGCAATGCAAATCAAAACTACAGTGAGAAACCACTTCAGACCCATTAGGATGGCTATTATCAAAACAAAACAAAACAGAGAATAATAAGTGTTTGTGAGGATGTGGAGAAATTGGAACCCTTGTGCATTGCTACTGGGAATGGTAAATGGTACAGCCACTGTGGAAACAGTTAGACAGTTCCTCAAGAAGTTAAACGTAGAATTGCTGTATCCTGCAGCAATCTCACGCCTATGTATATATCCAGCGGAATTGAAAGCAGGGATTCAAACCTGTACGCCTGTGTTCTTAGCAGTATTATTTACAATAGCCAAAAAGTGGAAGCAACTTAAGTGCCCGTCATCAGATGAATGGGTAAAAAAAAATGTGACTTATAGATACGCAATGGACTACAGCCTGAAAAGGGAAGAAAATTCTGACATGTGCTACAGATGGGCGAACCTTGAGGACATCAAGCTAAATGAAATAAGCCAGTTACAAAAAGACAAATACTGTATGATTCCTCTTATATGAGGACCTAGAGTAGTCAAATTCATAGAGATAGAAAATGGAATAGAGGTTCCCAGGGGCTGAGGAAAGGGGGAGTTATTATCTAATGGGTAAAGAATTTCTGTCGGATGATGACAGTTTTTGAAAATGGATAGTGGTGATGGTTGCACAGCACTGTAAATGTACTTAATGCATTTAATTGTATACTTACAATGCCTAAAATAGTAAATATTATGTTACATATATTTTACCATAATAGAAAAAAATGTAAAGGAAGGCAGGCAGACCCTGAGCATTGGGTTCCCTTAGCTCTCCTAGTGCATTTCGATCGTGAACATTGCTGAGGGTTCCTGTCCACTCCCTGTGCGATGCCTGTCACCCAGGGATTCATCCCCTCCCACCTCTAAACATTTGGCTATGAAGGTATTGCTCCCAAACTGGACAGAAGCTCTCTAGGGGGCTGAGCCTACCCCTGGAGGGACCCTGGCCTCCTATTCCAGCTCCTGCCTGGGCAGGGGACAGAGAACCGTGACAGGCCTCTGATGCTGAACGCCAAATGTGGTTCTTCCTCGACAGCCAGCAGCTGCTTTCTGGCCTGGAAGTCTTTCCTCCACTTGCAGCTCCCACTCACCCACAGTTTTCCCTGGAGAGGGGAGCCCTGAGGCTGCATTTTGTGCATGATCATTCCAATGACGCAAGCATCCAGTGCCCCCATAGCCCAAGATGCCCACTGGAGGCAGCTGGGAGCCCAGGCACTCTATAGCACGCATTTCCAACAATGGCTGCTAGCTCGGGGAGAGGGATAGGGAGAGGTGAAGGAGTATCCACAATGGAAAGAAACTGTCCCGACACAGAGACAGTCACAGTAGCATTGGGAAATGCCCTTTGGGTGGAAGGTTTAGTTGCAGATGGCCAAGCTCTTCTCAAAAGTATAGTGCAGTGATACTTTTGCATAGTATTTGCAGTTATTTGCTTTGCAATGTGGAATCAGTAGGAGACTTTCCAGACTTGAGATTTAAGCACAAAATTGTATTTTCCCTGTACTGAAGGGTCCCAACATGGGTAATGACCCTGATTCTCCTGCTATTTGGAGGCATTTACTTCTGAGAAACATACACCATGCCTACCATTGAAGCCATGGCCAAAGGAGTATCTGAAAACTGGAAGAGAAGACAGCTTCTAAGCAACCAGAAGTTATGTAGCCAAGTTCATGCACAAAAGCCAGGGTGCTTGACACCTGTCTTGGCTCTGGTTTTAGGCACTCACACGTACGAAGCTTGAGATTCTTGTTTACCAGTCCCCACAAATTATAAGCCACAGATTAAAATGTCCCAGGGCTGGCTTGGAGAAGGCCCTCCAAATGCACCAGAGAAGCTTCCGGAAACTTGGCACCTGAGACTAACGAAACAGCTTTCAGCAGAGTGGGTGGCAGATGGGAAGGCTTCAGAAGCAAGGTGCCTCCCTGAGTGATGTCCCAGGAGAAAAATGACATCAACCCAGCCAACGAGAAAAAGCCCTGTCGTGCTGTGTGGGAAGGCAGGTGCCGGGCCTTACCTAGCTCCACATGCTCATGCCATACTTGCTGGAAGCTGGGATGATGGGATCCCTTCTCCAGGGCCACAGGAAGGGAGAGGTTCATGGGTCCTGGATGGCTAGGCCCTGGCTGGGACTAGAGAGCCTGGGTGAGAGAATTGCCGCTGGGGCTCTGGAGGTGCTCGCTGGGGAAGGTGGTCCGCGGCACTGAAGAGGAAGGCAGGCCATCAGGTGTCCCGTGGGGAAAAGCATTCCCCAACAGTCTCCAGCTTGTGCCTCGTGTGTGTCTGTGGCCCACAGAGGCCTGGCTCATGGGTGCTTTGCACAACTGTGGGCTCTACTGAGGCCTTACAAAGTTGAAACTGGTGTGAGACACACATGGGAAGATGTAGCAGCGATGCCGGTGGCTTCCAGGCTCAGGCTGAGGCAGACGGGCGGGACGTGAGTCCTGGCTCTGCATGCCCAGGCCGTGTGTCCCTGCTGAGTTGCCTCACCTCTTCAGGACCTAGGCTTCCCATCTGGTGCACAGGGATGAGACCGCACCACTCACAGAGGATTGTATGAGGATTAAAGAAATACAGTAATAAAATAGCCGTGACCCATGAGCATTTAAGAGATGACAATGACGTAATTAAAATGTGTTGGGCGGGGGACTGTTGCTCACTGTAGGAAAGATTTCTCATTATATGTCATTATATATCATATTAACATAAAAGGCTTTTATTTTATGTTGATGAAGTAGACTTCGGAAAATGCTTCAAAGGATCTAGGGGGTGCCCTCCGCATGTCACAATGCATCACCTCGGCCCCTGGTCCACGTGGAGAGGTCACCTCATTTCCCCACAATGCCGGGAAAGTGAGACGGTGCTGCTCCTCCTCCACAAATAGCAAGGCAGGGACCTTCCCCAGGGGCATCTGGGCTCCCACCTCCAGAGAAGCGTCCCCCTGGAATCTTTCTTTTCCTGACAACACTAGATGCCTTTCTCCCCAGCCCCGTGACAAACGACAGTCAAGCTTGCTGCCAGGGAGGCAGGGAAGTGACGATCCCGTCACCACCCCCCAACCCTCCGTGGGGAGGGGCAGGCGGGTGTGGGATCCATCACGCCCGCCCACGTGGATGGCTTCAAAGTGAACAGTTGGCATTCCTGCGGGGTGGCCCTCGCTCCTGCAATAGGCCATCCCGGGCGGCCGCTCCCTCCCTCACCTACGATCTGCCGTCAGCAGCTGCTTCTGACAGGTGCGCGGGCTCTCCATGGCAGATGGTGACCAAAATGGGCTTGCTGGCAGGCTGTGCTGCCGCGCCGCCCTCCCTCGCACACACTGATGTGTACACAAACACAGCCCGGCCCTCCGTGCCTTCTCGTGGCACCTGCCTGGGGTTTCAGGGGCAGCCAGAGGGCTTATTCCAGAGTCGCAGGCCCATTTCCCCCAGGCCACCCACCTCACTGGGACCCTTCCATTTTTGGCCGCCAGACCATGGATGTGGCGTGTCCCACTTCCCAAGCACGGCATCCTCCCCAGTCTCCTTGCTAGTGTGTGTGGTAAGCGGCACAGCTGTGCACCCACTGCTCCCCACGATGGCTTTGGGCTTGGCCTGGACAGAACCCACGATGGCCGAGCTGCCTTAGGCCACAGTCACAGGCTCCAGATGTGGGGCCTGGGCCACCCTGTGCTCCCTCTCATCTGTTTCCCGGAGTGTGGTCTGGTGGATGTCGGACAGGAGAGACTCGTGGCCACCGCTCCAGTGTCCATGAGAGCCCAAGTGCACCGGAAGCCTGTTCTCTTCACAAAATAGCAAGACATGTCTATGCCACAGTGACCATGTGCCAGGTCACCGAGCCCAGCCTCCCTCTGGGAGAGAGTGCCTCTCCCCTCTGTCAACCCTGTGCCTAGGTGGGGAGCTGCAGCTGCAGGATCAGAGTATTGCCAGGCCACCCAGCTCGGCCACCCATCGCCCTGCCGGAGCACCTGCCCCTCCCTCCATGTTTGGGCAGCTCATTCCAAACCACCACCCAGCCAAGACAGCCAGATGAGGGGACATCTGGCGCGAGATGGTCGCCAAGTCACTGCTGTTCCATCATGGCAGAAGGAAGATGAGCTCTCTGCCAGATTCTTAAAGAGAGAGAGAGAATAAAATGTGAGTTACATGCCCGGCATTTTTTTTTCCTTCTTTTTACCCTGACACCTCAGCTGTCACTTTCCTTTCTCTGGAACTTGGACTACTAAGGACCCCATATCCATAACTATTTAGGGTAGACCTTTACCACTGGATGCTGATCAGAGTGCCAGAGTGAGTGATGGGAGTGGGAGCAGAGAGGTGAGGCTTGGAGATGACCTTGGAGGAAGAATGCATACACAACCATGTGCTCACACACACAATCACACACGTGTGTTCACACACACCCATGTGCTCACACATGTAATCACATACACACATGCTCGCGTACACCCATGTGCTCACACGTAATCAGACATGCTCACACACCCATGTACTCACACATACACAATATTCACACATGTTCACATACACGCTGTACTCACAGTGCACACACACATGCTCACATGTGCTCACACACACACATGTGATGGATCACGAGGGGCAGAGGAGACTGAGACTGGCTATTCACCATCTGTCCTCCAGGGTAGGGCTGCCTGCAGTGAGTGTGCTTTCCATGAGCTGATGGGGTCAGAACCCATTAGTGGGAACTAAAGAGTTTATTTCCTGCTCTTTCCCAGTAAGGGGAGAAGCGTGACTCTCCCTGTATCCGACTCCCAGGCTCACACACTTGTGTCGGGCAGTGGCGGGAGAGAGTGTGTGTTCACAGCAATGGTCTCGCAGAAAGTCTACCGTGGTGGGCTGAGGGAGGTCCCTTGCAGTCACGGCAGCTTGTGGGCTGTGTGACCTTGGGCAAGTTCCTTAACCTCTCTGAACCTGTGTTCTTCATCTGGAAAATGAGGCTATTTGCTTCTTGAAGAATGTGACCTTTCAGCTACTTCTACAAGATGATATTGTCACTTTCATTTTAGAGATGAGCAAATCCAAGTACAGAAAGGCTAAGTGACTTGAGCAAGGTCATGCAGGAAAGTGGGGCATCCTTTCAGGTAATGAAAGCAAAGAAGGGGAGATGGGTGTTGGGGATGTTCAAGAATAGGCAGGCTGGGGGTTACATCCAGGGTGTTGGTGCAGACAGGAATGGGGGCCACAGAGTCCTGGGTGTATTGGAGGCGTCTCCTTGGTGCTGGCCAGTCTGTTGCTCTCTTTTCCCTCCTGGCATAAGTTAAACGGACAACCTACTTTCAAACACAAAAGGTGGGTTTTCACAGATAAGCCATATCTCCCCTGCTCTGTGCTTGTTCCTTTGATTTCTCCAAAAAGTGCAATTTTCCATATTTCTGAAAAGTCATGTTGTTTGGCCCACTTTCTAGGCCCTAGGAACCAAGATGAGGCCCATGCTAGGATGGCCCTGAGTCTTGCCTTGTCAGACGTGATCTTCTCTTTTTTGAAACAGGCCTCACTCTCTCAACCAGGCTAGAGTGCAGTGGCATGATCTCAGCTGCCTGTGGCCTTGATCTTCTGGGCTCCCTGTGGCCTCAGCCTTCTGGGCTCATGTAATCCTTCCATCTCGGTCTCCCAAATAGCTGAGGCCACAGGTGTGTGTCACCACACTTGGCTAATTTTTTTATTTTTTGTGGAGGTGAGGTTCACTGTGTTACCCAGGCTGATCTTGAACTCCGGGACTCAAGTGATCTTCCCGCCTCGGCCTTCTAAAGTGCTGGGAGTGTAGGCAGAAGCCACCATGCCCAGCCTAGACTATGTGACATTTTCTTTGTGTTCTTGCAAATGTGATGAACAAGAACTGGCATCTCACAACCAGAGGTGGATGTGAAACGCCCACGTTCTCACCATCAGACTTTCATCAGCTCCCCTGGGTCCTGGGCAGGGTGAGGTAGATTTTAGGGTCATGACATGAGTCAGTAAGGGCAGGTGGAGGGTTGTGGCAGCAGTCCAGACAAAGGTGGGTGATGGCTGAGCCTTAGAGGTGGCGATGAGGGTGGAGGTGGATTTGTGAACCATTCTGGATGAACTGTCAAGCTTTGCTTTACAATTAGGACTTGCTATGGACATTGGATGGGGAGAGTTGATGATGGCAATGAAATGTGTAGCCTGGAGGAGAGGTAGCAAATGATGCCGTGTGCCAAGAGAGGGGACAGCGAAGACCAACCGCTTTGGGAAAGGAAGGAGAATGTCTCCGGGTTTGCACGGGGTGCGTTTGAATTTCTGGGGTGGGGTTGTGAGTGGCAGGATTCTGTAGGCAAGAGAAGAGAAGACTCTGGATCCCAGGAAATGGTGGGGCACAGAGTGAGGCACAGAGCAGGAATTGTCATTGGTCTAAACACCCCAGCACCTGAAGTATAGGATAGCTTACATTTTAATCAAAATTCTTGCTTGCTCCTTACATTTTTATTGTAATGCCTATTCTACCTGGTAATCACATTCTGAAACCTGATAAAGTATCAATTCTGAGAATTTCATTAAGGATCACATCAATCTTTAAGCTACACTGGAGATGCACCGAATCTTTGAGTAGGTTAATAGGATTGCAAAGAAGAACCAATAGGTATAAACTTCTTAGAATTTCTATTAAAAAATTGACAAGCTTCGACACCACATTCTAATTTTGTTTCAAGGGTAATCACGAGACCAGGAGCACTAGCAGGAAAACTGTGTCACCACAGACAGAACTGGCTCACTGTCTGGAAACAGAGGCCAGGGAGAAAGGGTCGCATCCCTGGGACGAGATGTGCAAAAATCGGGCTTCTCAGCATCATTCATTAGCACCACTCTGACTTTACATCTGCATAGTGACATTTAAAGAGGAACATGGGCTGGGCGTGGTGGCTCATGCTTGTAATCCCAGCACTTCGGGAGGCTGAGACGGGCAGATCACTTCGGCCCAGGAGTTTAAGACCACCCTGGGCAATGCGGTGAAACCCTGTCTCTACCAAAATTTTTTTTAAAAAATTAGCCAGGCATGGTGGCACATACCTGTAGCCCCAGCTACCCAAGAGGCTGAGGCAGAGGGATCGCTGGAACCCAGAATCAAGCCTGCAGTGAGCTGTGAGCATACCACTACAATCCAGCCTGGGCAACAGAGCAACACCGTATTTCTAAATAAATAAGTAATAGAGGAGTAGGTAATAAAAAAATCCAGGTTTTAATTTAATTTGTTTAAATGTAAGGGGCACAAGTACAGTTCTGTTGCATGCATACATTGTGTAGTGGCGAAGTCTGAGCTTTTTTAGTGTTAATATCACCCAAATAATGTACCTTGTACCCATTAGGTAATTTCTCATCCCTCACTCCCCCACCCTCCCACCCTTCCAAGTCTCCAGTAACTATTATGTTCTTGCATATTTAGCTCCCATCCGTAAGATAGAACATGCAGTAGTTGACCTTCTGTGTCTGAGTTATTTCACTTAGCATAATGGCCTCCAGTTCTCTCCACATTGCTGCAAAAGACATGATTGTCTTCTTTTTAATGGCTGAGTAGTATTCCATGGTACATATACGCCACATTTTCTTTTTCCGTTCATCTGTTGAAGGATGTTTAGGTTGATTCCATATCCTTGCTGCAGTGTGTAGTGCTGTAATACACATCTGAGTGCAGGTGTCTTTTTCATGTAATGATTTATTTTCCTTTGGGCAGATGCCCAGCAGTGGGATTGCTGGATTGAATGGCAGTTCTATTTTTAGTTCTTTGAGAAATCTCCATACTGTTTTCCGTAGAGGTTGTGCTCATTTACATTCTCACCAACAGTGTGTAAGCATTCCCTTTTTTCTGCACCCTTGCCAACATCTGTTATTTTTTTGACTTTTTAATAGTAGCCATTCTGACTGGTGTAAGATGATATCTCATTGTGCCTTTGATTTGCATTTCTCCGATGACTAGTGATGATGAGCACTTTTTCATATGCTTGTGGGCCGTTTGTTTTTAAATGAAGTTCATCTCTCCCCTCATGAGAAAGGAGATCATGTAAGGTCTCTTGTCACACGGGGACATGGAATTCTTTTTAGTTAAGATGGCAGATTTGGTGAGTGGTTGAGAACCATGGCTCCAGAGTCAGACTGCCTGGGTTGAAATACTGCCTCTCCTCTCCTTTGCTAAGCACCCTTCTTACCAAATGCAGCAGATACTACTGTGATCTCTAGAGAGGACGTGATGAGGATAACATCAGACAGCATGTGTAGAGCATGCAGGGGAGCCTGGTACAGGGTGAATGCATACGCAGCATCACCCCTAGGCCCTCCTCGCCCCACCAACATGCACGTGCTTGTCCTTGTCTCCCAGAAACACAGGACTTTCACTTGGGTTGATTTAATAGACTCAATCAAGATATTTCTTCATAGAAGCTGGGCACAGCGGCCCATGCCTGTAATGTCAGTACTTTGGAAGGCTGAGGTGGGAGGATCACTTAAGGCTAGGAGTTCGAGACCAGCCTGGGCAACATAGACCCTGTCTCTACAGAAAATAAAAAGAATTAGCCTGGCATGGGTGGCACGTGTCTCTAGTCCCAGCTACTTGGGAGGCTGAGGCAGGAGGATCGCTGGAGCCCAGGAGTTTGAGGCAGCAGTGAGCTATCGTGGTGCCACTGCACTCCCCCCTGGGTTACAGAGCAAGACCTTGTCTATTATTTTTAAAGATATTTCTTCATAGAGCAAGTCAAAGGAAAAAGATGATCCTCCGAGCCTGGGTCCAGGATCTTCCCATAGTGGTCTTCCCATGGTCCCATCCGTTGCTGTGGGTTTGTGACATTGTGACATGGAGTATGCATGTGTGGCGGGGACGCTTGGCCAGGAGCCACCAACACTCTCGTATGGAAAGTCTGCCAACAGGCTAGGTCTTCCAAGGACCAAAAATCTGGGTGGCCTGTGAAAAACCCAAGTCACTTGTTTGGGGGGTGCCGGTGGAGGACAGGAAAGGGTGGAACAGGATGCAAGTGGCCAGGCCCTTGACGCTCCTACTTCTTTGGGCATAACCCCCATCACCTCATAATTCCCACAGTGTGACATTCCGTCACATCGCAAAAATAACCAACACAGTTTAGAGCAGTGCTCCTGAAATAGAATCCATGTGATGTATTATCTCAAATACATGATTTCACCTCTTCCTCAAAACAGCACTGAGAGGTAGATATCTTATCCCCCTCTTACAGAAGAGAAGGCCAAGCCTCAAGGTCAGCTCCTGAAGGTCATGCTGTTTGGCAGAACCAGGAGAAGAGCCCAGGCCCCTCTTGTCCCCAACCTCTATGCAAACATGATCTCCTGGAGAACTCCTGGAGATATTTTAAGGAGTGTTTGATACTTAGAGATGCACAGTGCTGCTTTCAGTGTAGAGTGCCATTTTTGTAACTCCAGTTAACATGGATTTTTATTGTCTGAACTGGAAAGCATGCCAATTATATGCAAATTTAAATTGTATAATTAGCTTATGTTCTTGAGGGAGTTCCAGTTCTTCCACTGGTTCTGAGCCTGACAAAAAGGAAAATTATGCTTTGGCAAAGAACACCTATGGCCTATTTTGAATTCTCCTCCCCCACACCCATTTTTCCTTTCTCCCTCCCTCCTTCTCGTCTTGCCTTCCTCCTTTCAAAAAAAAAATCCTGACTGTACTTCATTGCTAAGCAGCTTAAACAGCCCGAATGAGACCCCTCCATCTGACCTCCACTCAGGTTTTACTTTTCCTCTTTGTTATTCTCTTGGCAATTAGAAGAACCGAAGAGGCCAGAGTCCTCCGAAGACGCCTGCTTGGAAGTTGAGATGCTGTTGCTGAAACTGCTAGAATGCCAGGCATGCTATCACCTGCAGCTTTGAGACGTCACGCTGACAGTATCACAGGAAAACAGCCTTTTGTGGGCCGTCCTCTGTGTGTTCACACCGTGTCGTTTTTAAGCTTTAAAGGAAACTGACAAAAGCTTCTTTTCTCTCTGTCTTGAGCTTCACTGCGTATTCTTAACCATGTGGAGCTGGGAGCTAACGCATCACAGCCAACTGTATCTGGAGTGCATTTGCTCATATAGCCCTTATTTTATTTTTTAGTCTTATTTTTAGTTTCCTTTGAATATAATAATAAAAAAAAAAAACCCAATCATTGAATTCTTAGCTTCAGCCAATATAGTGTGAGGTTAGACATATTGCAGCCCAAGGGAGAATTTCTGCTTGCAAGCTGGTCAGCCTGTTTGCAGCTGACAGATGTAACCTGCCCTAGGGCAAGAGAAAGTCTCAAGGGAGCTTTTAATTTCTTAATATTGAAATGAGCACAACCTTTATTGTCTTAATCAGTGAATAAAAAAAATAAAGTTGCTAAGTCTCATTTTTTAAACATGGCGTAAGAGGATTTTAAGAAATTACAATTGCTTTTTAAGCTGCTGTTGAAAGTTAATTTTCTCTGTGTTCAGGAAGATTCTGCCAGCAGCTCCTAGCTAGGTAGTCATATTCCAGTTAAGCAAAACTTTCCCAGGGGTGGCGAACAGCCCTGTTCTGTGGACACCGCCCCTGGGAAGGGAAAGGGTGTGTGTCGTCCACAGAGTGGTTTTACTTTGTCCTTGAACTTGGTTTTTATCACGTTTCATAAACTCAGAATACAGGAGTACTCATTTAAAATTACAGCAGAAATCTTCTGATGCAAACTGCATTCTTTTAGAATATATGATACTTTAGGCAAGGGCCGTATTAACATTTTTTTCGCCATTCATAAAGAAGGGATTGATGAATGATAGTGAATAGCCCCTATACAGTCATAAGGAAAATGTTTCCGTTTTTAGTCTGAACAAATAATTGTATATGAAAAAATCTGATGTATTGCAGCTAGTCGTTCTTAAGTGTTTCTTAATTTAATCCAAATTTGAACCACGTTTCTTTAAATTAAAAGTTCCTCAATTACAAGGGCCACAGGCTTGTCAATTCTGGTTCCCTGGTACTTTGTGTAATGCCCGAATAGGGACACAGTAAATGTGTGCTGAACCAACTGAAAAAGTTGCTTTCAGAGCTACATGGGAATGAATGTGGACCTGCAGAGATATTACATGTGATATAAACTATCGAACATGATGTTCCAGGTATAGAACGAAGATGCTCAACGGGAGCATACCAGAATCATGGGACAGGGGTTACGCGTTTGAAGCCAAAGCATAACTTTGGAATATTTAGAGAACCCTCAAAATTCAACAATACAAGCAAATCACCTGATTAAAAAATGGACACGAGATTAGAACAGACACTTCACCAAAGAAGTCCCTTCACCTACAGGATGCCTTCGTATACAGAAGGCAAATAGGAACGTTAAAAGGTGCCCAGCATCATTAGTCATTGGAGAAATGCAGATGACAGCCACGTTGTGATGCTACTCTACAGCAGTTAGAATGAGCAAATCAAAGAATCGTGACAATACCAAGTCCTGGGAATGACACAGAGCAATGGGAACTCTCATGCATTGCAGGGGACTGAGGTGGGGAGCACAAAGTGGCATGATCAGTTTGGAAAACCATTGGAAATTTCCCATCATTTAATATACTTCCACCTACTGTGAGCCAGCAATCCCAGTCCTAGATTTTTACCTACGAGAAATAAGACGACACAAAAACCCATTCCCAAATGTTTACAGCAGCTTTGTTCATAATAGCCAGAAACAGGAAACAACCTAAGTGGCCTTCAGTTGGGAAATGGAAACACCACACTGAGGAATGCGTATGCCCAGGAAGGCCCTGATCTCGCCTGTGGCTGCCATGAGGCCCTGCACAAGGGAAGAGAAGAAGAGAAGGCCGAGTGGAGAACCGTGGGGTCCCTGAAGCTTCCTGTGCTCTAGCGCACACACAGCCCTCAGCAAAGGTAGGAGTCTGGTGCTTCCAGGCCTGTAAGGAATTCGGTGCCTAACCATTCGGTGATAATTAGCTAACCACACTGAGACTTCAATGGCCACACCTGAAAGAGAAGACAGACTTTACAGAATTAGTCCAAGAAAGTCACTGAACAAAGGAACAGCAGCAGCAGAAGCAACACCACACTGTGGGGCAGGACATCGGATTTCCAGAGTTGCCACATTATTTTTTAAATTGTCTGATTTTCAAGAAAAAAATATGTAACAAAGAAACATGACGGTATCCGTTACTAAACAAAGACTTTAAATCTGCTGTTATAAAGGTGCACCAAGAACTAAAGGAAACTGAAAAAATTAAAAGAAAATGTTAGAGTAATGCCTCAACAAATAAAGAATATCAGTAAGGAGAGAGATATTAAAAAAAAAAAAAAAGAACTAAGTAGAAATTCAAAGATACAATAACTTTTTAAAAAATCGCCAGAAGGGCTGAGTTGGCGGAAGAAAGAATGAAACTGGAAGATAAGTCAATTGATATTATCCAGTCTGAGGAACAGAATTTAAAATGGGGGAAAAACGGTGATGGTTACATAACCTTGAAAATATTTTGAAAACCACTGAATTGTAAAGTTTGAAAGGATAGGTCAGGCACAGTGACTTATACCTGCGATCATAGTGCTTTGGGAGGCTGAGGCAGGAGGATTGTTTGAGCCCAGGAGTTTGAGACAGACCCAGGCAACATAGCGAGACCCCATCTCTACAAAAAATAAAATAAAACTAGCCAGGTGTGGTGGTGTGCTCCTGTAGTCCCTGCTACTTGCGAGGTTGAGACAAGAGGATCGCTTGAGCCTAGGAGTTTGAGGCTGCAGTGAGCCGTGATCGTGCCACTGCACTCCAGCCTGGGTGGCAGAATGAGACTCTGTCTATGAAGAAAAAAAAAACGAATTTTATGTGAACTACCTCTCAATATAAAATGATTATCTGGGGGGATGGGCAAGAGCACAGTTTAGAAAAGGCTCTGGAAGACACAGTCCCAAGAGACATGTGTAAGTAAACAGGAGGCATCCTGCTGACTTAACTTCCTCATTTTACGGCTGGAGAAACTGAGACCCAGATGAGTGAAACAAACTATCCAGTGCTTCTTACTTAACAGAAACAAATGCCTCCAACCATTCTGCAGTCGGTGTGACCCACCATCTCAGTTTGCCAGGACTTTCCTAGCGTTGGCACTGAAAGTTCTGCATCCTGAGACACCCCCAGCCCTGGCAGCCAAGACACTTGGCCACTCTGTCAACCGTCTGCAGTGAGACTATTCTTTCTAGTGGCTCTGAATTGCTGCAGTTCTTCTGTGAATGAGAAGCGGTGACATTCAGAGGAGTCCCATTGCCCACTGAATTCAGTGCTCTAAGCTTAAGCATCTGCTGCTATGCTTGAAGTTCTTTTCTATTCAACCTTTTGGAATGAAGGCTCTTTCCTTTTAACAAAATCTGCATTTCATCCCCAAGGTGAAACCTGCTATCCTTGGCTTTCCCTGAAAAGTGAAAAGTGGTTTTCTTTGTGTACTAAATGCTAAGCATATAACAAAAATCAGAAGTTGTAGTTAATTGATTGCAGATATGAAAAAGCAGATTATAACCCCTCAGAGATCTATACAAAGACAGGGACAGGGAAAGAGAAGGAGAAGATCCGTGTCTCCCGAAACTGAAAGCCATGAAAAGAAAACTCGTAGAGGAAAAGTCACTTGAATTATTTTTAAAAGCCAGCAGACCTCAAAGGAAAGCCCAAATCAAGAGGAAGCAGCAGTCCTTGAATGCATGATGGAGGGAAACCATCCTGCGGGTGGAGGGTGCACTGTCTGAGCCAGAGCAAATGGGTGGTTGCACATTTCAACTATAGGACCCTGAGTTTCATGCTCTGGCCCCAGGAGGGTGCAGCTTAGACCTGCAGCCAGCCCTGTCCAGCCTGGTGGGTCCCCACCATTCACGATGTGCGGTAGAGAAGGAAGGACCCATTCCCCTTGCATCTAGGAAGTTATGCTTGGAATTTGTGAGGTGTGGGGAGGTGAAGGACGACAAGGAAGTAATGGGAAAACAAATGACGGCCACCCACTTCCTCTGGGTTCCCACTTGAGCTCAGCCTTACAGACCTTGCTGCATGCAAGCAGGTGAGCCTCAGAGGCACCTGCTGTCTTTGCCTGGGTTCACGTGGTTCCTTCAGTCTCCTGAAGTGGCCCCTTGTACCACTGTGATTGCAGGCGATGGAAAATCAGGGGGTGTGCAGCTGGGTCCCCAGAGACGAGTACGCAGAAATAGGCCACAGCTTGATGCCTCCAGCAGCCTCTCCATCCACCTCTGCTTCCATCTTTTCCTGTGGTTGAGCCCCAGGGTCCCATCTGCTGGGTCGCCCTCACCCTGGCCTAGCCCACCTTTCCAGTTTATCCTTGATTTCACCTGACTTGCCCTCCCTGCACTCTCCTCCGGACCTGTCAGCACCCTGAGATACACCTCATTACCCCCAACCCCCAGCCTCCATGTGTTTGGTCACGGAGTTTCTTCTGCTTGGAGCATGCCCTTCACACCCTACTCCTGCCTACTGTCAAATTCCCAGTTCAGTGCCCACCTCCTCCTGCAATTTCCCAGCAGGATTAACCTTTCCTTCCTCCATGCCCTCAAAGGACTGTTTGCACCTCCATTTCCGCACATCCCCTCTGCCTCGCGTGGTGGATATTCACAGTCCCGTGTGTCCTCTCTCCTCCAAGGGAATTCTGACCCTCTGGGTGGGGGACAGGAGTCCTCGTCACTCCCTGGGGTGTGGCTGTTGGTGTGAGGGAACTTCTCCTGCCTGAGCCTGCTTCCCCAGCACCTGGCACGGCACCTGCTCACGCTGGGCACTGCAGACACGTCGTGGGAATTGCCCGTACACTCTTCTGAGAGCACCTCGCGGGCAGGGCTTGTGCTGTTCATCCCTGTGTTCCTCGTGCCTAGCCCGGTCCTTGACACACAGCCAGTGCGCAATAACAATTGTCGAGATTCATTCATGAAGTGAAGTTGGAGAGTTTAAAAACTTCTTCACAGAGAAATCTGCTCGCTTCGGCTGAACTGTGCTGACTTCCCAACCCTTCGGTATCACACCCCATGCCCGGGAAAGCCCAGGAAAACCAACGCAGGAAATAAACGATTCCATCGGGCCGTGGTGCTCCCAGCGTGGATTTGTCAGTGTCCTTATGTGAGGGCCCAGGGTGTTGGAGCCATCACTGGCTGGAGCATGGCTGGTTACTGTGGCAAAGGGTGGACAAGTAGGGACGCTTCCGCTAGTGCTTTATAGCGTCTGCCTGGAGACCACCCATGTGACTTTCACTCACAGCTTACTGGCCAAAGCAGGTCCCGTGGGTGACCTGACTTCAAAAGGAGGGTGAGGGAGTTGGAGAGCACTTGTGCAGTTGACCACACTTGCCTGCAAGAGCAGAGCTGCTTACACTCTAACCTCACATGGGATTCGGTACGTCTGGGGAAGGGCCCAGACTTTGCATTTCTTGCAAACTTTGCAGGCTGTCTGAGGAGCAAGGGCAGAGCTGTGGAGCCAACAAGCTGAAACAAACTCATTCCTTCCTCTCCTTCTCCATCCTCCCCGTCCTCTGCAGAGACACAACTCAGCTTGTAGCTCTGTCGTTCTGCATTGCAAACCAAGAGAAATATCCTTAGCAGTCTGAAGACACTGTGATTTACCTCGAGGGTGCAGAGGACACAGAGGAATAGATAATGAAAGCCATTAGCTGTGTGACAAACCTGCAGAGTATGGGAAAGGACGGAACACAGGAGCGCTGCAGCTGTACGAAGAAGCCCCATCCGTCCAGCTAGAGGCCGTGCATTTGCATAAGCAGGTCTCTTAATGGACCAAGTTAGATCTAATTGTGTCACCTCTTTCTCTCCTTTCCCTCCCAATGAGTTCACAAAGCTGGGAGGGTCAGTGAGCTCCGATGGGGGCTTGTAAAGGCTTCAGCCCCTTTGAACGCGCTCCTTGTCATTGTCACACTGTGGTGGCCTGGGTTTGTCCTCCTTGCATGTGCCAGCAGTGATTGATGACTCACAGGGGCAATTCCATTGTCCCAGAGCCTGGAGCTCCTGTTGCTCCGGGGTCTTCTTTGGTGTTGAAGAGAAGCACTCATCCCTTCGTCAGAAGACACACACACACACACACACACACACACACACACATACGCACACTCCATGTAGGCTTAGTAAGCCCAGCCAGTCAGTGCCCAGTCAGCCGTCCCCCTTCCTTGTGGCTGAACCGCAGGAGGTGGGGGTGCATCTGCTCTGCACCACTCAGCCAGAGATGCAGGAGCCTCTGCCCAGCTCAGAATAGATGATGTTTTCTTATTAGTGGCTTTATTTAAAAGCCATCCCAGTCATTTCACATTTTTTTTTTAAAGTTTTGATTGACATCTATTTGGTCAACCTGTGCTCCCTATGGACTAAAATAGCTGACTGGGGCATTGTCTGGGCTTATTAAACCTGCATGTTGTGTGTGTGTGTGTGTGTGTGTGTGTGTCTGTGTACACGCACGTGTGCACACGCAGGACAAGCATAGCATGGAATTTGATGGAGTGGATGTGGAGGGAATTGAAGTGGTCTCCGTGCAGAAGGGGGAAGGTAGGAACCAAGTGAAGTGCCTTGTACAGGCGTCCTGCTGCCGCTAGAGGGCGAAGTGAGTCTAGAATCCACATGCCCGCGTCCTGCCTGCGAGTTTTCCCCTAAAGCAGCTGTGCTGGCTCCCGGACAGCAGCTTCAAGTTGACCTCTTAGAAGCCCGACCCTAATTTCCGATGGGCTCAGGGTCATAAATTAGATTTCTGTTCTAGGAAACTAATTTCATACCACCACAATACTTTAAAAAGTGATCACAAAATGAAATACACATATACGTTTTACAAATAATTACATGAAAACCTAACACTTAAGGCTAAATTCCTTTGGTGGGTGTAGGGGATGGGGATTGCTTGGAGAAGACATAATGAGGCTTGCAGTCTGATGAGGTTTGAACTGCAGGTACCCTCTTTCTTTCCTGTGACTTTCCCTTTAGCAAGCACAGCCATTCCTCCTTGCCACAAGGGCCTTCAAACTGTGATGGAAATGAGGGTCATCTGTCTTGGAAATATGCACCGCTGAGTGGATCTGCCTGCCCATTTCCGGAGCCCTGTGCCTGGCGACTGCTGGGGGATGGGCAGTTGCAGTGGTGACTCTGGAGGGGCAGCTCAGTTCATAGGATGTAATCATGGTTGGATGGACTCCAGAGGGTCATAGGATCCTTTGAAATTATAAGCAAGTATTTGATTGTGAGTTTATCTGGGTAGAGTGTCCAAAGCATTCACTGGAGTCTCAAGGGAATCCATGGTCCCCAAGAGACACTATTGTACGTTCAGGTTCCTTTCTAGTAATACTTTTTTCTAAAAAGTGTCTGTAGGTCAGTTCTTCTAAGGACTTCTAGAGATAGTAGTGATAGTGGTACAACAAAGTGAAGGTACTTAACTGTACACTTAAAAATGGCTAAGATAGTACATTTTATGTTATGTGTATTTTACTACGACTAAAAAAAAAAAAAAAAAAAAAAAAAAACCAACAAAAAAAAAAACACCAACAGGGAGAACCACTTGAGCCTGAGAGGTCAAAGTTGCAGTGAGCCATGATCACGCCACTGCACTCCAGCCTGGGTGACAGAGTGAGACCCTGTCTCCAAAAACAAAACAAAACAAAAATATGTCTATAGGTCAGTCCTCCTAAGGCGGGGGGTGAATACATACATACGGCATCCTTGTGCGCACAAACACAGGGTGCACATGCAGGCCCCTCCCTCCCACGCATGTGCCCACAGGTTCATAGGCATCAGCATCTCTAGAGCCAGCCCCCTCCACTCCCTCCCGACCCTGCTCTGTAGAATTCCTATACAAGGTTCTTGTGGATTTGTATCATCCCTTGCACCTCTCACGTGTCGCAGGACAGAACACTCGGCATCCTGGGGGCTTCCTTATCCCACAGCCCCAAATTCCGGGAACAGCATGGATGTGGGAGGGGGCATGGAATCCAGACCTGGATTCTTGTCCCGGACCTACCCCTCACCCTTGTGAATTTGAGTAAGGCATGTGAATTTGAATAAGATCCCTAACTGCTTTGGGTTTCCTGGTGGGTAAAGTGAATTCAAGTAAGGTCTGTGAATTTAAGTAAGGTCCCTAACTGCTTTGGGTTTCCTAGTGGGTAAAGTAGAATAACGGCCCCACCCTGCAGGATGAGTAGCCTGATGACGTGAGATGGTGAAAGAGAGGCACCCTGCAATCCGTCTCTGCCCCATTAGAGGGGCCCTGCAAACTCCTCCTGACATCCATTAGAAAATGGACACTGTACCTGGTGCTTAAAACGCAAATGCTGCTTTCCTGGCACTCTGAGTATGTCTCCTGTCATCTCCTAGAATCAGGAGGTTACTTGGGAAGTTGGTGGCGCTTGGTGTTTAGAGCGTATATCTCTTTGGGTGGAGGGCAGGCGGGCAAGTCTAGCTCTCTTGCCATCAGGTGACCCAGGACAAGCTCTCTGTTAGCTTTCTGTCTTTATAATGGCGTCATGGCCACTGGGATCAGCTGGGTTGGGCAGGAGAAAGAATGGCCAAGCCATATGCTTGGGGCAAGTCCTTCTGCTGTCACGTTCCTTTTGCAGTTCTGTAGAGGAGCACAGGGTCAGCGCTGGAAGCTGCTGATACAACAGGCTGGAGCATAACGAGGTGTCTTTGTGGGGTGTGCTTGTCATGTTCCCAGATGTGTATTATTTGACAGCTAAAGAAACAAAAGCAACAAAATATGGCATGTACGTAGAGTGGAATAGTGTGCAGCCTTAAAAAGAAAGGGTATTCTGACGCATGCCACCTCCTGGAGGAAGCTTGAAGACATTAAGTGAAATATGCCAGTCACAAAAAGACATACTGTGGAATTCCATGTATATGAGGGAGCTTAGAGGAGTCAAATTCAGAGGAGACAGAAAGCAGAATGGGGGTTGCCCGGGGCTGGGGAGTAGGGGAACAGGGAAGTTTTTTTGTTTTTGTTTTTTTCCTATTTGTATTTTTATTAGAATTATTGAAGGAGAGGGGAGAGGTGCTATTGATAATATTGGGGCTTCTCATCTAAAAATATGGGGAGACTCTTTGAATCCATTTGTATTGTATAACAAACTACCCCAAAACTTAATGACATAAAACAACAAATACGTCTTATTTCTTACAGTTCTTGTGGTCTGGAGAGCCCATCTGAGGCTGAATAGTCTTAGGTGGCCTTTCCTTCATGTTGGGGTCTCACCTTACACAGCTAGGATGATGCGGGCCTCTTTCCATATGGTCTCGGATCTGCAGAGTTACTAACCCAGCCAGGTTCAGTGGTAGCACAGGTGATCCTGGCAGCAAGAGAGGGCAGCCCCCACCCCATGTACAAGTGCTTTTCATGCCTATGTTAGTATCACATATGCTATCGGGGAACAGGGAAGTTTTATGCAGAGTTTCAGTTCAGAAAGATGAAAAAGTTCTAGAGATAGTAGTGATAGTTGTACAACAATGTGAATGTACTTAACACAACTGTACACTTAAAAATGGCTAAGATAGTACATTTTATGTTGTGTGTATTTTACCACAACTTAAAAAAAAAAAAGGAGAATCACTTGAGCCTGAGAGGTCCAAGCTGCACTGAGCCCTGATCACGCCACTGCACTCCAGCCTGGGTGACAGAGTGAGACCCTGTCTCCAAAAACAAACCACCACCAAAAACCAAAGAGATGGCCTGTGAAATAAACGTCACGTGTTTTGAGTCCCGGGGATGTGAGCTGGGTAGGGAGAGTCTGACTCACATACAGGCTGATCCATGTCTAGAGCTCCTTTGGGTATTTTATAACCTACTGGGCTCCTGGGGCAGGGCAGCATCCTTGTCTAGCCACCTGTGGGAGTAGTCAGGAGCCAGGGTTCAGGGCTGGCCTCGGCTGCTGACCGGTGGCTGTGGTCATGCCTGTCCTCTCCCCCAGGCTTCCCTGTCCTCAGCTGAGAAACAGGAATAAGAAGCCTACATTTTAGTCAATGGAAGGTTCACGTGAACAGAGGGTGGAAGCCCTTTGGAAACACTGTTGTTCTGGACAAACACAGGGTCCTGGTCTCCACTCTGGGCTCTGGGTCTCAATGCCTTTCTAACCTTGCCCACTGGTGCCCACTGCCACCTGTGCTGCCAGGAGCCATCCTGCATTTCCCAGGGTGGTATGAGAGCGTGTCACCTCCATGTAATAGGCTGAGACACTCGGGCACTTGGAGAATCTCGGTGATCCTAATCGTAAGCTTGTTAGCAGGCTGCAGTCAGCAGAATGATCACATGTTCATTACATTTATTACCAGAAAGGCTCTTTACTGGCCGCCCTAGAAGGACGGATGGGACCTGCTGTGCCCGGCTGGCACGCCTTCCATAAGGAGTGACCCGGCTGCTTTTCGTGCATCTGTGGTGTTCCTATGAGTCGCTGGAGCTGGAGACCGAGCTGAGGTGGATGAGGCCTAGGGGGCTGGGGGCTCCATCACAACTTACACATGCCTACCCGCCTTCCTGCCCCAGAGATCTGCTGCTCAGCCATAGAAATGGGGACTCCATGGGGGAATGTGGAAATGGGGGCTACTTAAGGAGGGCAGGATAGGCAGGCTAGCTTTCACCCCTGGGTGGGTATTTTTGGGAAATGGAGCCAGTACTCTGCAGTAGTTAAAACACGCCAGGCAGGCTGTGTCGTGGCTCACACCTGTAATCCCAGCACTTTGGGAGGCCAAGATGCGAGGATCGTTTGAGGCCAGGAATTTGAGACCAGCGTGGACAACATATAGGGAGACACTGTCTCTATAAAAAAATTAAAATTAGCCAGGTATGGTGGTGTACGCACTTGTAGGCCCTGCTTTTCTGGAGGGGCTGAGGTACAAGGATCGCTTGAGCCCAGAAGGTAGGGCCTGCCATCAACCATGGTTGCACCAGTGTACTCCAGCCTGGGTGGCAGAGCAAGACCCTGTCTCAGCAACAGAAAAGCCAGGCAGGGCATGGTGCACTTTCTGTGCCCTCTCTGCATTCCTCGTCCTAGCACAGTGAACTAGGTAAGGGGCCCATTTCACAGGCAGAAAAGCTGAGTCCAAGGAGAAAATGACAACAGAAGGAAGGCACAGGAGGCTTCCTGGGGTCATTGAGGAAGAGTCTGTGAGAAAAACACAAATGACCAATTCTGTTAGGTGACCTTCCAGAAATTCCCTGGGCCAGGTGTCGCCCCACATGTGTTACTGTATGCAGTCCTGCTGACTTCTTTCTAAAAGGTCAGCAAGACACACACACAAAAAAATGCCACAAGCAAAAGTCAAGATACTTGGAGTCAGTAAGAGAGAGAAAAGTTGCCGGGAGCTAGGCTCAGGTCATTCCTCCCCTGAAGTGGAACGTGGAAGGGGCATGTGAGACTGACTGTCAGTACAGCCCTGGGGGTACCTGGCCCCACAGGCTGGAGTAGGGAGCTGGGCCGGGGCTACCCTATGCAGAGGCAGGCCCTGGGGTTGAGCAGCAAGAGCACCTCTTTCCAGGCTTTTGAACCAATCTAGGCAGTTACTTCAACCAGGCAAGTCCGTCATGACCTGAACTCATTCTCCATCCCCAAAAGTGGCCCCATAGGGCCTGGAGGATGAGCACAGTCCCCTGAGGGCACCTGGGTCTTGAGGCCGGAGCGCCACTGCCCTGCCTCCCTCTGTCCAGCACAGTGTTTCTGGTGACATCCCACTGTCACGGGTGCAGCCTCCTTATTGGAAGGCGCCTAAAGATTCAGTAGGTGATGTGGGCAGTTGTCTCGGCAGTCACGAATGGTCAGCCGTTTTTATGGGTCCTCCCCATGGACGACGGGAGAGGGGAGAGGCCACCAGGCTGCGCATTACCTGGGTCCCCACCCTCTTCCTCCTCTCCAGCTCTCCTGACAGTTCTCTCCTGCCTGCTCCTGAGGGCCAATGAGAGGCAGTAAAACCGAGATCCGGATCTAAGGCGTTCCATCTGCTCCAATTCGTTAAGGAAAAGTAGATGACCACAAGCATTGGTGTGTCAGCCATGATCAGTAACACGCTACCTAGGAACCCCTGCCCCATCACTGACTGGGACACCTGGTGTGTGTTGATAGTGCAGGAAGGGGGCTCAGGAGACTGGCATGCACCCATGCCGGCACCTGCATAGCTTGGCCCCGGTGCCAGGTTGACCAGTGGACTTGGGGTGGGGCGGGGAGGGGGGGTGGCAGCAGAGGAACCATCTGTAACCCAGAGGTGACAGTCTTCGTCCCCTATCTCCCCCTGCTCCTGCACCACCCCACTCTCCCTGCAGAAGAGCAAATGGGCTTTTTCAGGAGCCGTGGATGACAGAGAGGCATTCTTCTGTGCTCCCTGCAAGGACACAGCACCACAGGGCCACCATCTAAAGACTGAACCTGCCCATGGAACTGGCCAGGACTCTGTGACACGGAAAGTGGCTGCCTGAGTCCGTCGTCCCCTTCTCCCTCCCACCATTCCTTCCCAGGCCCTAGAGGAGGTGCTGGGTCTTGAGGTAGCAACAGGGACCCAGGTGGAATCCAGAAGCAGAGAGAATCTCCAGGAGATCCCAAGAATCCATAGTTCATTTTCTCATTCATTCATTCATTCATTCATTCATTGCACACAGTGCACAAAGCCCCGAGATGAGGGAGAGACACAGACAGTCCTGGGTAGTGGAAGTGGCTTGGAGAACAGAAGGGTTTTTGTAATGCAGCGTCATCAGCGCTGTCGGGCATTGCGATGCCACGCGAACATAGTATGTGGAGCAGCTTCTGCCTTCAAGAAGCGGGCAGGTTTCATAGAGGTGGGGACATTTGGTCTGGGTCCTCAGAGATGGATAGGAGTTCCTGCGATGGAAAAGAGGAAAGGACATTCCTTGGAGATCGTGTGCAAGGGAATGGAACATTCGGGAAACAGGTAAAAATGAACACCACCAAAGAAAATAGTGCGCAGAGGGGAAGGAAAGGCTGAAAAGGTAGAAGATGGTGAGGGAGACGATGCTGAGGGGTGAATCAGGGAGAAGGGCCTGGGGTGGAGCGGGAATGGGGAGAAGGCCCGGGGTGGAGTGGGATGGAGAGAAGGACCCGGAATGGAATAGGATCGGGGAGAAGGGCCTGGGGTGGAGCAGGAATGGGGAGAAGGCCCGGGGTGGAGTGGGACGGGAAGAAGGACTCGGGATGGAATAGGATCGGGGAGAAGGGCCTGGGGTGGAGTGGGATGGGGAGAAGGACTCGGGATAGAGTGGGATTCGGGAGAAGGGCCTGGGGTGGAGAGGGACAGGGAGAAGGGGCCAGGGTGGAGTGGGATCAGGGAGAAGGGTCTGCGGCGGAGCTAAACTGGACGGGGAGAAGGGCCCGGGGTGGGTTGGATCGGAGAGAAAGGCCTGGGGTGTTCTGATTCGGGGCCAGGGAGAGGCCCCCTCCTGGGTTAGGGGAGGTGCTGGGGCAGGCCCAGATCTCCCAGGCTCCCTGGTGAACAGTCAGGGCAGTGCACTCTTTGAAGATCGCCAAGCCTGCAGGGCCCTGGAGGGAGATGTCATGATTAACTTAATGCTGTCACTTGTGCCGCACACAGCGGGGCCCACCCCGGGGGACAGCGAAGGAGCAGGGCGGCTGCGAAGCCCACTGAAATCAAGACGTGAATCTGAACAGTGGCGGAGGGAGACCTCGCAGAATGCATGGAGTTGTCCGAGGGGAGTGACTTGCAAGTGAGGCAGCGGACGAAGGGGGACCAGGAAGACACTAGATGTGACCTTCCGTGGTCCCTTTCCCCTTCTTTCGCACCTAGTCTCTTTTTTGTCCTTTCCCTCAGTTTTGGCGGCGGGTGGGGGGATGGGGGAGAGTGCTGGGAAGGACAACCGAAGCCTGCAGATTGACGCCACGCTCATCGCAGGCCGGTGGCCGCCACCTCTATCCGCCACCCGACAGGACCCGTCCATGAGGTCCCAGGCCCAGGGCGGTGCAGAGGCGTGGGTGGGCTGCGGTTTCCCTGCTCGCCTTGGAGGTTTTTCTTAGTGAAGTGTCTGCCATCTTGTGGCTGAGGCTGGTACTGCCGAGGCCCACCGGCAAACCTCCCTTCCGGGCTCCCCAAGGGGGTCCCTGGGCCTGCAGGTGGCTGCGAAGGGAGGAGGAGGAGGGGAGGTGGGCAGTGGCGCTGGCCTCCCTGCGTGGACCCACTTCCTCCCACGCTGTGCTCAGAGAATCTTCTGGAGACCGCAGCTGTGCCTGGGAGGCCATCCTTGTGCCTAGGAGGACAGGGAAGAGGGTGGATCTCAGACACAGGCAGGCTGGGAGGTCTGCACAGGTGTGGCCATAGAACATGGACGCCTCCAGTACGCAGGCACAGGCAGCTCAGGGCCGGGAGCGAGGCCCGTCTCAGCAGGCGGTGTCAGCCGCGGAGTGGGTAGGTCCTCTGAGGACGATCACACCTGTGGGCAAGAGCACACCCGGGCTCTGGGCCAAGTAAGCCTGTGAATCCCACTGGCGTTGTGAACCCGGAGCCCTTGGGATCCGATTTTTTATTTGCTATTTGGATACAGCTGTAAGAGATGACAGATTATTTTACATCCCTCAGTTCTCCGAACTTGCCTTGGACCAGAAATGTCAGGCCCTCACCGTGCCTTTTTCTCTTCTCCAAACTCTCTGGTGCTGCCTGGAGCAGATGGCACCCCCCACAGACGTCGTCCTTATTGTTGTCACCAGAATATTCCATTTCCACAGCCACCTGGCATCCCAAAGCCTTCCTTCAGTGGGCAGCCTCTTCACAGGCAAATGATAGCGATGGTTCAAGTCACACGGCCAGCACATACTCCATTTCCAAGGAGGTCATTGCTAACTCTAAATCTACCCCTGTTAGTTAGCCAACCCCACGTGCTCATTCTTAGAGAGGTTCTGTTCCCTGAAAACAGTCTGGAGCCAAATGCTGTGTGAGCTGGGGCCCGGTCATGGAAACAGAAAACTTCCATTCCGTCAAGCTGGATGGATTCTACAGAAGGAATTCGGTGTTTACAGAATCGTTAGCAGGGCTGTTCGCGTGAAGGTCAGGGAAAAGCACCCCAAGATTTCAGGATACCAAGAAGTTACTGAAATTGCCAAAAGTCATTGCTGATGGCATTCCACGGACTCTCTGGAGAGGGCCAGGAGGAGCTGGCAGAGTCTTGGGTCTGCTTCCTGCAGAGTCCTGCGCTCATCCTCACAGCTGCGCCCTGCAAAGAATAGCTTCTCCTTTTACGTAGCCTGCCAAATTTCGTGTGAGTTTCTCTGATTGGTGGAATCTGAAGCAGGGCCTTGCTGGCAGCAGAATCTGGGGAATGCAGTCTGCGAGCTTTCCGCCTGTGCGGTACGAGGGTGAGCTGAGAATGTCAGGGACCAAGGCACAGTATCTGATACACACTTTTAAATATGGGTGATAATAATAGGACTTCCTTCCCGTGGCTGTTGTGAGGCTAAAATTAACATGTGTGAAGTCTTTGCACAGATCATGGCATATGGTAGACCCTCAATAATTGCTAGTTTACAAAAAATTGTCAAAACTGACATTAGAATGGCTCCTCATTCTCATTCCTAACCCCTGCAAGAAAACTGGCTGCCTCTGAGCTGGCTGGTCTAACCCACCCGTCTTGGCGGGGACCCTGCCCCTTGTCGTTCCGGACCTGCTGGGCCTCAAGATCCTCGATCGGCCTTCTGCTGGCTCAGACGGCGAAACAGAGATGCAGGAAATAAGTGACGTTGCTCAAGAAAAACCTGACGCAGTGAATCATGCTGAATATTAATATTGGATGCACTGTGCTTGGCAGACTTGAAGACTTCATCTCACATGGACCAGTGGACAGTCAGAGTGTGGTTGGTCCCCTCGTGAAAACATGGGTCCTGGCTCTGCTTTGCAGCTCTTTACTGAATGGAGGCAGTGAGAGTGGGTTGAGCCTCTGTGGCCGTGTGCTCACATGCTTCAAGCAGCCTGCAACAGGAAAGAATTAGGGCACAGCTGAAATCCAAAGGGGAGAAGAAGCAGGCTGAAATCCACGGGGAGCAATGTCTATTTCTTAGTCTGTCTCCTGCCCCAAATAGCCCCTCTCTCCTTTCCCAGCTTGTGTTGATGCGTGTCTTTCCCTGGCAGCAGATGTCACCGGGACGTAAACTAGGACGCAGAGGGTGGTGATGAGCCACAGGCCACATCCTGCCCTGCCCTGACTCCCCAGGCTCCCTGGCCTGGAGTTCAGAGTACAGACCCCAAGCGACCGCCTGCTCACCAGGACGTGCCAGCAGGGTCCTTCTCCCGAGAGCCACAGCGAGTGAGGGGACACTCTGTCTATCCTGGGAGTGGGCTGGGGTCCTGTTCCTGAGCTGGTGGGCAGATGCGATAGTGCCAGGTAGAGCTGCAGCCATTCTGTCCATCCCTACCCTGTCCACCCGTTTCATTCCCTCCCACTGTGGCCCTGCTGAGCCCTCTCAGGGACATCCATTTACCCTCGGGGACAGCCAGGGAGCCATGCTTACCTGCTGTTTCCCCTGGGAGAGCTTTGGGGCCAGTTTCAAACAGACCCACAGCGTCCAAACCAGGGCCCCCAACATGCACTTGGGATGGCAGGGGTGTGGGGGTAGAGTGTAAGTTACTGATTTAAAAATCTGATATAAACCTGATTTCAGTTCCCAGTCAACTGAGGCACAGCAAGGTAAGTCCCTGCCCAGCGTCACTCCACTTGGAATGCGGAGAGCCCGGCCTAAAGGGGACCCACTGCACATCCCAAGCCACGCGTCTGCTCACTGCAGCCCTGGCCCCTCAGTGCCACCCCTCGCAGGTGCTGTCTCTCTAGCATGGGAGCTGATGGCGCCTTTCTGTGTCCCCACAGGTTCTTTCAGAGCACGGCTTCGGCCCCATCACTACCGACATCCGGGAGGGACAGACTTTCTACTATGCGGAAGACTACCACCAGCAGTACCTGAGCAAGAACCCCAATGGCTACTGCGGCCTTGGGGGCACCGGCGTGTCCTGCCCAGTGGGTATTAAAAAATAATTGCTCCCCACATGGTGGGCCTTTGAGGTTCCAGTAAAAATGCTTTCAACAAATTGGGCAATGCTTGTGTGATTCACAATCGTGGCATTTAAAGTGCACAAAGTACAAAGGAATTTATACAGATTGGGTTTACCGAAGTATAATCTATAGGAGGCGCGATGGCAAGTTGATAAAATGTGACTTATCTCCTAATAAGTTATGGTGGGAGTGGAGCTGTGCGGTTTCCTGTGTCTTCTGGGGTCTGAGTGAAGATAGCAGGGATGCTGTGTTCACCCTTCTTGGTAGAAGCTAAGGTGTGAGCTGGGAGGTTGCTGGACAGGATGGGGGACCCCAGAAGTCCTTTATCTGTGCTCTCTGCCCGCCAGTGCCTTACAATTTGCAAACGTGTATAGCCTCAGTGACTCATTCGCTGAAATCCTTCGCTTTACCAAATCTAGACATACATAAGGGACTTTCTCTCCCTTTTCAGCCCTCTCTGTGCAGAGAAAAGATGTGAGTCCGCTTGATGAATTCTAATGCTTTGCTTAGAGCTATGAGAAATGTTTGTTTTAATAAAAACCTACAGTCCAATAATGCCAACTGCCTGACATCTCCTCTGTCTTTGGCTTGCTTAGGTAGAATATTTTTAAGTGCTGTAAGATGAATTTAAGAGCTCTAAACAGCTTGGGAGGGAAAAAGCCTCAGAGCCGTTTACCTCCAAATGGGAACAATTCGGATGAAATTTTTGGTAAACATGCACACCTCTAGCTCCTTGCAACCTAAGTAATAGTAGTTGTTCTCCAGGTGCCTGTCACATCCCTCACGTCACAGGCTGTTCTAGTTATAGCAGACCCCTTCAATCCCTGCCCTTAAGAACCTTTACATTCCAGACAAGGAGTCATAAACATGGAAAGAAATGATGAAATAAGATGATGTCAGGTTCTGATGAGGGATGCGAAGATGATGAATGGGCTAGGGCAGTCAGTTGCGTCTGGGGGCTGTGAGATCGTGTTCAGGGGTGTTTTAGCGAGGTTGGTCACGGAGGCCTTCGCAAGGTGGTGAGACCTGATGTGTTAGTCCCTTCTCACGTTGCTATAAAGAACTGCCCGAGACTGGGCAATTGATAAAGAAGAGAGGTGTGATTGGTTCACAGTTCCACAGGCTCTACAGGAAGCATGATTCTGGCATCTGCTTGGTTTCTGGGTAGGCCTCAGGAAACTTAGAATTATGATGGAAGCGGGAGGGGGATCAAGTCGGGGTGCCACATACTTTTAAACCGTGAGATCTCAGGAGACCTCCTTCAGGAGAACAGCACTGAGGGATGGTGCTGAACCCTGAGAAGCCGCCCCCATGGTCCAGTCCCCTCCCACCAGGCCCCACCTCCAATACTGGGGATTACAATTCGACAGGAGATTTAGGGGGGAACACAGATCCAAACCATATCACTTGAGAACGAAATGAACTAAATCAGTAGTCCCCAGCCTTTTTGGCACCGGGGACCAGTCTCATGAAAGACGATTTTCCCACAAGTGGGTGGTGGGAGGAAGGGGGATGTTTTTGGAATGATTCCAGCACATCACACTTATTGTGCACTTTATTATTATTACATTGTAATATATAATGAAATAAGTATACAACTTATCATCATGTAGAAACAGTGGGAGCCCTGAGCTTGTTTTCCTGCAACTAGATGGTCCCATCTGGGGGCAATGGGAGACAGTGACAGATCATCAGGCATTGGATTATCATAAGGAGCATACAGCCCAGATCCCTCACATGCACCGTTCACAATAGGGTTCACACTCCTATGAGAATCTAATGCCACCACTGATCTGACAGGAGGTGGAGCTCAGGAGGTAATGTGAGCAATAGGGAGCGGTTGTAAATACAAATGAAGCTTCGCTTACTTGCCTGCCACTCACCTCCTGCTGTGAGGCCTGGTTCCTAGCAGGCCACCGACCAGTACCAGTCCGTGGCCCAGTGGTTGGGGACTCCTGAACTAAATGATGCAGGACCTAAAGGAGGAAGCATGTTGGGAATACACTAGTGGAAGTGGAAGCTATTCCATCAGTAGAGAGAACCCTCAGTGAGGCAGGTGGAACCAGGTCACAGAGAGCCTTCTATAGGATGACATAATGGGCTTTTTAGTTTATTCTATTTAATTGGGCAGCATTGGAGCTTTTTACACACTTTCTCCCTCATTTATTTTTAACCGGAGCAACTGGTTGGCTGGGGGTATGATTTGCTTGTAGGAAGGTGGATGTGAGGTAGAGGTAATGGGATGAATTGTGCAGTTTTGGCCACACAAATTTGAGATGCTCCTCGGATGTCCCGGTGGGGATATGGAGCAGGGCAGTTGGTTGCATGGGTCTGGATCTTGGAAGGGATCAGAGGAGGAGAAATTTCAGAATCCCCAGCATATAGATGGCGTTTGAGGCCACGGGACCAGCTGATATCATTTAGGGAGAGACCGGAGAGAGAGAAAGGGTTTGAACATTGAGTGCCGGGGTGTTCTGACATGCAGAGGTCTGGGAAAGAAGGAGCAAAGGAATTGGAGGAGTGACCCCTGAGGTAGGCACAGGCAGCGAGTGTGTCTGTCCTACAAGCAAGTTGCTTGTAGAGTCTGGGGAAAAGCTTAGGCCAACTTCCATGTTCAAAGCAGAGCGAACTAAAACTGACGGGGCGTCCAGCCCTTCGAGGAGGGATCTTGCAGTGTTTCAAGTGCCACATCCCTTGAATCTTGCCCTAAGCCTTCCCCAGAAGGAACCGGGATCTTTTACCAAGGTGACTCTGTACTGGTGAAATGGAAATAGCCCAGGCCTTCTAGGAGTTATTACCCACTGCTCCTAAACGTGAAAGACCAAGGTCCACTGCAGAGTGGGGTTTATGAAGACCAGGTGACAGATGGGATCTTGCTCCAAGTCTGTCTCTCAGTGGGTCCGGTGGGTCAGAACAAGCCTGAAGTTATTTCCTCACTCCCAGAATGCGTAGTGTGTATTAGCCATGATTCCAGCTTCTGCAGCTTGATCTGTCAGTATCCATTCACCCCACGCGCATATGCCCCTGACCTCCTGCCTGCCCCCTCACCCCTGCTTCTCACTGGGAGGAGTCTTTCTCTTAGGGGTGCAGGTTTATTTTTGTTTTTGTTTTTGTTTTTTTTTGAGATAGAGTTTTGCTCTTGTTGCCCAGCCTAGAGTGCAGTGGTGCGATTTCGGCTCACTGCAACCTCTGCTTCCCGGGTTCAAGCGATTCTCCTGCCTCAGCCTCCCGAGTAGCTGGTATTACAGGCATGCACCACCATGTCCAGCTAATTTTGTATTTTTTGTAGAGACAGGGTTTCTCCATGTTGGTCAGGCTGGTCTCGAACTCCCAACCTCAGGTGATTCACCCACCTCGGCCTCCCAAAGTTTTAGGATTACTGGTGTGAGCCACTGCACCCGGCAAGGGTGCAGTTTTTTAAATACAAACCAATTGATCCAGAGTTCACAGCCCAACCACCTCCTCTGTCTGGCTCTCACACTCCAGGCCGCTCTCCAGCTTTCCTAAGTGCCCCAGGCCAAGTGCTTGACAGCTAGGGACAGCCCCTGTGCCCCAGAGCTGCTGAAATTTTTCACACGCGCCTGTCCTGAGCCTGTTCATTCTGCCATTCCTTCCCATGGAAACCACAGTAGAGGCTCTGTCCACAGTTTCCACCCCCCTCTGCTCCAGTTCTTCCGCTTCTCTTGGGACCTGTGAATAACAAACTGTTAACAGCAGCCATCTCTAGGTCTGTTGGCCTTATTAGACCTAAATAACAATACAACCTATTAAAACATCATGAGATAGATATACCTAATAACTGACAAAATCGCCATTTTAGCTCCCTGATCCATGGAGTAAAGTCTCCTGGACTCCCCCTCTCCCAATATAGTGAATAAAACAATACCTTCTCTTGGGGAATTTCAAATTTTGGTGGCACCAGTGGCAAACCCAAATGATGCAGGGGTGGGCATTGCTGCCTGACCCTATGTTGTCACCCTGTTTGGCAGATGAAATACTGTTTCTGTCTCCCAGTGTTGTGTCATGCGTGGGTTTCATTCACATGTTCTCAATGTGTTCTTGAAAATCATTATGGAAAATACTTAATGAGCCGGGCCTGGGCATGGTGGCTCGCACCTGTAATCCCAGCACTTTGGGAGGCCGAGGCGGGCGGATCACCTGAGGTCAGGAGTTCGAGACCAGCCTGGCCAACATGGTGAAACCCCGTCTCTACTAAAAATACGAAAAAATTATCCAGGTGTGGTGGTTGGCACCTGTAATCCCAGCTACTCAGGATGCTGAGGCAGGAGAATCACTTGAACCTGGGAGGCAGAGGTTGCAGCGAGCCAATATTGCACCACTGCACTCCAGCCTGGGCAACAAGAGCGAGACTCCATCTCAAGAAAAATAAATAAACAAAAATTGAACTGGACAGTTCACTTAGGGACATGTTGCTTGTTTAACGTCTTAGAGCTTCTGTTGTGATGGCCATGACGTGTCATTCTACTGCCCCTGTTGACCCTGCCACCCCCAACTTCTAGCAGAAAGTGCTGGTAGATTGCCACGCTCTTTCCTGCCAAGCCCAGGCACACTTTCAGAATTCCTCTACACCAAGGACCTTGGGAAGGCCCTGCCAACCTATCAGACTTGGTTTCCAGGTGAGACCCAGAGCTTTCCTTCCAGGTGAAACCAGAATTGCTGACTAAAGCTTTGGATGTAATGTCTCAGCCGGGGGTAAGTTCACCGAAGAGATGTCATCTAAAGAACAGGGTATCATGATGTTAGCCACAGCATGCTGATCAGAGAGCCTGGAACAGGTGCTTTGCTGAAATCTGGAAATTCCACAGAGGTTGGTGGAGCGATCAGCTGGAGTGAAGTGAGACAGACCTGAGGGAAAATGCTAGCTCTGCCTCTTATAGATTGAGTGACCCTGCAGAAGTCACATGATCATTCTGAGGCTCAGTTTCTTTGTGTGTAAAACAGCGATAATCATACCCATGTTGCAGGACTTGGGGAAGATTAAATACTATGCATACACACACATATATATGTGTGTGTGTGTGTGTGTATATGTATGTATGTATGTATATACTTTGTACAGAGCCTGAGATACAGTAAGTGTTCTCTACATGGTAGATATTATTATTGTCTTCTTGTAAAGGAGAGAAGGGGATTATTTGCTGAGAACTTTAAAAAAATCTCATTCGCTTTTGTGAGTCCACCCTGTCCCTGGAATGATGAGTGACATTTTCTAAACATTATTAGTTTGTCTGAATAGTTTATAAAATTTCCAGGGAACAACATTTTTTAACAATATGTTGACTCTGAGATGTCCTTTCTGCCCCCCAAATTTTAAATATTTCCATCAGAGAACAGGCTACACGTTCTTTGGAATGTGCTCTGAGTTCCAGCTGGGACATTGGGATACTGGGATGCCAAGAACGTGTCTGCCTGATGTCAGCAGTGGGCTCGAGGCAAATGTCCCTGAGCACCCACTAGTCACTTAGTCGGTGCATCTTCACAGAAGATGACATCTCTGTGGGCCCCTCTCCTCCCCTGCTGTACAGTGGCTCTTCTGCGACCAAGTGGCCCCCTTGGAGGTGGAAGCAAAAGGAAAGGCTCTGGACGGAGGTTCCCCAGCTCCTTGATAACGTGTAAAGATCTCTGGCAAGTCAGAGGAGTTCATTGCTCACATTAAGAGCTGCTTCTCATTGCTCTCTTATTCATTCAGCCATTAGTTAATTAATTCTCTCAACATGAATCTATTCGGTCCCGGCTGTGTGCCAGGGTCTGTGCTAGATGCCGGGGGCATCATGTCAGCCAAACATGGTTGCCAGCCTCCATAAAACTGTTCTAGTGGGGAAATTAGATATTAAACGAGCAGTGTCACAACTCCATAATTAAAAACACTGGATGAGCTTTCAGGGAAAATCATAGTGTGCTGTGAAAGAGTAAAAATGAGGGGATCCGATCAAAGCTGAGGGAGCTGCATTTGGGCTGAATTCTGCAAGATCCATGAGAAGTAACACGCAAAGTGGGTGCGAAGGTACAGTTGGGAGAGGGACACGTTCCAGGGAGAGGGACATTTTCCAGGCAGAGGCATGTGCCAAGGCCCCAGGGTGGAGCCATTGAAAGAAGGAACCTAAGAGCTGTGGTGATAGTGCCATATGTGTTCATGCTGCTTTTGTTTTTACAAAGACTTAACTTTTTAGGGCAGTTTTAGGTTCACAGCAAAATTGAGAGGAAGATACAGAAATTTCCATATGCCCCCCATGCCCTCACATGCACAAGCTCCCCAACTATCACCATCCCCCACCAGAGTGGTGCATTTGTTACAAATGATGAACCAAATTGACACGTCATTATCACCCAGAGTCCATAGTTTACATTCGGGTTTGTTCTTGGTGTTATACAGCCTATGGGTTTGGACTCTATCCACTGTTAGAGTATCATAGAGAATAGTTTCCCTGACCAAAAAATTCTCTGTGCTCCATCCACCTGTTCATTCCTGTCTCCCTCCTGACCCCTGGCAACCACTGATCTTTTAACTGTCTTCATACTTTTGCCTTTTCCAGAATGTCAGATAGTTGGAATCACACAGTAGCCTTTTCAAATTGGCTTTTTTCACTTAGTAAGTATGCCTTTAAGTTTCCATCATGTCTTTTCATGACTCAATAGCACATTTCTTTTCAGTGCTGAATAAAATCCCATTGTCTGGATGTACTGCCATTCGTTTATCCAATCACCTGCTGATGGGTATGTTGGTTGTTTCTAGGTTTTGGTAATTATGAATAACATTGCTATACATATCTAGGTTTTGGTAGTTATGAATAACATTGCTATACATATCTGTGTGCAGGTTTTTATGTGGACTTAAATTTTCAACTTCTTTGGATAAATGCCAAGAAGTGTGATTGCTGCATTGCACAGTGAGAGGTATGTTTAGTTTTGTAAGAAGTTGCCAAACTGTCTTCCAAAGTGGCTGTGCCATTTTGCGTTCTCACTAGCAATGAATGAGAATTCCAGTGGCTCCACATCTTCACCAGCATTTGGTGCTGTCGGTGTTCTGGATTTCGGTCATGTTAATAGGTGTGTAGTGATGTCTCGTTGTTTTAGTTCACATTTCCCTGATGACCCATGATGTGGAGCATGTTTTCATGTGCTTCTTTGTGTCTATATATCTTCATTGGTGAGGTGTCTATCACAATATTTGGCCCAGTGGTTAATTTTTCGTAGCTGACCAGTATGATGAGGGGTGCTAGGGATGAAGGTTGGTGAAGCCCACAAAGTGAGTTTCTGTCTTTTTGAGTATCCACATTTGAACTAGGCAACCTGGCTGCATGAAACTCGTAGCTTTTGTTTTCCCCCACTTTTTCAGCCATCTTTCAGGGTCACATCCTGAGGTAATGTTGGGGCCCCTGGTTTTTACTGTTGATAATTATTTTAAAACTGCAGTGACCTCACTGTTGCATTTAATTTTTTTAAACACAAGGGCTGGGGGTGGTGGCTCACACCTGTAATCCCAGCACTTTGGGAGGCTGAGGCAGGGAGATCACTTGAGGCCAGGATTTCAAGACTAGCCTGGCCAACATGGCGAATCCCTGCCTCTAATAAAAATACAAAAATTAGTTTGGTGGCACACACCTGTAATCCCAGCTACTCAGGAGGCTGAAGCACAAAAATCGCTTGAACCCGGGAGGTGGAGCTTGCAGTGAGCTGAGATTGCACCACTGCACTCCAGCCTGGGTGACAGAGTGAGACCCTGTCTCAAAAAAAAAAAATGTACTTTACACAAAAAACTACACACAAAGTATATAATTTGATAACTTTTTGACATACATATATAGCCATGAAATCATAGCTACAGTCAAGATAACAAATGTATCCACCACCCCAAAAATATCCTCACACCTCTTATTCCTGGGCCTGCTTCCCCTACTCCATATTCAGGACGCAGTCCTAAGGCAATCTGCTTTCTGCCATTAAAGACTAGTTTGCATTTCTGAAATTGGACTCAGCATTTACTCTTCCATCATCTGGCTTCCTACTCAACGTAAGTATTTTGAGATTCATCCATGTTGCTGCATGTCTCATTGGTTCATTCCTCTTCATTGCTAAGTAGTATTCCATCGCATGGATGTACCACAGTGGGTTTATCCATTTATCTGCTGACGGACATTTGGGTTCTTTTCAGTTTGTGATTATAACACATAAACGTGCTATGGAGTTCATGTTTTAATCTTTGTATGAACACATGATTTCATTTCTCCTGGGTATATACCCAGCTGTCAAATGCCTAGGTCATATGATAGGTGCATGTTTAACTATTTAAGAAACTGCCAGACTGTTTTCCAAAGTGATTGTAACATTTTACGTTGTTACCACCAGCAGCTATGAGAGTTCCAGGTGTGCTGCGTCATCCTGGATGCTTGCCATGGTCAATCGTTTTGAGTTTAGATATTCCAACAGGTGTGCAGTGGGATCTCACTATGGTTTCAATTTGCATTTTCCTAACAAATGATCCTGAGCCTCTTCTATGTGCTGCTTTGCCATCTGGATATCTTATTTGGTGACACATCTAGTAAAATCTTTTGCTCATTTTGGGCAGTTGTTACCTTAGTATTGAGTTTTGACAGTCCTTTTTATATTCTAGATACGTCCTTTATTAGATATCCATTTTGCAAAGCCTGTAACTTGTCTTTTTATTTTTTTAACAGTATCTTTCAAAAACAGAAGTTCTCAATGTTGATGAAGCTCAGTTTATCAAGTTTTTCCTTTATGTATTGTGTTTTTGGTATTGTGTCTAAGACATCTTTGCCTGAGATGAGAAGTTGTATGGTTTAAGGTTTTACACTTAGGCCTGTGGTCCATTTTGAGTTTGTTTTTGTACACAGTGTAAAGTATGAATTAAAGTTTGGTTTATTTTTTGCATATAGATATTCAATTATTCCAGCACCATTTGTTGACAGGCTATTGGTATGGTCTAAAAGTTTGTATCCTCTGCAGATTTGTATGTAGAGATCCTAATCCCCGAGGTGATTGTATTAGGAGGTGGGGTGTTTGGGGATCTTATTAAGTCATGAGGGCAGAGCCTTCATGAATGCCATTAGTGCCCTTATAAAAGAGCCTCAGAGACCTGCCTTGTCCGTTCCACATTGGGAGTACACAGTGAGAAGACTGTGAGTCTATGAGGAAGCAGAGCCCTGGCCAGACACCGAATCTGCTGCCACCTTGATCCTGGACTTCTCAGCCTCCAGAACTGTGAGAAATACATTTATGTTGTTTAGAAGCGTACAGATTATGGTATTTGATCATAGCAGCCTGAGTGGACTCAGACAACCATCCTTTCTCAACTGAATCGATGTTGCACATTTGTTGAAAATCAATCGTCCATATATGTGTAGATCTATTTCTGGACTGTGTATTCTGTTTCATTGATCTAGTCTACCTTTGTGCCAATGCTATACAGTTTTGATTACTAAAGATTATAAGTTTTAGAATCAGCTAGTGTAAACAGTGAAAATCACTGAGAGTTCAGAAGTTAAAGTTGTACTGCGGTTTCAAATAAGGTACTTAATGGTCCTTTTTCATCATTCAGCATGAATATCCCCTACGTATCTCTGAAGGTTGATTTTGTTCTTTATTTTAAGAATAAAATAACGTTGTGAACAGCTTGAACCTGACAAGTTCACTTGAAAGCATTGCACAGGAAGTGGATTTCTCAGCAGCCATTGGTGGGGCCTTGTGATCCCCTGATAGTGAGCAGCTCTGGGAACAGAACTGACATGAGTGTCTGGGAGGGGACATGGGAAGGATCTGCATACAAATTGAAGATCCAATTCGTATAAATTTTCTATACAATTGTATATTTTAATATATAATTATAATTGATTTTAAGTCTGTCTCTGGAAATATAAGCTTTAATAATTTACATCTTCACTTAATCACTTATGAAATCATTTTATAACCCTTAATAAAATTAGATAGTGTAACTTGTCAAACTTAGTTCTCTTATAAAGTTGCTTTTGGTTATCCAAGGTCTTTTGCATTTCCGTATGAATTTTAGAATCAGTTTGTCAGTTTTCTACAAAAAGAATTCTGCTGGGATTTCAAGGGTTTGCATTGAATCAGAATCAATTTGGAAAGAATTTACAGTTTAACAGTCTTAGGTCTTCTAATTCATGGGCACAATATGGCTCTCCATTTAATTAATTAAATTTAATTAATTTATTTGATTTATCTTAATAATGCTTTATAGTTTTCAGCATCCAGGTCTTGCACATCTTTGGTTAGATATACCCCTCAGTATTTCCCATTTGTATGGCATTGTTATAGTATTGTTTTTAAAATTGTAGTTTCCAGTTGTTCATTGCTACTTTAGGCAAATCTGATGGATTTTTGTGCATTGATTCCGTATCCTGCCGCAATGCTGAACTCACCTATCAATTGTGGTTTCTTTTTTTGGTAGATTCCGTGGGATTTTCTACGTAGATATGACGTCTGCAAATAGAGACAGTTTTACTTCTTGTTTCCAATCTGTGTACCTTTTTCCCCTTCCCCCTTACCCTGTCGCACTTTATCTCCAGTACAATTTTAATATAAGTGGTAAGAGGGGAAATACTCATCTGTTCTGATGTTAGGCTTGTATTAGTCTGTTTTCACACTGCTGATAAAGACATACCCGAGACTGGGTAATTTATAAAGAAAAAGACGTTTAATGGACTCAAGTTCCATGTGGCTGGGGAGGCTTCACAATCATGACAGAGGGCAAAAGGCACACCTTACATGGCGGCAGGCAAGAGAGAATGAGAGCCAAGTGAAAGGGGAAATTCCTTATAAAATCATCAGATCTCGTGAGACTTATTCACTACCATGAGAATAGTATGGGAGAAACCACCCCCATGATTCAGTTATCTCCCACTGGGTCCATCCCACGACATGTGGGAATTACGGGAGCTACAATTCAAGATGAAATTTGGGTGGGGACACAGCCAAACTATGCCAGTCTTTTACCATTAAATATGATGTTAACGGTAGATTTTTCATACAAGCTGTTTGTCAGTTTTCCTTCTCTTTCTAGTCTGCAGAAAGTTTGTTTTTATCAGGAATGGATTCAGATTTTGTCAGCTGTTTTTTTTGCATCCAGAAAATGATCATACAGACATTCCTTATTAGTCTGTAAATATTGTGAATTATTTCGACTGATTTTTGAGTCTTAATTCAACCTTGTATTCCTGGGATAAACCTACTTGGTCATGATTTGTATCCCTTTTATACAATGTTGGATTTGACTTGTTAAAATTTTCTTAACTATTTTTGCATCTTTTTTCATGAAGAATATTTGTCTGAGTTTTCTTGTAATGTCTTTACCTGGTTTTGGTAATGCTGGCTTAATAGAATCAGCTGGGAGGTATCTTTCGGTTTTTTGGAAAAGTTTGAATTGTTATTATTCTGTTATTATTTCTTCCTTAAATGTTTGGTGGTACTTGCCAGTGAAGCCCTCTGGGTCTTTAGTTTTTTATGCACGAAGATTTTTAATTGCAAATTTAATTTGTTTAATAGATACAGGACCATTTGGATTATCTACTTCCTGAATGAGCCTTGGTAGATTTTGGTTTTTTTTAAGTAATTTCTCCTTTTCATCTAAGTTATGTAATGTATTTGCATAATATTTCCTTATCTTAATATCCATAAAATTCATAGTGATCTTACCTCTCTCATTCCTGACATTGGCAATTTGTTTACGTTTTTTTCCTGATCAGTCATTCTACAGGTTTATCAATTTTATTGCCTTTTGAATAAACCAAATTTTATTGATTTTTCTCTAAAATTTTCTATTGAATTTTATATTTAATTGATTTCTGCCCTAATCTTATTATTTTCTTTCTCCTGCTTACTTTAGCTTTACTTTTCTCTCCATTTTACTAGTTTCTACTTGGAAGCTCAGGACATTGGCTTGAGACCTGTATTCTTTTATAATACAGGTATTTACTGCTATAAATTTCCCTGCCTTACATGGGATCTTACAAATCTGGATACATTGTGTTTTCATTTTTGCTTAGTTCAAACTATTTTTAAATTTTTCTTTTGAGTTCTTCTTTGACTTATGGATTATTTAGAATGTGTTAGTTTCCTAATATTGGAATATTTTCCAGAGGTCTATTACCAGTTTCTAATTTAATTCCATTGTTGTCAAAAAACATTGTATGCTTTTGAGTTTATTGAGACTTCTTGTATGAACCAGAATAGGATCTATTATGGTAAATGTTTCATGTATGCTTGAGAAGAACATATATTTTGCCATCATTAGGTGAAGTATACTGTAAATGTCAACTAAGTCAAGTTGGTTGATTGTGTTGTTCAAGATTTCTGTATCCTTACTGATGTTCTTTCTACCAGTTTTATCAATGAGAGAGAGGTATTTAAATCTCCAACTTTAATTGTTGGTGTGTCTGTTTCTCCATATAGTTTTGCTAGTTTTTGCTTCATATATTTGGAAGTTCTGTCACGAGATGCAGAAATGTTTAAGATTTTTATATCCTCTTGATGAGCTGACCCTCTTGTATTACAAAATGACCCTCTTTATTGCTAGTGATATTCTTTGTTCTGAAATCCACCCTGTCTTATATTAATATAGCCACTCCAACTTTCTTTAGATGAGTGTACACAGGATATATAATTTTCCGTTATTTTTACTTTGAATCAACTTGTATCTGGTTATTTAAGGTGAGTTTGTACAGCATATAGTTGAGTTGTGGGTTTTTTGTTTGTTTGTTTGTTTGTTTGTTTTTTAGCCAATCTGACAGTCTCTGACTTTAAGTGGTGTTTTAGACTATTTATATTTCGTGTGATGATTTATATGGTTAGGTTTAAATCTTCCATGTATCTATTTGTTTTCTTCTTGTCCTATTTATTCTTCATGCCTTTTTTAATGTTTTTCTGTCTTCTTTTAGGATAATGAATTTTTTAATGATTCTGTTTTATCTCCTTTGTTGGCATATTAGCTATATCTATTGTGTTATTTTAGTGGTTGCATTAAGATTTACAGTGCAACTTATCACCATAATTATCAGTTATCACTTATTGTATACTATAAATACCTTAAAATAGTATATTTCCATTTCTCTCCACCTGGTCATTATGCTGTTGTTATCATATATTATTCTAAACAGAGTATAAACTCCAGAATACAATTTTATTATTTTTTGCTTTAAATGGCCAATTACTTTTTAAATATATTTAAATAACAATAATTATTAAATAATTATAATAAAATCAAATATATATAAATTATTATACAAATTATTTTATATTTACTCACAGTTATTTCTAGTGCTCGTTTTCTCTTGGTTGATCCATGTTTCCTTCTGGTGTCATCTTCCTTCTACTTGGAAGACTTTCTTTAAGATTTCTTAGAGTGTATTTCTGCTGGTGATTAGTTCTTTCAGCTTTTGTATGTCTGAAAAAGTCTTTTTTTGGCCTTTGTTTATAAGGCACAGTTTTGTTGGACATAAAATTCTATGTTGACGTCTCTTTTCTTTCAGTAATTTAAAGATGTTGCTCCATTGTCTTTTTTTTTTTTTGGCTTGTATTGTTTCTAGTTAAAAATCTGCTATCATTCTTATTTTTGTTCCTCTGTGTATGGTGCATACAATTTTTTAACCCATTTGGCTGCTTTAATTATTTTCTCTTAATCACTGGTTTTAAGTAATTTGATTATTAAAGTGGGTAGAATTGTGTTACCACAAAATAATACATTCAAGTCCTAACCCCTGGTACCTGTGAATGTGACCTGATTAGAAATATGGTTGTTCCAGGTGTAATCAAGTTTAGATGCAGTTATACCAGATTAGAATGGGCCCCAATCTAATGACTGGTGTCTCTATAAGGTGAGGGAAATTTGAACATAGATACACAGAGAAGAGAACGTTGTATGGAGACAAAGACACACAAAGAAAATGCTACATGATGATGGAAGTAAAGATGGGACTGATGCTTCAAGCCAAGGAACACCAAGGATTGGTGGCAGCCACCAGAATTACAAAGAGGCAAGGAAGCCTCCTCCCCTAGGACCTTCAGAGAGAGCATGGCCCTGGCAACATCCTGATTTCAGGCTCTGGCCTCCAGGACTGTGACAGAATAAATTTATTTTAAGCCACATAGTTTTTGTTACAGCAGACCTAGGAAACTAATACATTTGTGATGTGCCCCGATGTAGTGTTTGTGTTTCTTATGCTTGGATTTTATTGAGCTTCTTGAATCTGCAGGTTTGTCATTCTCATCAAGCTTAGAAACTTCCATGAAATCTTCAAATATTTTTCAGCCCTCCCCAGCTTCTTTGGGAACGCCGATGAAATGACCCACAAATACTCTGATCATTTTTTAAGCTTTTCTAACTCATCTCTAAGTTTTGTTTTGGATCTATTCAGTTGTTCTGTTGCTGTATTTTCAAGTGCACTAACCTTTTCTTTTACAATGTTCAATCTGCTATTCATCCCAGCCAGCGTATTTTTCATCTCAGACATTGTGGTTTTCATCTTTTGATTTTTTCTTCTCTTGATGTTTGATTGGAGGCTTTAATGCATCATCTCTATATCTACTAAAATGTTCAATCTTTCCTCTAGCTTCTTGAATGTGTTTAATGCCTTTATTATCACTGTTTAAGTGTCCTTGTCTTTTAATTCTATTATCTGTGTTATTTCTGGCTTTCTTTGAGTGACTCATTTTTCTCATTATGGGGCTTATTTTATCACTTCTTTGCATGCCTGGTAATTTTTGATTGGATAACAGAGACGTTGTGAATTTTGCTTTTTGGGGTGCTGGATATTTTTGTATTCCTCTAGGTATTCCTGAGTTTTACTCTGTGACACATTTAAGTTACTTGGAAACCATTTAGTTCTTTCAGGACTTGTTTTTAAGTTTTCTGAGATGGGAGCAGAGCAGCATTTAGTCTAGGACTAACAGCCTACTGAGAAGCACTCTACTCTATGCTCTGTGAATTGTGAAACTTTCCACTCAGGGTGGTGGAAAATTTCCACTCAGGAAGCTAGAAACTATTCCTAGCTTGTTCCTTAACCCTTTTGGATGACTATTTCCTTAGTCTCGGAATATGGAAGAATCATGTAGCCAAGGCCTAGGTATCCGCTAGGTAGGATAGGCACAGTGCCTAGGGCCTACAGTACTTTCAGGGGCTCATGAAAATATTTTAATTTATTTTATGATTGGAAAAAAAGTCAAAGAAAATGTTTTAATACATGCTAAGATATTCATCTTTATGACAATATAATTGGAAAACGTGGCTATGTGGAGGAAGTGGTACAGGAAGGCAAAGTTGACTGGGGCCCACAGAAACATAATGCAATCTTGCATGTGGGTGGGGGAGAGCATATTGGCTATGAGCCGGGGGTGAGCATCATCTCTCAACAGATAGTAATGAAACGGTGTAATTGGGTGAGCTTCCAAATAAAGCTGGTTTCTTGGGAAACAAGCCAAAAGCAAAGCTTGGGCTCTGGGTTTGACCCCTAATGGATTGGCAAGAGAAAAAGGAGGAACAGGGTGGCCAGAGAGAGAAAGGCCGTCAACGAGGCGGTGTGGGTGGAGTGCAGAGCAGGGCACTTAAAGTCGGCACACCCAGGACAAGTTCACTTGCATTTGTCAGCCTGAGTTTCCTTGTCTCTACAAAGGAGTTAGTGCTAACTGCCTTGCAGGAAGGCTGTGAGAATTCAAGGAGATACGTGTGAAAGTTTTGCAGAAAGGACAACATTCTCTGCAAGTGTCTGTTATTAGAGAAACGAGAAGGATCCAAGTAATGGAAACCAAGATTACAGAGAGGGGCGTATTAGAGTCACAGAAGGATACAACTGGGATACATCCTTGGGGCCACTTAATCCAGCGTTCCTAGAGGAAGAAATCAAGGTGTCAAAGGCATCAGAAGCACTGTGAAGTGATGGAGACCATGGACAGTGATATGGTTTGGCTGTGTCCCCACCCAAATCTCACCTTGTGTTGTAATAATCCCCATGTGTCAAGGACAGCACCAGGTGGAGACAATTGAATCATGAGGGCAGTTTCCCCCATGCTGTTCTCATGATAGCGGTGATAGTGAGTGAGTTCTAACGAGATCTGATGGTTTTATAGGGGCTTCCTCCTTCACTTGGCACCCATTATCTCTCCTGCTGCCCTGGTGCCTTCCGCCATGATTGTTAAGTTTCCTCAAGCCTCCCCTGCCATGTGGAATTGTCAATTAAACCTCTCTTCTTTACAGATTACTCAGTTTGGGGTATTTCTTCATAGTGGGGTGAGAATGGACTAATACAAACAGGAACTTACCCACCACCCATACTGCCATGAAGAGTCTGGAAAACAATGTTTCAAAGATTTCAGCCACTATGATCCTGGGAGAGGTGAAGAGGGCCAGGATGCTGCTGAGTATCAGTCCAGTATCCAGCACATGGTAATAAACATGAATGACAATAATGGGACTTCCCATCCAGTTGTGAATGATAGCACTTTGATGTTCGGAGCCCAATGTGCTGCAGGTGATAAGCCCTCAGAATCTGCTAACTCACAAAGTCAATTTTCTCAGAACCTAGTTAGAATGACAGACTCATTTTTTTTTTTTTTTTTTTTTTGAGACAGAATTTCACTCTATCACCCAGGCTGCAGTACGGTGGCACAATCTTGGCTCACTGCAACCTCTGCCACCTATGCTCAAGCAATCCTCCCACCTCAGCCTCCTGCCACCTCAGCCTCCCAGGTAGCTGGGACTACAGACACGTACCACCACACCTGGCTAATTTTTGTATATTTTTGCAGAGATGGAGTTTCACCATATTGCCCAGGCTGGTCTTAAACTCCTGGGCTCAAGTGATCCTCCTGTCTCGGCCTCCCAGAGTGCTGGAATTACAAGCATGAGCCACTGTGCCTGACCCTCAATCTCATTTCTAATCCCTAATTGGGTAACCGTCTGATTTGATCGGACAGTTTGGGCTGTGATAGGATCCTTGTCCTGTTATCTGGACTCAGGACCATCTGCCTCCTTTATTCCAGCTCAGAGGGTGAATGGAGACTCGGAATTTCATCCAACTGCTCAGAAAAAAAAGAAAACAGTGAATTACAAGAACAAGCTCAATTCAAGACTAGAGTTCACATTCTTAGAAGGCTGCAGTTCTTCAGTCCAAACAGAATCAGTCAGAGTCTAACCAATTCCTGTATGAAGGCTCAAGGCCAGGACCTGCCTTATAACCCTCCATCCCAGATGGAGTTAATAAAACTGGAGTTCAGTCTTTGTCACCTTGTGCTCAAATACCCTGGCTGGCTTGTAACAAGAAAGAATTAGGGCATAGCTCAGATACAAAAGTGGAAAAAGAAACGGCTATAATCCATGGGGAAGACTTTCTATTTCTTAGTCTGTCTCCTGTCCCAAATAGCTCAGCTCTCCTCCCCCAACTCGTGTTTATGTGTTAAATTTCTTTCTCTTGTAGCAGATGCCACCAGACCGACAGTCCCTAAACTAGGTCAGAGAGAGTGATGAATTGACAAAGTCCCTCAGGCTACATCATCCGCGTCCTCACTTCGTCTCCAGTTCCCTGGCCTGCTTTCCCTGGCGTCTTAGGGTGGCCCCTGTTCCGAGAACCACAGAGGCCTAGGGGGTTCCTCTGTCCAGCTCCAGGATTCCTGATTTGCAAATTATCAGCCCTCATAGCTGGAAGGATGGAGGGAGGTGGGGCTTAACTGTCCCCAGCCCTTTGTGCCTCTCCCGTATGCTGAGTCCTCTCATTTTCATTCCACTCTGGCACTGATGGAATAATGTCAGAGGACAGTTAGCCACTTGAAACAGCAGCCAGAAAACCACACTTCTCTTCTTGAACTTTCATTGTGTTGGGGCCCATTTCCAACAAACAGAATCCAAGTAAGGCCCCCCTGTGTGCAGTTGTAACAGCGTTGATATAGCAGGTAGAGAATAGGTTTTTTTGTTGTTGTTGTTTGAAATAGGATCAAAGGAACCTTATTTCAAATTCCAGGGCACAGAGACCAAGAGAAATAACGACTTGCCCAGTGTAACACAGGAAGGAACAGAGTCCACCGTGTTAAAAGAAGAACTTCAGCTGAATTATATTTAAAGGAGTTTAACTGAGCAATGAAAGATTCGTGAATTGGGCAGCCCTCAGAGTCACAGAGAGGCTCCAGGGATGCCTCATGGTCAGAACAAATTTACAGACCAAAAAAAAGGCGGGGGGAAGTGACCTATAGGAATCTGCAGTGAGGTACAGAAACAACTGGATTGGTTAAGTTTGGCATTTGCCTTGTTTGAACATAGTTTGAACCGTCAGCAGTGAATGAATGGTTGAAGTGTGGCTGCTGGGATTGACCAAGACTCAGCTATCGTTACAGGTGCATACTCCTAAGTTAGGGTTTCAGCCTTGTCTGCCTAGGTTAGTTTGTCCACAAGGACTCAAATATAGAAGTACAGAGTCCTTCTCAGGCCATATTTAGTTTGCTTTAACAAGGGTCAGACTGCAGCCTTACACTTGCTTCCTCCTTCAGTGCACAACAACAACAACAAAAACCTAGATCCGTTTTTTTCTGTTCCGCAGGATGTCCTTTAAGAGAATAGATGGGTCATACTTATAACTAATATTTGAAAGGGAAAATGTTGCATTTTACAAAAGATTACTGTCATGAGTGTTGAAGCAAAAGTCCCGATGGATACTATAGACTTGGGAGTAGATGATTTTTCTTTCCAGTTCGTATTTTAAAAATAATGTTTGGATTTTCACTCCTGGGTAGGATGCTGTAAATTATGGTAGACCAGCGCTCCCACCCAGAAAAAAAGCTAGATCAATTTTTTTTAATCATAGGAATTTTTTAAAAGCATAGGAAAACTGTGGGACCGATGAGGACTAAATCAACTGAAATTTCAAGGAATCATCACTATTATGAAATGAGCTGTCACTGCTAACAGGTTTTCGTCCCTCCTGTCCCCTGGGGGACATTTGTCAATCCTGTCTCTGGGCTGAGAATCAGACTTGGTCCGGAAAGAAAGAGATCACCTGCAGGGGCAGAGAGAAGCCAGTAAGGCTTTTAGGAGTGGAGTTGTGTGGGTCTGGAAGAGAAACTAGAAACTTGAGAGACCCAAGTGCCCAATTTCAAGCTGTATGGGCGTCTGGACAGCTAGACTGTTACCTAAATGTCAAAGGGAAGAACCTTGCAGCCTCCAATGCTGAGGGAACAAAGACCCATCAATGGAGGAATCTGCATCAGGATCACCAGTCACCTGCTGCTCAAGACAGGCACCAGGATGAAGCTGCCTGGGGGAAAAGGCTGGGAACCCCGAATCTCCTGCAGATCTTCAAGGTGAAGGTGTTTGACACCTGCCAGTTTCTCTGTGAGGAGGTTGCAAGGACATGCCCAGAAAATAAGCATCATGAGAGGAAGACTGAGTTTATCTGAGGTTTGACTGCAAAACCAGCCATAACCCAGCTAAATCCCCGATTGGATGGAAATGATCATTCTTTGAATTTATCCGCACAGTAGAGCACAGAGGGCTCTGCTATGGTGGAAGGCAACATGTGGAACCTCCATTCTTGTTCTCTTTCTAAATACACAGTGGTAAGTATTTAAATGTATTAAATTTCATTAAGATTAAACATGTAAAAATTACTAACTATACAAAGAAGTGAAAAAATATAACTTTACGATCTAGACATTAACAATGCCTGTATGGATTTTAAAAGAAAAGCATATGTTACTTGTGTATTCTAAAAATAAGAGCACAAAAACTTTGAAAGTAAAATACAGGAAAGAAATGATGTAAACACTAACCAAGAGAAAGCTGGTGCAGCAAAGTAGACTTTAAGTCATGAATGGAGCCAGAATCACATAGGATTCCGATATTGGAGGTAGCAGACAGGAGCTTTAGAATAACCATAAATTAAATAAAATGGAGGCAGGGTGGACAGAATGAATGAAAAGATTCAGAACTTCAAAAAAAACTGTAAATTACAAAGAGTCAATAGAATTTGTAGAATTCAAAAAAACATGTTTGAAATTAATAATGAAATGGGTAGTTTCAACAGCAGATTAGACACAGCAGAATACAAAATTTTAACACTAGAAGAGAAGTCAAGTGCCCAGAGACAAAAAAAGAAAACGTACATGGCATAAGAGCCACATGGGACATATTCATAATGTGTATCACATAATACTATATATGTGTGTATATGTACTCTATATATAGTATTATAGTTTCAGAAAGAGAAGAGAAACATAAGACAAAATCAATATTTTAGAAATACCAAATTAGTATTTTTCAAAACTTATGAATATCGATCCCCATGTTTAAAAAACTCAGAACCTCAAGCAAGAGAAACACAAGCAAAACCACAAGCAGGCAAATCCTAGTAAAACTGTTGAAAAGTGAAGAGAAAATCTTAAAAGCATCCAGAAGCAAAAAAAAAGACACATTACCTTCCAAAAAACAACAATAGAAATGACAGCTGACTTCTCAACAGAAATGATGAAAGCTGGAAGTAATTTAATAACAACTTTGAAATGATGAAAGAAAAATAAGACACAATCTAGAATCTTAACTCAGTAAAATATGCTTCAAAAAATATAGTGAAATAAAAACATTTTGAAGCAAATGAGAACTGAGGGCATTTGTTGCCAACAGGCCTGCGTTAAAAGAATAATAAAAGACAGTTATTCTGGTAGAAGAAAAATGATCCAGGATGGAACTATAATATGCAGGATGAAAAGGAAAAAAAAGAGAAAATGTGTGGTAAATATAAATGAATATTTATTGTACAAGGCAATAACTGTGTCTCATGAAATTTAAAATATATATAGAATTAAAATGCATAACAACAAAAACATAAAAGGTGGGGGTTGGTGAATAGAAGCCAAAGATTCTAAGTTTTTGCCAATATCAGAGAAGTGGTTAAAATAATTGTAAAGTATAACTAAGTGGATAGATGGATGATATGGATTAAGAAAAATTATTTGACTACTCCAAAAGAAGTTAAGAAAAGGCAGAAAGGGACAAAAAATATATGGGCCAAATAGAAAATGAATAGTACATTTATATATAAACCACATTATGTCAATATTGCTAATATAATTAGTAGGATATTTCCAGACTAAATAAAAAAGAAACTCAAATCTCTTCTTCTCACGGGAGTCCTAATTAAAATATAGAAACACAGAAAGGTAGAGAGTAAAGGATACACACACACACACACACACACACACACACACATATATACACACACATATACACACACACATATACACCACGTGAACACTAACCCAAAAAAGCTGATGTAGCTATGCTAATATTAGACAAACTGTTTTTTAAGCCAAGATGCGTTGCTTTATTATAAAGATGTTCTTTTTATTATAAAAAGTACCTATCTTACAAATATCACAGTACTAAATCTGTATGCTCTTACCAACAGCTTCAAAATATATAAAACAAAAAATTGAAGAACCAAGGCCGGGCACGGTCGTTCACACCTGTGATCCCAGCACTTTGGGAGGCCAAGGTGGGCAGAGTTCAGGAGTTCAAGACCAGCTTGGCCAACATGGTGAAACCCCGTTTTTATTAAAAATACAAAAACTAGCTGGGCAAAGTGGTGGGCGCCTGTAATCCCAGCTACGCAGGAGGCTGAGGCAGAAGAATCGTTTGAACCTGGGGGGTGGAAGTTTTACAGTGAGCCAAGATTGTGCCATTGCACTCCAGCCTGGGTGACAGAGTGAGACTGTCTCAAAAAAAAAAAAAAAAAAATTAAGAACCAAAAGATAGTCAATTTCACAATCATAGTGGGAGGCTTTAATACAACTCTCTGAATAGCTGATAGAACAATGAAATTCAGAGGACCAGTGAGCACGTAGGAGACCTGAATGACACAGTTAAAAAGCTTGATGTAATTGGCATGTGATCACACCCAACAACGCCATAAAACATGTATCATAAATAACCATATACTGAGCCATAAAAAAGCATCAGTAAATATCAAATGATTGACATCATTCAGAGTATGTTATCTGATTATCATGGAATTGAGGTAGAAATTAATAACAAAATGACAAGAAAAACACCCCCACTAAAAATTTAACAATGCAGTTTAACATAATTCAGAGGTCTAAGATGAAATAAAAATAGAAACTAGAAAATAATTGAGTAATATTATTAACACATGTCAAGACTGGTAGGATGGAGGTAAAGTGGTGCTTAGACGGAATGATCTAGCCTTAAATGTACATATTCGAGTAAGTTTCCATCTTAGAATGCTAGAAAAGGAAGAGTGAATTTAACATAAGGAAAGAAGAAAAAAGACCATAAAAGCAGAAATCAGTTAAATCTTTTTAAAAATGTAAAACAGTAAATCAAGAGTCAAAAGTTCAAAAAATTTATAAAATTATTTGCTGCATATATGATCAATCATAAAATAAAGAAAAAGAATTTACCAATAACAGGAATGGAAAGAACAGAGCTATAGATCCTACAGATATCGAAATATAAGATAATTTTATGAACAATTTTATTGCAATAAATTTGATTAGCTGGAAAAATGGACAAATGTCTCAAAAAGGACAATTTACCACACCTGACAGCAGAAAAAACAGAAAGCCTGAACTGACCTATAGCTATTAAAGAAATTGATTCTAGACATGAAGTCCTTGCCCATGCCTATGTCCTGAATGGTATTGCCTAGGTTTTCTTCTAGGGTTTTTATGGTTTTAGGTCTAACATTTAAGTCTTTAATCCATCTTGAATTAATTTTTGTCTAAGGTGTAAGGAAGGGATCCAGTTTCAGCTTTCTGCGTATGGCTAGCCAGTTTTCCCAGCACCATTTGTTAAATAGGGAATCTTTTCCCCATTTCTTGTTTTTGTCAGGTTTGTCAAAGATCAGATAGTTGTAGATGTGTGGTATTATTTCTGAGGGCTCTGTTCTCTTCCATTGGTCTATATCTCTGTTTCGGTACCAGTACCATGCTGTTTTGGTTACTGTAGCCTTGTATTATAGTTTGAAGTCAGGTAGTGTGATGCCTCCAGCTTTGTTCTTTTGGCTTAGGATTGACTTGGCAATGCGGGCTCTTTTTTGGTTCCATATGAACTTTAAAGTAGTTTTTTCCAATTCTTTGAAGAAAGTCATTGGCAGCAGGGATAGCATTAGGAGATATACCTAATGTAAATGATGAGTTAATGGGTGCAGCACACCAACATGGCACATGTATACATATGTAACAAACCTGCACATTGTGCACATGTACCCTAGAACTTGAAGTATAATAAATATATATATATATATTTAAAAAAGAAATTGATTCTGAGTATAAATAGGACCTTCCCATGAAATAACCTCTAAGTTTAAATGGTTTCTTTGGTGAATTCTTCCAAATGCCTAGGGAAGAAAGAACAACAGTCTTGTGCAAACTCTTCCAGGAAATAGAAAAAGAGGAAACACTTCTTATGAGGCTAGTATAATCTTGATTCTAAAATATGGCAAGTATATTACAGGAATGAAAAATAATGGCTGAAATTGTACCCAGTTTTAAAATATAACTATAAAGCCACAGTAATCAAGTCAGTGTAGTGCTGGCACAAGGATGGAAATATGGATCAGTGGAACAGAATTGAGATTTGTGAAATTTACGGTTAATCGATTTTTGACAAAGATGCTAACAAATCACTAGGGCAAAAGATAGTCTTTTCAACAAATGGTTCTGGGATAATTGAATAGCCATGTGCAAAAAACAAACAAACAACATTACCAAAAAACAAAAACAAAAAGTGAGCTTAGGCCCTTAACTCAATATAACTATTGATATGGTTGGATTACATTTGGCATTTTGCCATTTTTTGTCTGTAGGTCTTTTGTTCTCCTATTTCTCCTTTACTGCTTTATTTTGTGTTAAATACATACTTTAGTATTCCATTGAAAAGCATCTCTTGCTTTTTTTAGCTATATAATTTATTTTCTTTCCTTTCTTTGTTTCTTCCTTTTTTTTTTTTTTTTTCTTTTGAGACAGGAGTCTTGCTTTGTCTCCCAGGCTGGAGTGCAATGGTGCGATCTTGGTTCACTGCAACCTCCGCCTCCCGGGTTCAAACAATTCTCCTGCCTCAGCCTCCCAAGTAGCTGGGACTACAGGTACCTGCCACCACACCCAGCTGATTTTTGTATTTTTCAATAGAGATGGGGTTTCACCATGTTGGGCAGGCTGGTCTCCAACTCCTGACCTCAGGTGATCCACCCGCCTCAGCCTCCCAAAGTGCTGGGATTACAGGCGTGAGCCACTGCACTCAGCCTAAAGTTATTTTCTTAGTGGTTGTGGTAGAGATTACAATACATATCTTTAACCACAGTCAGCTTTATCTTAATACTAACTTAGTTCTGGTAAAAGATAGAAACACTGCTCCAGTATAGCTGTATCCCCCACTCTTTGTGCCATTATTGTCATATAGATGGTCCTGTAGATATGTCATGGTAACAACCATACAAGGTTATAATTATTTCTTTATCTAATTCTATGTATTTTAAAGAAGGCAACACATAAAATATATTTAGAGAGTCCCTTGTAGTAACTCAATTATTTGTTATTTATGGTACTTTTTTTCTGTGCCTTTTTTTTTTCAATTTGAAGAAAATGCTTTAATATTTCTTCTTTTAAAAATTTTTTTTGTAGATATAGGGTCTTGCTGTCTTGCTGTGTTGCCCAGGCTGGCTTCAAACTGCTGGTCTTAAGCAATCCTTCCCCCTCAGCCTCCCAAAGTATTTAGTGTTTCTTATAAGGCTGAATTGCTACCAATAACTTTTTTTAGTCTTTGTTTATCTAGGAATGTCTTTATTTTGCCTTCATTTTTGTTTTCTTTTGTGTTTCTCTGTTTTGTCTGTTTCTTTTTCCTGTCCTTTGTGGGTTACTTGAATGTGTTTTAGATGTCTGTAGTGTTTTTGAGTACATCTTAGTGTAGATTTTTAATGGGTTACTCTTAAGTGTTACGTAATTCCTTATGCTGTGGTGATCTTGACATTTTACCAGTTCAAGTGAAGTATAGAAAGCGTCCCTCCATTTAAGATTCATTACCTCTCCATTTATAATATAATTCTCTTAAATATTTTCTCTTTATACATTGGGAACATCAGACAATATTATAACTTTGTCATCAGTGATGAAACACAAGTTAGAAAAACAGAGGCTGGGCGTAGTGGCTCACACTGGTAATCCCAGCACTCTGGGAGGCTGAGGTGGGCAGATCACTTGAGATAAGGAGTTCAAGAGCAGCCTGGCCAACATAGTGAAACCCATCTCTAGTAAATACAAAAATTAGCTGGGCATGGTGGTACGTGCCTGTAGTCCCAGCTACTCAGGAGACTGAGGCAGGAGAATCACTTTAACCCCGGAGATGGAGGTTGCAGTGAGCCAAGATCGCACCATTGCACTCCAGCCTGGCGACAGAGCAAGACTCTGTGTCAAAAATAAATACATAAATACATAAATAAATAGAAAGAAAGAAAAGAAAAAGGAAAAACAGGAGGAGGAAAGTCTTTTATTTATTTATTTATTTATTTATTTATTTTTTGGAGACACGGTCTCATTCTGTTGCCCAGGCTGGGGTGCAGGGACACCATCGTGGCTCACTGCAGCCTCAGCCTCCCAGGCCCAAGTAGCCCTCCCATCTCTGCCTCCTGAGTAGCTAGGACTACAGGTGTGCACCACCTCTTCTGGCTAATTTTTTTTATTTTTTTTTTAGAGTCACACTCTTGTTGCTAGGGCTGGTCTCAAACTCCTGGGCTCAAGCAATCCTCCCTCCTCAGCCTCCCACAGTGGTGAGAATATAGGTGAGAGTTACCACATCTGGCCTTTATACTTATTTTTACTTTTTTCGTTGTTTTTTTCTTTTTTCCTGAAATTACAAAATGTATTCATTTATTTATTTTTGAGACAAGGTCTTGCTTTGTCACCCAGGATGCAATGTAGTGGCGTGATCTTGGCTCCTCACTGTAGCCTCGACCTCCTAGGCTCAGGTGATCCTCCTGCCTCAGCCTCACAAGTAGCTAGGACCACAGGTACATGCCATTATGCCAGGGTAATTTATGTATTTTTTTTAGTAGAGATAGGATTTTACCATGTTGCCTAGACTGGTCTCACAAAATTTATTATTTTTTTTTATTTCTTTCTGTTTTCTTAGGCATTCTTTTTGGATAGGTCTAGTTGTAACACATTCTTTTAGTTTTCCTTTATTTGAACATGTCTTGATTTCTCTTTTATTCCTGAAGGATATTTTTGCTGGATGTGGAATTTCACATTGACACTATCTTTATTTCAGCTTTTGAAAACTGTGCTACTTCCTTCTGGCTTCCATGATTTTTGGTAAGAAATCTACAGTGTTTGAATCTTTGTTCTGCTATAGATAATGTGCTATTCCTCTCTTGCCTCTTTAAAGACTTTTTCTTTGAATTTAGTTTCCAGAAGCTCTATTATGTTGTGTTTTGGCATGGATTTCTTTGAATTTATACTATTTGGCATTCATTCAGTTTCTCAAATATATAGATTTATGTATTTTGCCAAATTTGGGACTTTTTCAGCCGTTATTTCTTTAAGCTCTTTTTCAGCCTTCTCCTCTTTTTCTTTTGTATATTTTTAGATTGCTCGTTTTATTGTAATTTGGCTAGAGAGAGAAGAGTTTTCTTGGGGCTTTTTTGGCCTTCTCTTGTTGGTGTTCTCAGGTTGCTGATGTCTCCAGCAGTCAGTTTGGGATATAAGAAACAACAGGGGAATTCATGGAACTCATCACTTTCTCATTCCTCAGGTCCTGAGATACCAAAGTGATCTGCCTTTTCTCGCCACCTTTCTGAGTCTGTTTATACTTGTCTTGTTTATAATGTTCAGGGATTTTAGCTGTACTTAGCTAAAACAGGGAGAAGTATATCTACTTCATTTTGTCCAGCACCAGAATTCTGTTTTGCCTCATCTTTGAAGGGTAGCTTGGGCGAGTATAGAATTCTCGGTTGATAATTGTTTTTTCCTTCAGTGCTTTTGAATATGTTCTTTACTGCGTGGCCTCCATCGTTTCAGGTGAGAAGTGAGCTATTAATCATGATGATAGGTCCCTAGAAATATAAATAGAGTCCATTTTTTTCTTGTTTCTTTTGAATTTTTTTTTTCCTCTTTGACTTTCAATCATTTAACTATAATGGGTTTAGGTGTGAATATCTTTATATTTATTTTATATGGAGTTTTTGGAGCTATTTTGCGTGTATTCTGGTATTTTTCATCAAAATGGGGAAGTTTGGGGCCATATTTATTAAAATATTTTCTCTGTACTTTTCTCTCTTTCCTCCTTTCCTGAGACTTCCATTATACATATGTGGCTTTGTCTCACAGGTCTCTGAATCTCTGTTTATTTTATTCAATAGCATTTACTTTGTTTTTAAGATGGGATACTTTCTATTGATGTATCTTCACACACATTATTTCTTCTGCCATCTAGAACTTGCTGTTGAACCCATCTGGTGAATTTCTATTTCAGTTGTTCCTTTCAAGTACAGAATTTACATTTGGATCTTTCTCCTACAACATCTGTCTCCTTACTGGAATTCTCTATATGTTAATTCATTTTTGTTCTACTTTTCTTTAGTTCTTTGAAAATGGTCTCCTTTAGTAATTTAAATATAACAGTTGCTTTTAAGTTCTTGTCTGCTAAATCCAACATCTGCAGATACGAAGAGACTATTCACTTTTTTTCATGAGTATGGATCACACTTTGCTGTTTCTTTGCATATCTTATAAATTTTTGGGATAAAAACTACACATTTTAAATATAAGTTGAATATCCCTAATCTGAAATCTGAAATTCTCCAAAATCCAAAAGTTTCTGAGCACTGACATGATGCCACAGTAGAAAATTCCACACCTGACCTCGTAGTTGCCATCAAAAATGCAGTTAAAACTTTGTTTCATGCACCAGATTTTTAAAAATATTATATAAAATTTCCTTCAGACTATGTATATGAGGTATATAGAAACATACATAAATTTTGTGTTAAGACTGACTTGGGTCCCATCTCCACGATATTTCATTTTGCATATGCAAATATTCCAAAATCCAAAATAATCCAAAATCTGAAACACTTCTAGTCTCAAGCATTTTACATAAGGGATACTCTATGTGTTTATTGTAACAACTCTAGGTGCTTGTTTTTTCCCCAGAAAATTGTTACAATTGTCATTTTGGAGCTTTTATATGTTTCTTTATTTTTTGTCTAGTAATCTGCCTGGGCTCAACTGGTGAAATCTATTTTCCTTATGATGTATAGACTCTGATGTCTCTGCTTCTTCATTTTTCAGTCTGACTTCCTCGGGTTGATCTTGTGCCTGTGTAGCATGGTGGCCAAGCAGTTGATTAGATAAGGTTGGGCTCAAACAGCTTTATCCAGTAAGGCTTCCATCATTTGCCAATTCATCTATGTCTGATTAGCAAAGTGCATTCAAAGTTCAGCCATTTTAAAGTCTTCCCTGGCGTTTACTTTCCGGCAAGCCCTCTCATGTCTCCTCTGTGCACAAACACAGCCCCAGGGTCAGCCAGGAATGTGTGGATAGCTCAGCCCCTCTCTGGTCTTTGGGGTACATATGTGCAGCTTAATCCAAGAGTATGTTTGTCTCAAGCATTACCAGAACTCAAGCTAGTAGAGCCTTTGGACTTCCCTGCTAATCTACCACCAAGATTATTCATTCCTCTAAGAATCTATTGAGTCTCCTTCCACTGTGGCAGAGAATCTTCCAGTTCTTACAGTTCTGTCGCAGCAGAACTTCTGTGTCAACCAAGCTGGGAGGTATGGAAACGGCCACAGGGCAAGATTCCCACAGTTCGTACCTGAAGCTCAGCACATTTTCAAGCAAAGCTACTTCTCAGATTATTATATGCCTTTGATTTCCAGAGTGCTAAGATGGTTTTGTTAATTTTGTCCAGCTTTGCAATTGCTTTTTAGGAAGAAAATTTGCTGACGTCATCACTAAGCCATAGCCAGAAGTTCTTCTCCTTTAAGATTTTAGTATAATTAAATTTCAAACAAATTTCACACAATTTTCACATGGCTTTTATTTAATGAAATGACATTGGAAGCTGATTCCACTTTCCAGTTACAACACAGCATTTGACATGTTGACATAGTCATTAAATGCCTCTTCAGGAGAGATTAATTCGATATAATACTGTATTCGGTATTTTGTGGTCACAATTCCAGAGAGCCAGAGCTGTGAAATTATAAAAGCTACCCTTCTCCAAAGAGCATAGGAGAACCCATCTGTGTTATTTATTGCTGTGTAACAAACTACCATAAGTTTAGCAACTTACAAAAGCCACATGTTTATTACTTCAGTTTCTGCAGGTGAGAAATCTGGGCATAGCTCAGATTTCATGGTCTCTCACAAGCTGCAATCGAAGTGTCACCTCATCCTGGCTTGGATCTCATCTGGATCCTTAACTGGAGGAAGAATCTGTTTCCAAACTCATGGGGTTGCTGGCCAAATTTCAGTTTCTCAAGGGCTGTTGGACTGAGGGACTGAGTTCTTAGGTGGCTGTGGGCTGGATGCTGCCCTCAGTTGCTTGCCAAGTGGCCTCCTCCACGTGGAAACTTGCTTTAATAACAGCCAGCAAGGGAGTGGGTCTGCCAGCGAGATGGAAGCCAGAATCCTTAGTATTTTAATCATTGAAAAGTGTGATCCCCTCCATGTGGAGTATGCTGTTGATTAGAAGCAAGGTACTCAGGGGAAGAGAAGGGTGTACGGTAGTCAATACAAGCATGTGGGCATAATTGGAAGCCATTTGAGAAGCTCCTCACTGTACCATCTCATTAAAACATGAGCAGAAGGAAAATACTGAGTTTAACTCACACATTTATTTTTAAAAATGAAAAAATCAGCAGACTAATATTTCTATTGACAATCATGGCTCATCAGAAAATATGATTATAAAATACATGGGAACCATCACCAAATATATACAAGTGATATCAAATAAATTTTTTAAATGAAAAAAGCTATTAACAGCACAAATCAGAGTTAGAAATGTGATAATATGCCAAAGGAAAAATGGAAAAGAGATCTAACAGCGATAAGGAAATATTTTAAACGAAAAAGCCACTAAAGTAATGAGGACTGAACTGGAATTAACGTAACCAAAATGCCTCTATGGATTGTACTATATGGATAATAGGGAATACAAAGATAGAAACAGAAAAAAAGTTTGAAAAACAGATTTTTTCCAAGTAATTGATTGATATAGTAGATAATAAATATCTAACATATGTATAATAGATTTTCCTAAAGAAAAAAAGCGATGGGCAAAGGGTGATTAGTGAAAGTTATATTTGTTAAAAATATCCTGAAATAAAGGAAAGCTTTAACCTGTATATTGAAAGGACACACTACTGAGCTGGAAAAATCAGTCCAAAATGCTCAAAATTGAGACATATTTAAATATAGTAGTTCTCAGACATTTTCCTTTTAGGATCTCTATACAGTCTTAACAATTCTTGATAATCCCAGAGATCTTATATTTACATGGGTTACATATGTTAATATTTATCATATTAGAAAACTAACACTGAGAAAGTTAAAAATGTATTTATTGATTTTAAAATAATAAACCATTTTTCATAATATAAATAAAATACTTTATAAAAATAATTGTATTTTCCAAAACACACAAAAAAAGAACTGTGGCATGTTTTACCTTTTTTCGAATTATTTTAAAGACTGGCTTAATAGAAGACAGCTGGATTCTTCAGTGTGCTTCTGCACTCAATCTGTGGCATTATATCATTTGGTTGAAGTATATGAAGGAAATCTGGCCTTTCACATATATGTAGTTCGGAAAGAGAAGACTATTTTCACAGCCTTTTTAGATAGTTGTGGATATTTCTTGATACTATTCCAAAATTTGAAAAGTGGTCATTTTTAAAGGTCAGTTGCAGTATGGAATCTATAGCCAAATCAGTGAGCTTTCCATACTCTGTTATATTAATATTTATCAGGCTTTTTGTGGATCTTTTACTTATGCATTATTTTATAGCATCAAACAGGCATTATTTGGAAAATGTTGGTTCACTGCTATGCAGATTTACCAAATGTTCACACAGTTTGTGATACAATATTAAAAAATCAGATTCATCAGCATCATCACCAATCTTATTATAAAAACCTTTAAGTCAAAAATCAACTCAAGATAGATCAAAGACGTAAATATAAGCTCTGAAACTAAAAAACATTTTAGAAGACAACATTGGAAAATATCTTCTAGAATCAGCCTAGGCAAAGAATTCATGATTAAGACCCCAACAGCAAATGCAACGAAACAAAAATAAATAAATGGACCTAATTAAACTAAAAAGCTTCTGCACAGCAAAAGAAATAATCAGCAGAATAAACAGACAACCCACAGAATGGGAGAAAATATTTGCAAACTACACGTCTGACAAAGGACTAGTATCCAGAATTTACAAAGAACTCAAACAAATCACCAAGAAAAAAACAATCCAATTTAAAAGCGGGCAGAGGACATGAATAGACATTTCTCAAAAGACGATATACAAATGGCCAACAAATGTATGAAAAAATGCTCAACATCACTAATCATCAAGGAAATGCAAATTAAAACTGCAATAAGATGCCACCTTACTCCTCCAAAAATGGCCATTATTAAAAACATGCATTGTTTTGTGGATGTTGGTGTGGATGTGAGGAAAAGGGAGTGTTCTACACTGCTGATGAGAGGGTAAATTAGCACAACCGCTATGGAAAACAGCATGGAGATTCCTTAAAAAGCTAAAAGTAGATTCTACCATTTGATCCAGCAATCCCATTACTGGGTATCTACCCAGAGTAAAAGAAGTCATTATATGAAAGACACTTGTACACGCATGTTTATAACAGCACAATTCACAATTGCAGAGATGTGGAACCAACCCTAAGTGCCCATGAACTAATGCGTGGATAAAGAAAATGTGGTATGTATACACCATGGAATACTAATCAGCCATTAAAAGGAATGAAACAATATATTTTGCAGCAACTTGGATGGAGCTGGAGGCCACTATTCTAAATGAAGTAACACAGGAGTGGAAAACCAAAAACCGTATGTTCTCACTTATAAGTGAGGACTATGCTATGAGTACGCAAAGGCATACGGAGTGATATTAGTATTATGAACTTTAGAGACTTAGGCGGGTGGTGGGAGGGGGACCAGGGATACAAAACTGGACATTAGGTACAGTGTAGAGTATGGAGGATGCACCAAAGTCTCAGAATATGCAATTAATTTATGGAACAAAAAAACCACTTGTTTCCCAAAAGCTATTGAAAAATTTTTAAACACAAACCTTTAAGTTTGGGAAGCTGTCAAGCTCATGGTGCTGGCTATGAATACCAAGTTTTCTGAAATAGTAAAATGTGCCTGAAAGTTCAGTGTTATCATTGGCAGTAAATATTTTTAAATGACAGGATTACTTTTATTAACTTTCAAGAAATGCTTGCCAAATAGCCACATTCAAATAATGATAGTTTGTCTATAAGTTGTTCTTTGAAGAAAAAATGGTGTTTTTTGAAAAACGTGCCAAGTTCAACTTGCACCTCAAACAATTTCACACACACTTTTCCTTGAGCTAATTAATCATCACACTTCAGGTGTGGAGCAGAAATCCATGATGTGTAATTTTCATTTCTTCACAGAGTATTCAAAAAATGTATATTCAAGCATTGACATTTAATACAATTAATCATTTTTAGTACTTCATCAAGGATATTCTTAAGTAAAACGCATTTTTTTAGTACTGTGAGTGATTGGTAGTGAGGAATTCAGTAACTAACACTATAATTGGTTACTAGAGCCTTGATTCATGATCAGACACTATTTCTTTTGGAGTGTCATTGCAAATATCAACAAAATTAAAAAGGGCAAATGTATGATTAGGAAGATAGTTTTTAATCTCATGAGTCCACTGGAAGGTTCAGGAACCCCCGTGTGTTGTTCATGGTTCACACTCTGAGAGCCACTGTTTCAATATAGCTACTTGGCTTAAAGAAAAAGAAAAAAATCCTTTGAACATCCAGGCTAAAAGGTCATATCATTCCTAAGAAAAAGAAAATGAGTTTGACCTTAGACTTTTTGACGGAAGTGCTTTAGGCTAGAAGAAAACAGAATCCTATACTTAATATTTATAAAAAGAAAATTTATGCCAAGCATTTTATATCCAGCCAAACTGACCTCAAATTATAAAGGCCACATTCAACTTTATGAACATACCAGAGCTCAGAAAATTTTGTTGCCATAAGCCTTTTCTAAGGAATCTACTACAGAACAAACTTGAGCCTGCCAAAATAATTTGAGAGGTATTATATAAGGGTGCATAGTGAGCATATAATATACTTGCAGTAGAACTGAGACCATAAGATAGAGTGAAGAACGCAATATAGTATATAATAGTGTTATGTTTTGACAATATAGCTATAGAACAATGATAAAAAATTCGGAGGAAATAGGAACAGTACTGTGATGCTTAATTTTATGCCTCAACTTGATTGGGCTAAAGGATGCCCAGATAGCTGTTAAGACATTATTTGGGTGCACGTCTGAGAAGGTGTTTCCAGAGGAGATGAGCATTTGAATCTGTAGACTGAATAAAGAAGACCAGCCCTCATCAATGTGGGTGGGCATCATCCAGTCTGTTGGGGGCACAGATAGAACAAAAAGGTTGAGGAAGGACACCTTTGCTTCCTGTTTGAACTGGAACATCCATCCTCAGACATCAGTACTCCTGGTTCTCAGGCCTTCAGACTAGGACTTAAACTATTATTGCCTTCCTTCCTTTCCCTGCCCTCCGGTTTCTTAGGCCTTTGGACTTGGATTGAATTACACCACTGGCTTTCCTGGTTCTCCACCTTGCACATGGCAGATTGTGAGATTTCTTGGCACCTATAATCACATGAACCAATTCTTATAATAAATCTATCTGTCTATATCTATATCTACATCTGTCCTCCTACTGGTTCTGTTTCTCTGGACAACCCTAAGACTAGTATATAAAAAATAGAACAAACTTTCAGATTGAGAAAAAAGACATACAAGGCAAATGCATAAGAGATAAGTTTTATGATATATTGATATTCAACATCTTAACATAATTAAATGAAGATGGGAAGTCATTGAAAGAACAAAGGAGAGTTCATGTTTACTGCTACAATGTGCAATGAAGATATAAGTTATTAATATTTTTGGAAATTTTAAAACATCTCTCCCATACCTATACAAATCAAGTGGACCAAAAAATTGAGTAAGGATGTGGAAAAACCAGCATTGTCAGTAAGCTAGAACACATAAATATATATTGAAGTTGCAAAATCCAATAATGAAAAATTTGCCTTCTTTCCAAGTGCACATTGACCATTATTGTTTTAGTGCATTCTCACACTGCTATAAAGAGCTGCTCAAGACTGGGTAATTTATAAAGAAAGACGCTTAAATGGTTCACAGTTCTGCATTGCTGGGGAGGCCTCAGGAAACTTGCAATCATGGCAGAAGGGGAAGCAAACAGGTCCTTCTTCACATGGCAGCAGGAGAGAGAAGTGCAGAGTGAAGTGGGGAAAAAGCCCCTTATAAAACCATCAGATCTTGTGAGAATTCACTCACTATTATGAGAACAGCATGGGGGGATCCTCCCCCATGATTCACCTACCTCCCACCAGGTCCCTTCCATGATGCATGGGGAAGATTATGGGAACTACAATTCAAGATGAGATTTGGGTGGAGACACAGCCAAAGCATATCAATTATGAAATGAATATATTTTGGGCCACAATGAAAATCTCACTAAATTAAAAAAATTAGCAATAATACCCACAGCATTCTCCAACCACAATAGGATAAAGCTAGAAATCAATAACAATACAAAAATAAAACACTTTTAAAATAATCTGTGAATTTACAAGGATCTTATTAAACCACCACTGGATCAGAGTGAAAATACAGATCCAAATTGCAGAATGTCTTTGAAATGTCAGTAGTGAGCTAAAACGAATCAGCCAGGATGGGTAGATAGCAAACCCATCTCTGCTCCAGAACGACAGCGTGTCATGTGAGGCACTAATCCCGGCTGAATGAATTGCAGCCAGGCACCAGCACCGTCTGCTTCTATTACTTTAGCGTTCTGTCTTGCTTCAGTGACACCAGTGATTACATTGTCTGTTGTCTCAAGACCAAATGTCTTTCTCATCATGTGTGTTGGGGACATGGGCAATGATTCACATAAGAGCCAGTAGTTCCTACCCTGGCACCAGCATTGGCCTCAGCTATGTCCATGGATCAGTCAAGTATATAGAGCATGAGGCGTGCAGGGGTCAGGGCTCTGCCTCCTTTCTTCTCTGTCATTGGTCAGGCTCATGACCTTGATCGTGTGCAATAATATCTGTCCTTCAATTCTCTTTGTGATCATCCCACCATAGCAACTCAGATTTTAAAAATATCAGTTAAGGAGATCTCTGCCTGCATTTTGGAAGCTTGCTGAGCAGATGGCTTTGCTCCCTTTGGAAAAGTCAGAAGCCAAGGCCAGCGTTTAGTTAGAAAGGGCGTGTTAGCCCCGAATATGCCATGCTTTGTAGGTTAGCTTGGAAGGGGTCAAGAAGAATCCATCAGAAGAACATTCTGATGCTCATATTTTAAACTTGGCTGGAGGCAGATGTACAAGCATCCTTTGGAATGGAAGGGGTGGCAAAGTCCTTTCCTGCAGCACAAGAGGCAGCGTTAGCTTCATGCTTTAACAAGAAAAAGCAGAGAAGCAGGTGGCACCCCAGGGAGTTCCAGACAAGGGATTGATACAAAACCAGAGGAGAAGCACATTTTCTAAAGAATAAGGACTCTATGTAGAGCTGAGACCCTACGCACTGCCCTCACCAAGCCCCATGTAAGTTTCTTCTTTCAGGCAAGCAGGCTTGTCCCAACATTATAACAACACTTAGATACAACAGATACCTGTTGGACAAACAGAGAAACACCAGGAATACAAGTACACATCACAAAACCACGTGAGGATGCAGAGAAGGTGGCCATCTGCAAGCCAAGGGGAGAAGCCTGGGTAGAAACCAGCCCTGCTGACACCTTGACCTCAGACTTTCACTCTCCAGCACTGTGAGAATGTAAATTTCTGCTGTTGAAGCCTGCCCACCTGTGGTATTTTGTTATGGCACCCCTAGCAAAAGAATATGAGTCATGGTTATTTTTCAGATATGAAAACACAGGACCCTTCTTTGCCTCCATGTCTTTGCAGTTCTGGTTCTCTGCCCTTGACACATCCCTTCATGAAGTGTAGCCTTCATGTCTTTTGTAAATCCCTCCTGGACCATACCAGGCAACTGGTGTGTCCTCTGTGCTGTCCAAGCACCTGAAACCACACACCTGTAAAGCACTAATCACAGTGAAAAGAAAATACTTGTTTATGTGACTATCTCCCTCATTAAACTATCAAATTCTCAAAAACAGAGACTGTCTTGTATTGGCATGCAGCTGCACAGAATGATATTAATCCTCATCTTTTGTTCATAAACATTTGACACTGGTTCATACATGGTTTTAAAAAGAAATTAGGTGTTTTTTATTTTATTCTAATTTTTTTTTGAGACGGGGTCTCACTCTTCTCCCAGGCTGGAGTGCTGTGGCTCGATCTCGGCTCACTGCAACCTCTGCTTCTCGGGCTAAAGTGATCCTTCCACCTCAGCCTCCTGAGTAGCTGGGATTACAGGCACACACCACCATGTCTGGCTAATTTTTTGTATTTTTTGTAGAGATGGGTTTTCGCCATGTTGCCCAGCCTAGTCTCAAACTCCTGGGCTCAAGGGATTCGCCTGTCTGGGCCTTCCAAAGTTCTGGGATTACAGGCATGAGCCACTGCACCACCTAGCCTTATGTTTAATAATTCAGTAGGCAACCATGAACCAATTACCTAAACAATAGCTGAAATGTAATATCTAACTATATTATCACCATCAACAACTATCCTCGATCTTTATCCCATATTAAACATCATCTTGAGTCTTATATTCATGACTTGCTTGCCCTTGATATCCTTTTATGTGATTTAATTACTATAGATACCTACAGGCTTATAGAAACATATATCTATAGATATCTATATGTAGTAATTATATATAATATACATATATTTCTGGGACTGTATTTCTAGAACAAATAGCAATCTATTTTAGATGTTTTTAATATTATAAGATGGGTATCATTCTATATGTAATCTTTTGTCTTAATTATAATTAACCTTCCATTGCTAAAATTCATCCATATTGTTGCATATGGCTGATTCTTTTGTTATTATATGAATAGACATCACTTTAGTCCTCTAGCACTCAATTATTAGGTATTTGTTTTGTTTAGTCTTGCTCTGAACAGCGCTGCTATAAGCTTTCTTGCACATGTTGCCTTGTGTATGTTGTAAACATGTATATGTTTACATGTGTAAGAGTTTCTCTTGGGTATTGTGGTAGGCAGAGTGTTGCCTGACCCAAAGATGGTCACAGTCTAATTCCTAGAACCTACGAATATGTTAGCTTACATGGCAAAGGGGAGTTAAGTTTGCAGATGAAATTTAGGTTTCTCGTCAGTTGATTTTGAGATGGGGAGGGTGTCTGCATTATTTAAACGGGACCAATGTAATTACAAAAATTCCTTATAAGTCAAAAATGGAGGCAGAAAAGAGGACCAGGGAGAGGTCAGCATGAGAAGAACTTGGCCTGATGTTGACTTTGAAGATGGAGGAAGGGATCATGGACCAAGGAATGTGGAACATCTCTGAAATCTGGAAAAGACAAGAAAATGGAACATCCCTTACTGACTCCTGCCAGCACTTTGATTTGAGCCCGGTCAGAGGTGTTTTGGACTTCTGACCACAACCGTAGAGTAATACATTTATGTTGTTTTATGTCACTAAATTTGTGGCGATTTGTTATAGCAGCCATGGGAGACTCATACAGGTAGATAATTACAAGTAGAGCTCCTGTCACAGGCTAATAGATTCCCATCTGTAGTAGATGCGGAGAATGTGGTTTCCAATTATTTGCCCTCTTAATAGCAGACTTTGTAAGTTCTTGTTTGCTCACATGCTGCCAATGCTCCATGTATCAATATTTGTAATGTTATCTTTTCTGGAAGGTTACAGAGTTATCTCAATGTGGTCTTAATTTGCATTTTCTAGATAATTAACAAGTCTAGCACATTTTTACATTTTTATTGGCCACTGAACATCCTCTTTCTTTGAGGTGTTTGTTCAGCCCTTGTGCTCATTTCTTGGTTGATTGTCTCTCCTTTTCGTTATTGATGTGTGGATGTGTTAAATACGTTCTCAGATCAATGTGGTTTTCAGTTACAGGTGTCGCAAATATCTTTTCCTATTGTCGCACCTGTGCCTTCTGATTCAGACATTCTTCATTTTCATGTTTAGTTAGTGCTGGAAATCCACACGTGGCTCCCCGGTTCTGGGGCGTTATCAGGGATGTTCAGCGAAACAAAGTGAGGAACTTCTATGAAGCTCCACCTGCACTCACAGCTCAGGTAGTCAAGGGCTGGTAACCTGGGAAACTATGGGAAGGACAGGGAGCACCCCCTTCACAGTCCCATACTTCCAGGGAGCAGGCTGTGGGGGACAGTATAGCAATACGGTGCCTTTCTGCTATACAGCTGCTTAACTAGCATCGGTATAACGTAGGGCACAGAGATTTTGTGGATGATGTTAGCGCTGTTTGTGGAAAATTATGCGTTGGCTCAGGAATGAAAAGAAGACTTTGAGTTCTGGGGAGATAATCACAAAGAGCGGGGGTGCTGAAAATCTTGGATGCTTTTCCAGAATAGGAGAGTTCCCAAACTGATGGAGTTCAATCCCAGACTCAGGCCCTCTTCAGAAAGAAAGCAACAGCATCCCCACATGGTGACTGTTTTGGGCTCCAGCCCCAGCTCCAGTTCCTCTTTCCTCTCCTCAAACAGAAGAATGACTTCATAGAGAAATCGAGAACATAAATCATGAATACCCAGCCCTGTAGGTAAAGAGGATGATCTCGTGCTAATTCTCAAGAAAAATAGGAAAAGGCCAGGCGCGGTGGCTTACTTCTGTAATCCCAGCACTTCTCAAGGCTGAGGCAGGCAGATCACTTGAGCCCAGGAGTTCAAGACCAGCCTGGGCAACATGGCAAGACTCCATCTCTACAATAAATACAACAAATTAGCCAGGCGTGGTGGTGCATGCCTGTGCTCCCAGCTACTCAGGAGGCTGAGGTAGGAGGATGACTTGGGCCCAGGAGGTCAAGGCTGAAGTGAGCTATGATCACATGACTGCACTTGAATCCTGGGCAACAGAACAAGACCCTGCCTCAAAAATAAAAACTAATAAAAATAGGAAAAGATATTCTATCTTTTGTATTTTGGAGTTAAAGGCTGAGCTGGTTAGATCTAACCTGAGGTCATAAATCAACCGCAAAAACAAAAATGTATGAAAACAACAAAAAAGCATGAATACACTTTAGCATTAGGTTATATATATTAATATTTATAAATCTCTCTACATATGAGTAGGTAGATATAGATATAGATAGATAAAATACACATATATAGATATAAAAATAAATAAAATTTTGTTGGATGTACTCCAGGAAATAGAAAATTTTAGCTGCTTTATCATCTTTACCCAAATAAATTAAAGTTGCCCCTGTAATACATAAGTTTATAAAAGAAAAAAAAAGAAATGAAATGGATAGAGACATAAAAAGTAAGAAAATAGAATTGGTGAAGTTAAAACCAAACAAGCAGCAGCAAAACAAGAACCCAATCCCTTGTAAGTGACAAGGTGGGCTGATGTAAGCTATTCATGCAGAATGCAGAAGACATGGGCCAGGAATGGTGACTCATGCCTTTAATCCCAGCACTTTGGGAGGCTGAGGCGGGCAGATAACCTGAGCTCGGGGGTTCAAGACCAGCCTGGCCAACATGGTGAAACCCCGTCTCTACTACAAATACAAAAATTAGCCGAGCGTGGTGGTGCACACCTGTAGTCTCAGCTACTCTAGTTCAAGCACCAGAATTGCTTGAACCCCGGAAGTGGAGGTTCAAGCAATTCTGAACCCAGGACATGGAGGTTTCAGTGAGCTGAGATCATGCCACTGCACTCCAGCCTGGGACACAGAGTAAGACTCCATCTCAAACAAACAAACCAACAAAAAAGAAGAAGAACGCAGCAGACATTCATGCACGATTCAATGCGGAATTGCAGGAATAAGATGAAAGACACAGGGGACGGACAACTTAGACCCGGCATGTGAGTAACCAGTATACCTGAAGTAAAGAAAAGGGAAAAAATTGGAACTGAAAAGCCTTTGAAATCCATAACAGAAGGAATAAAAACAATTTTCTTGAAACAAAGATTTAAACTACAGAGAAAAAGAATTTTATATAAGAACTTACTCTTCCAGGCAGGATGGAAAACTTTGCAGGAAATTAAAGCACTTGCCAAAAATAACTAGAAAACTCAGATAAAATGCAGAAACCTTATGTTTAAGGGCATAAAGACCTGCTAAAGCAAGCCTAGGAATTTTAAAAGAAGAAGAAAGCAGAAATTGAGGCCGAGTCAGTATTTGGAGATACGACAGGCAAGAACTTCCAAGAATTGATGAAAGACATCAACTCATCAACTGAAATAATTTTGTGTGTCACCAGCAAGGTAAATACAAGAGAACCACACCTAGGAATACCATGTTCAAACTGCTGAAAACTAAGTATAAGGGAAAAAAAATCTCAAAAACAGCAAAACAATGCATACTATCATCAGAGGAATAACAGTGAAGTCGGCAGACTTTTTAACTTATGCTTAAATTCCAGTGTTGAAAATTAGTCCCGTGGTCTTGCCTAGATGCAAAGGGGACATTATGAAATGCAATGTCTGGATGAGCAGAGACTCCCTTCCTTTCTTCCTTCCCCTCCCTTCCCCTCCCCTCCCTCCCTCCCTCGCCCCCTCCTTCCCTCCCTCCCTCGCCCCCTCCTTCCCTCCCTCCCTCGCCCCCTCCTTCCCTCTCTCCCTCGCCCGCTCCTTCCCTCCCTCCCTCGCCCCCTCCCTCCCTTCCTCCCTCCCTCCCTCCCTCCCTCCCTCCCTTCCTTCCTTCCTTCCTTCCTTCCTTCCTTCCTTCCTTGACGTAGTCTCGCTCCATCACCAGGCTGGAGTGCAGTGGCGGAATCTCCGCTCAGTGCAACCTCCACCTCCCAGGTTCAGGCAATTCTCCTGCCTCAGTCTCCCAAGTAGCTGGGATTACAGGCGCATGCCACCATGTCCAGCTAATTTTTGTATTTTTAGTAGACACAGGGTTTCACCGTGTTGGCCAGGATGGTCTCAATCTCTTGACCTTGTGATCCGCCCGCCTCGGTCTCCCAAAGTGCTGGGATTACAGGCGTGAGCCACTGCGCCCAGCTGGGCAGAGACACTTTCTAATGTCCTTCTACAACATGGAAAGGAAGCATGATTTCTGTAGACCATTAACCACTTCCAGCATATTGCCCCTTACCCTTCATTGATGCATTCCTACTGCTTTGGTGAAAGAAGCATCTTTAGACCTTCTTATGGGACATAAAGAGGGATGGAGAGGGATTCATTAGCATAATGAATCTGCCCCAACTTCTCATCTCCCTAAGAATTTGTATCCTTTTCTCTTCAGTGTAACTAGAAATATCTGACATGACTGCATCATTTAATGTAGAACACTTTTAAATGCAAGGTTTAATTAACCAAGCAAACTATTAGAGCCACTCCCATCTGTTCATTAGTTTATTGAATTCAGAATATGCCATAAACTAATTATATGGATTAATCCAGTCCACTCCAGTGCTATGTTTTTCCCCCTTGTTTTAGTACTTTTAGATTTTATCTCAACCATATTTTGCAGGTGCATTCTGATGTCTTAGCAAAATTTTAGCATCCTTTTGTTGTTTAATGTCCTCCAGATCCAATTTTTGTACTTTTTTTTCCTGTGGGATACTGTGAAATTGAGTTGTATTTATAATCCTGGAGGCCAGGAGAGTTGGTGGGTTGGGTTTTGAAGATAATTAGCATCCTTCTATAAAGTAACTGCTTCATATGAGATCATTCCAGGACTCTCAAGCAGGAAATGGCCAGAGTTTTCAGAAGAGAGGAAAGGTTTTTTTTGCTGGTAAGTGAGACTCAGTGGGATTTGTGTTTTCAAGGTACTTGAATACTGTATTAATCGTGCCTTTTTTTGTTTTTGAAGTTTTTGTATTTTCAGTGTTTTGTATTTATGGTGTTTGATATCTGGGACCTTGTTGATCCTAGAGTGTCTGCCCATCCCAGGGCTGGACAGTTCCTAGACAGAGTAAAAGACTCGTCTGCAAGTGCACTTTTCATATGCAACCCAACCAATGCAAAGCGACTACCCACCAAATACCTCCTTTATTGTGCTCTCTCTCCCCTAATCACCAGAGCCAGGTGCCAGGCAACTGGCAGCCATCTCTATCCTCCAGAGCCTGCTGAATTATCCACACTAGCCAATCCTCAGCCTGTGGAGCCTGCCTCACCCATTCCTTCCTGCAAAGCCCACAGTAAAGACTCTGCCTGCATGCTCTTGCCTGCTCCTTCTGCCTCTGGTGCTTCCCCATGTGGTTCTGCATGCTCCTCCTCCAGGAAACTGTGAGTAACAAACTCTCTTTTCAATGGCAGTTGTCTTCTGATCTGTTGGCTTTACCACACATAAATAATAATAATGCTTCCATTTTATAACAGATATATGAAAATCTACCCAAATCCTCCTATTTTGAGTCTCAGATGTCTAATCTTTCCCCCAACCCTACCTTTCACATGAGAGACCTAGAAAGGCTGTGAATTGTATTTATATTGTATTCATGCAATCAATAGGATTAAATTTGGAGCCCAAGTATTTGCTACACTGGTTCTACAGCTACAAGAGAGAAGAGGCTTGGCCAGGCACGGTGGCTCACGCCTGTAATCCCAGTACTTTGGGAGGCCGAGGTGGGTGGATCACAAGGCCAGGAGATCAAGACCATCCTGGCTAACACGGTGAAACCCCGTCTCTACTAAAAATACAAAAAATTAGCTGGGTGCGGTGGCAGGCACCTGTAGTCCCAGCTACCCGGGAGGCTGAGGCAGGAGAATGGCGTGAACCCAGGAGGCGGAGCTTGCAGTGAGCCGAGATAGCGCCACTGCACTCCGGCCTGGGTGAAAGAGCAAGACTCTGTCTCAGAAAAAATAAAAAAAAAAAAAAAAAAAAGAGAGAGACTTAAGCCAAAAATAAAATAAAATAAAAACCTGAGCTGCTATTTTCTTAAATTCAGCTCTACTCTAAACAATTAGCTTGCCCCCACAGTTCTTGTGTTAACAGCAGCAAATCCATGTGGGTCTGCAGCAACCTCAGTTCTTGCCTCCTCAGAAGAAAGAGTTTGACTGAGGGGCATAAGGCAGAGGGAGAAACTAAGGCAAGTTTTTGAGCAGTAGTGAAAGTTTATCAAAAAGTTTTAGAGCAGGAAAGAAAGGAAGTAAAGTATACTTGGAAGAGGGCCAAGCAGGCAACTTGAGAGATTCAAGTGCACTGTTTGGCCTTTGACTTGGGGTTTTATACGTTGGCAGGCTTGAGGGGTCTGCATCTCTTTTTCCCTGATTCTTCCCTTGGGGTGGGCTCTCCACACGCCCAGTGGCCTGCCAGCACTTGGGAGGTGAGGATGCGCAGTGTGTTGACTAAAGTTGTGTGCGTGTTCACTTGAGGCATTTTTCCCTTATCAGTCGAACATTTCTGGAGGAAGGTCATATACCAGTTAAACTCTGCCATTTTGCCTCTTCGTGCACATGCTTGGGCCCACTAACCCAGCTCCTGAGATCTTACTGGGAAGCTGCTGGTCACCAGCTTTAGGTGTTTTCTATCTACTGTGAGACTGCCGTTCCCTGGTGCCAGCTGTGACCAATTATTGTTTTAAAGAGACAGCTTAACAACTGCTGAGCATTACCTGAGGGTCACCTGCCACTCCTCATTGGGGGATGGGGATCTCTCCTGCTCTGCTCGTGTCTGCCTCCCTACCTGTTCTACCACTTGTGTTCCTCGTTCCCATCATAATGGCCAATAGCAGCAACCACTTGGGCTACCAAAAGATTGCCTTAAATAGCTATTTTTACCGACTCTCTGTATGCCACTTTCAAGTGGAAACAAAGACATCCAGGTCAGATATCAAATAAAAACCAAACCAGATACCCAGTCCTAGAATACCCAGGTCAGCAAAAAAATGACATAACTCCAGAAATAGACCTGTACTTATACTAATTCAGACCAACTTATTTAGACCAAGATGCCAAGGCAATCCAATGGAAAAAGTAAGGCCTTTTCAATTCAATTGGCTGTGTATATGAAACAAATGAATCCTGACCCATATCACACCATACACAGAAGTAATTTCAAGATAGATGATGGACCTAAATGTTAGAGCTAAAATGATAAAGCTTTTAAAAGAAAATAATACAATATCTTCTCAATATTGGAATAGGTGAAAATTTTTTAGGATTCAGCATGTACTAACGATGAAATAATTGATAAAATGGGTTTAATAAAAATTAAAACCATTTTTAAGAACTCTTCACATTGTATACTTAAGATCAGAGTATTTCTCTTTGCGCAAATTTCAATTTTTTAAAAAACCGACTTTGAGTTATCATTTCTTTCTTATAGAATTAGCAAAAATCTGAAAGTTTGACAACTACTTTGTGATGGAGGCCGAGAAGCACCCCCACTAAACACACATCACACACACGTACACACACACATACACGCACACACAAGTACACACCCAACCACACAGTACACACACAGGTACACACATACATGCAAACAGTGCATGTGCACACATGTACATGCACATACTACATCTGCACACATACACATGTACATGCACACACATACACATACATGTACACACACACCCTCTCACAGGAGCTTGGTGGAGTGGTCTGCTCATTTCAGCTTCTCTATCTGGCTACTGGCCTGAGCTGAAGGCACAAGACTGCAACCTCTCCTAGCCTCAGCCTTCTGAACTTTAAGCCCAGGGAATTGTCACTGCTCTTACTTCATAGACAAGAGGAAATCTTTTTTAAACGCAGCTTTCTTGGGGACACTACCCCATCTGTGTGTAGCCACCATTCTTTGCTTCCCAGTTGCCAAAATTCTTATGGCCACTACAGCTTTAGATAAAAACAGACTGCAGGTATATACTGATTCTTCCTGCTAAAGCGTTTAGGTGCTTCCTCACCTAAATGCTTTCTAGACTCAGATGGTGGACAAGCTATCCTGTTCTGAGAAAGCTAATGAAGGCCAGGCTAAAGGAACTGTCTTTACATCATTTTTTCTTTCTTCTCAAATGTATATGCACAAAGGTTGATGCTTTTCCTTTGTTGTTGTTGTTGTTGTTGTTGTTCACAGCTCATCGAATGCCACTTCAGGTAAACTCATATAAAATGCTCTCATTTTAAAAAAATATTCTGCAGTTTTTTCATTCTCTCTCTTTAAAAACATGCCAAGTTGCCTCAGTAAAGAATGCTGTTTTGTGTATCATGCCTGATTGAAAAAATTCTGCTCAACGATGATTGCATGAAGAATGGACAGTCCACCCTCTCATCCAGATGGCCCGAATGGTGCCCTTGGTGTCCATCAGACTGTCAGACTGCTGTTTACTGGGGCAGCTCCCAGGGTCTCTGCTCTTCTTTTGAGTCTGCACCACCGACATCCTTTTAAGCTTCGATTGGAGCTCCTGATGCGTGCGAGCAAAGGTACGTTGACTGCTACATCTCATTAGCTGTGTGTTTTTTTCCCACCCCAACACTAGGACATTTCTGCTTCAATGACTTCTCATCCTGAATCTTAGCGTTGTTGCTCATCTCTGAGAGCCAAAAGCAACTTTTACTGGGGACTCAGGACCAGGTGGTGGCTGAGGGAGCAAGCAGGGTGAAGGACAAGGATCTTTCTGGAAACCAAATCTGCAGGTGTCCGGGATGAACTACCAATGAAGGGGGAGGGAGTTCAACATGTTTCCTATCTCGTGAACTGTCTGCCCTTTTGTAGGATAAAAGCTGCTGTGGAAGGATGCCTGTTTGCAAGGAGGAAAGAGCGAGCTTCCTGTTTCCCAGGTCCCTGGCATGCTCCCCCTGGTGGAAAGGCACTCCCTCCAAACTCTTGGAGAGGACTCAGGCTAAAAGTGGCAAGCTACTTCCAAGTTCCAGGTGACCCATAGGCTGTGATGTGAGTCTTAGCTATCTTTTAAGTAGTACTATAGTTCTATGATTAGTTCAGGCACAACTCATCATCTGAGAGCCACTCATTGCAACGTGGAGTTGCTCTCTACCTTAGTGCACAAACTGAGAAGGACGCTTGGCTTTTGAGACAACGTGGTGTTTAATCACCAGGATAATAGAAGCATCACAAAATACAGTAACAGGATGGCCCAGGGTGAGAGAAGCAAAGCGTACACAGAGTCTGGCTCATACTTATACGGCTTCCCTGCCAGCACAGTCTTCCTCTCGATCCAAAGCAGATAATTGGACAACTCGGTGTACACTCCAGGCATGTTCTTCTGGCCACAGCCCACACCCCAGCTGATAATACCCAGCTGGTACCATGTGCTTTTGTTCTTTTTCTGGCAAACCAGAGGCCCCCCTACTGTCACCCTAGGAAAGAAAGGTTGTTTGGGAGGGGAAGGGGCAGGAACAAGTTACTCCTATAGCCTACTGAGGTGCAGCCCGCTGGCACTAGGCAAAAAGCACTTATGGCACCTTTTGATGAACAGACTTCTTTTTTTTAAGAGTCAGGGTCTTGCTCTGTTGCCCAGGCTGAAGTGCAGTGGTGCAATCATAGCTCACTGCAATTTTGAACTTCTGGGCTCAAGCAATTTTCCTGACTTGGCCTCTGAAAGGGCTGGGACTACAGCCTTTGGGACAGTAGTTTTGATTAGGCTCTCCAACCACATAGCTATGCTCTGGGACTTCTGGAGAAGAAAACAAACAATTTGGTCAACAAGGACTCTCAATCATCACCATCTAGTCTCATGCATTAGTTTTATTATTATTTTTGAGACAGAGTCTCACTCTGTCACCCAGGCTGGAGTGCAGTGGTGCAATCTCAGCTCACTGCAACCTCCACCTCCTGGGTTCAAGCGATTCTCCTGCCTCACCCTCCCGACTAGCTGGGACTACATGCAAATGCCACCATGCCTGGCTAATTTTTGTATTTTTAGTAGAGATGGAGTTTCACCATATTGGCCAGGCTGGTCTCGAACTCCTGACTGCAGGTAATCTACCCACCTCGGCCTCCCAAAGTGCTGGGATTACAGGCGTGAGCCACCGCGCCCAGCTCGTGCATTAGTTTTAATACAACAAGGGCTGGTTTTATAATCTATTTTACCTCTAAGCACTTTTGTATGTTTTTTTCAAAATTCTTCACATTTTCCCCCTGCCTTTTCACCCCAAATCCATTTTCAGCCAACCCATTTTTCTCTTCCTGTGTTGTTCACAATAACAAAAAGGAAAAAACACCAACAAAAACCCGTTGCACCTCATAATAGGTCTCTGGACGAATACAATAGATACACAAACTGACATATGCCAATGCAAAAATTACAAATATTGTATCAAAATGTTATCTTGTGGCACAAAACATTGAATTACAAAAAACTTACAGATTCTAAAACATGCTGAAAAAGATGACCAAATAGCACAAATAAATGGAGCAGACGTAATTAATGTGAAAATTGAGGAATATGGTAACTCTCATGGTTTTCAAGGTTTCCCCAAATCCTTTGGACCTTTCAAAAACTTCTATTAAAAAGTAATGTATAGTGCTCACTTCGCCAGCACATATCCTAAAACCGGAACAACACAGAGAAGATTAGCATGGCTCCTGCGCAAGGATGGCACGCACATTCGTGAAGCGTTCCATATGTTTACATCACACACCAGGGCCTCTCGGCGGGGTGGGGGCCAAGGGGAAGGAGAACGTTAGGACAAATACCTAATGCATGCTGGGCTTAAAACCTAGATGACGGGCTGATGGGTGCAGCAAACCACCATGACACATGTATACCTATGTAACAAACCTGCACATTCTGCACATGTATCCCAGAACTTAAAGAAAAAAAAGAAATGTATAATGATAAAAAGTTGGAAAACTCAGATATGGAAAAAGACCATGAAGAATACCCATAACTATATAAATAAGTACATTTATATATAAACACACACTACATGATGAGCAGACTTTTTTTCATACACGATTTTATACACGATTGTGTATGAAAAGAATATTTCAGGAAGAATACATATCCATGTAATTGCCTTTGGCGAGTGGACTGAGAATGAGTGTAAGAGGTGAAATTCCTCTTCATTGTGCAGCCATCTGTGCTACTTGAACTTTCTCTATCGTATATTCAGATAAATAAATGAAATCAACAATCCTTCTAATTCCACACATGCAGAGGCAACTCCTGTTGCCACCTTCAGATGTAACTTTCCACACCCTCGTCTATCAATGTGCACCCATCATATTTTACAGAGATAGGATCAGGATGTTCACATTGTTTCACAGCTTGTAAGACTTTATTTTTAAAAATGTTAAGTGACACACAAAATGTTGAAAAAAATCACCACTCTATGTGATGCAAGTCCAAATACAAAACATTAAAACAAACAACTTCCTTCCCAAAGCCAGGTATGGGTTTATTTTATTTTTTTTTAACCAGGTTGCCATTATGAAGAAATTGCTGTGCTCATCAACTTACTTTGAACCAAGCTGTTCTTTACCGAATGCCCTGAAGTCATTGGAAAGTCACCCTACCTTGCTTTAAAGTGAAGAATTAGAATTGTTTCTCTGAAGATGAGGGAGGTGCATGAAGGATGTCAGGTACCACAGTGGTACGGTTTGGATCTTAAATTTCTAAAGCCACGTAGGCCTTGATTCAAACTCCAGTGTGAATATTCAGTTGAATGAATCTAAACAGTTTCTGAAGCAGTTTAAGGCTCAGTTTTTACATTGATGGTAAAAGTAACATCTCTCCTGCAGGACGGCTCTGTGAATGGAAGGAAACAGCTCGATCCAGGTCTCTAGACGTGACAAGCATTGACTCAGTGGAAAGTCCTGCGATTTTTGTGGTTTTTAGACCAGGCAGATCTGGGCATGACTAGAGGAGGTTTTTCCTGGGACGCAGAAGGCGGTTGTAATCCCAGAGTCCGGATGCCCTCGTTAGAATTCTGGGCCTGTAATTCGCCTTGCTGGGGTGTCCTCCGCAAGACTTTCAGCTTCTCTGATCCTCATTTTTCTTATCTGAAATAGGCCTGTCTCACAGAGCTAATTCCCAAAACTTCTGTGTATTTGTGGCAGCCGTGTGTATGCTATTGAGAACTGGACGGGAGTGAAAGAGAGTGATGAAGACAACAGTCTATACAGCATCTCCTATTACCTGTTAGCTCAGTGCTTCATGTGCATTACCTCACTGAATTCTCGCAACAGCCCAAAAAGGTAGGAACTCTTACTATTCCCATGTTACACATGAGGACATCGGAAAAGGCACAGGCACGGGGGATACCTCTTGCCGAGGTCACACAGGCAGTTCAAGTAGGGGAGCCAGGAGGGAGACTGGGTCATCTGACTTCAGAGCCTGCACCCCTAACCACTGCCCCTCATTGCCTCCCTTTTGTTACAGAGGACCTGTTCTTTTAAGATCTTACAGACGATCTGCACTGGGTTGAATAGTATCGTCCCAAAATTCATGTCGACCCAGAACCTCAGAATGTGACCTCATTTGGAAATAGATCCTTTACAGATATAATTAGTTAAATTAAGATGAGGTCATAGTGGATTGAAATAGACCCTAATCCAGTGACCCAGCAGAAGTAATTCCTCCGACTGCCCCAGAACCCATCGGGGCCGACAGCTGGGGGTGTGGGGGCGGCCCTGGAATAGGGGCTGTGGTGGTACGCCTGGCTGCAGTGGTTGTCAGGCTGCAGTGGTTGTGGGGCTGATGGGAAACTACTAAAGTTTGGGGGAAGCAAGTAGAATTTCCTAAGAACATAATGGATGGAGAGGGGAAAACCTGTGGTGGCTGTGAAGGTCCTGATGCCGTGTATGTCTAATTAATATCGTCCGATGGCCATGAATTTACTGTAAAAATAGAACGTGCGTTAACTTCAAGCATGATAAAAGCCATGTTAAGCTTAAAAAGCTTAAAAGCTTTTAAAACAGCTCCCAGGCCAGGCGTGGTGGCTCACACCTGTAATCTCCGCACTTTGGGAGGCCGACGTGGGTGGATCAGCTGAGGTCAAGAGTTCAAGACCAGCCTGGCCAACATGGTGAAACCCTGTCTGTACTAAAAATAAAAATAAAAAAAATTTAGCCAGGCATGGTGGCGTGTGCCTGTAATCCCAGATACTAGGGGGACTGAGGCAGGAGGATCACTTGAACCTGGGAGGCGGAGGTTGCAATGAGCCGAGATCTGCACTCCAGCCTGGTCAACAGAGCAAGACTCCGTCTCAAAAAAAATAAAAAATAAATAATAAATAAATAAAACAGCTCCCAGCCTGTGGCAGAGGTTTGATAGTCATTGACCATGGACATGGAACAAGGCTACAGAAATTCTCAGGCTCCAGAAGATGGATCCATAGTAGATGTTAATGCGCCGCCCTTGCTCTAGCTGCATGATGTCATGGTTTTGCGTTAGACCTGGTAGGTGCTGCCCTGTGGATCCCACCCCGTGACTACTGAGTCAGCAAGCCTGGGAACTGACCTTGAGAGCAAGCTCCCTAGGGGAGTCTCCTGCCCACCGAGGATGGAGGGCCCTGGAGAGGCACATCCACAAGGAGTCCCAGAGACCCACGTGCCAGGAGCTGCAGGCCCAGGGCAGCAGCAGGGCGACCCGCAGCAGGAGGGCTGCCCTTCATGGCTCCATCCTTTCATCAGCCCTGGTCCTCCCATCAGCCACAGAGAGGCTTCCAGTGTGGAAGGGGGGCCAGGCGGGGCTTCACTCTCCACGCCCGCTAGCTCACAGCCCAGCCTGACTGCCTGGGTCACAATAGGGAATGGGTGGCGCTGCCACAGTCCAGACAAAGCCGGGGTCACCCTGAACCCTGTGGGGTGCGGAGGTCAGGATGGAGCTGGGGGCGAGAGGCTCGGAGTGGGAGGACTCCCCAGCCAGCTGTGCTCCTATAAGAGGCAGCGTTTCAGCTTCCTGAACCTGTCAGGACAAAATAGCTGGAAGCGCACTCTAGAAATAGCCTTGGGGAATGAGAAGGACTCAGGCTGCTGTTCCAAACCGCTCAAGTGAAACAGCAGACAGGGCACTGGCTGTGGGAACTTAGCAGAGTCCCTTAGCTTTGTGCCTCTGATGACTCCCCTGTAAAATGTGGATGATGATAGCACAGCACTATGTGGTTGAGAGGAGTAATGAGCTAATCCGTGTATCCAAGCACAGGCCATGGCAAATACCAAGCCCACGATTCTAATTCTCCCATTTCATCTCTACTAATGTCTTCCTGCAAAGGAAGGCACTTTGGCCAGCAGTTTCTATGAACAAGACACGTCCAAAGTACAGATCCATGCCTGGATCAGCTGCAGGGTGGCTTTTGGTGGTGCCATTCTTTCATTTCTTTGTTCATGAGGTCATCCAGAGCTCTTTGGAGCATTTTCTACTTGCTGGGCTTGGAGGACAATGCAAAGATGAACAATAGATGTTCTCTGTCTCTTTGAAGGTCATAATCATCTGGAGAGACACATTGGCAGAGAGACTACCTTAATACAATGGGGTAAGAGTATCACTGGCAGCCAGGGGAGGGGCACGGGTGTGTGGTGGGTGGGAGAAGAGGCGAGGGGGAAAATTGTCTAGAGGAAGTAAGGATTGTCTGGGCTAAGCCAATTCCCAAAGCGAAAGCCCTAGAGGGAGGGAAGGAATGCATTTGTTACGGTTTAAGTGATGGTCCCCCAAATTCCTGTGTTGATGTTCTAACCCCCAGACCTCAGGATGTGACTTTATTTGGAAGTGGGTGCTTGCAGATGTAATTGATGAAGAGGAGGCCATGCTAGAGTAGGACAGGCCCCCAATCCAATATGACTAGTGATCTTATAGAAAGGGGCCATTTGGACACACTCACCCACACAGGGAGAGCCCCATGTGAAGACTGGAGTTGTGCTGCCACAAGCCAAGAATGTACCAGAAGCCAGGAGGGAGAAGTGGAACAGATCCTTCCTAGCACTTTCAGAGGGAGCCCGGTCCTCCTAACATTGGGATTTTGGATTTCTGGCCTCCAGAGCTCCTGACAATATTTCTGTTGTTCTAAGCCACACAGTTTGTGGAACTTTGTTACAGCAACTCTGAAACTCAAGCCGCATTCTATCTGGGCAAAAAATATGTGCAAAGGTACAGAGGTGTACGGGAACTGCGGGAACTTCTGAGTTAAGTCAGAATTGTTGTTTTGGTGGTTCAAAAATAGGAGAACATTGACAAATTTGCATGGTTCAAGTTAAGCTATCAAGTTGGAATAATGTACCAGGTTGAGTGGTAGATGGGGGGGATCAGTTTACTGAATAAAGCTCCAGTTGGAATAAACTGTGTTCCCTCCTATGCGGCCAGTGAATCGTTCTGATAAGAAATCACCATGGATGTGACAGGTGTATGAAGAATGGCTAGTATTACTAATTAATGGCAAGGAGCTCTGGTTGTGAACGTTTTCCAAAATTCCATACATAAGGGAAGTTTGCAAACATTTTCCAAAATTCTATCCATATTCTATTTTAGGAAAAATGACTATGGGACTTTCTTTCCCCAGCTGTTTTGAGGCTTTAAAATTTATCTTAGAACCTCTTGGAACTATCCCATCAGAATAACTGGAAGACAGATAAAACATTAGGCAGTTCATTCATTTTATTGGACGTGGAGTTTTGTCAGAACCAGCATTTACTGTACTTCTCATAGCTGTAAGCAAAGCATTAGAATTCAGCAACCTAATGCTTTTCTTTTCTCTGCCAAGCGGGGTCGTGAAATGGGAGAGAAAGCCTCCTTGCCTCTGTTCTTTGCAAACAGCATGTATTTATTTGGGGTCAGTAGAGCAAAACATCTGATCGCTGCTCTAAGTGTTTGCAAACTTTTGGGCACTGGAGGGGACATGCATATGAGATGGAACAGGGCATAGATAAAAGAATTCCCGCATTACCCACCATCCTGCCCAAAGAAACCACACGACTTCCATGGCAGTCCCAGACTACAGAAAGGGAGAACACAGCAAGCGCCTGCATTCTCTTCATTTAGGCCCCAAGTCATCCAAAAATTGCCTACCACGGCAGTAGACGAGTTCACATTTTAATCAAAACAGGACTGCACAGAAACATACGTCCACGTGAAAACCAGTACCCAGTGTTTATGGTGGCTTTCTTTTTAATTGCTAAAAACTGGTAACAACCTAAATGTCCATCGTCAGAGGAAGCGATGAACAAACTGCGGTGCATTCACACAACAGCGGTGCTACACAGCAGCGAAGAGGAGCAGCCGACTGACACGCACAACAACTCGGATCTCAGGAGCATCGCGCCGAGCTGGAGAAGCCAGACACGAGCCGCTGCACACCGTATGATTCCATGGCATTCTGGGAAAGGCAAAACTCCAAGCACAGAGAACGCATGAGTTGTTGCCCAGGTTTGGGGTTCCAGGAAGAGGATGGATTACTAAGAAGCACAGGGGAATGTTTTGGGGTGATGAAAATGTTGTATGTCTTGTCTTTTTCTTTTCTTTTTGTGAAACAGAGTTTCACTCTTGTCGTCCAGGCTGGAGAGCAATGGTGTGATCTCAGCTCACTGCAACCTGCACCTCCCAGGTTCAAGCAATTCTCCAGCCTCAGCCTCTTGAATAACTGAGATTACAGGCACATGCCTCCCCGCCCAGCTAATTTTTGTATTTTTAGTAGAGACGGGTTTTCACCATGTTGGTCAGGCTGGTCTTGAACTCCTGACCTCAGGTGATCCGCCCACCTCAGCCTCCCAAAGTGCTGGGATTACAGGCATGAGGCACCACATTCGGCCAAAGTTCTATGTCTGGTCACAGCCATTTACATTCATCAGAATTCACAGAACCATCCATCCTGAAGTGGTGAATTTGCTGAATAGAAATTATACCTCAAAGACCAGACGTTCAAAAATGCCTTTGTGTTTTGTAAGCTTCAACACTCGCCCAGTGGGAACCACAAAAGCGTTGCCCAATTTGTTGAAAGCATTGCTGTTATAACTTCAGCGTGTGGGGAGAAGTTATGTTTTCATACTGTCTTTGTCTGCTCTGGCCACCGTTACAAAACACCATAGACTGGGTGGACTGATCAACACGCATTTCTTTCCCACAGTGGAGGCTGGAAGTCCCCAAGACCCAGGTTCCTGGGGAGGGCTTTCTTCCTAGCCTGCAGGTGACCAACATCTGCTGTGTCCTCTTGTGACTCTTCCTCAGTTCCTGTGCCAGAGGGGTCGGGGGACAAGTGGGCGTCCATCTTGTAAGTGTCCTCATAAGGCCACCATCCTGTCAACCAGGGCACCACCCTATACCTTAGTTAACCTTAATGACTTCCTTGGTGGCCCCCCGTCCCGTTGCAGCCAGGGTTAAGCTTCAGCGTGCAAAGTGAAAGGCCACACAAATCTTTGTCCGTAACAAATGCCCCGTGGACAGGACACTCCGGTGCCCTGAGGCTGCAGGAGCTGAGGGTGATCTTGCTCAGGTACTTCTGGTGGTACCTGCTGTATGGGGAAGAAGTCTGTTCCTCCTGGCTGGTGTCAGAAGTAACCAGGCTGAAGCCATGCTCTGAAAGAACCTGTGCAGGGAGAGAAAGACCTGTTTGAGACTGACCTGAAAGCTCTCGCAGGGGAAAGAACAGGTAAGCCTGGCTCCCTGAAGGTCCCGGGGGAGAATGGGCTTCCCTGAGAGGCCTCATAAGGGCCGCAGTGGGAGGGAATGAAAGGGGCGGACAGGGTAGGGATGGGGCAGGGATGGGGCAGGGATAGGAGGGAGGTCTGCAGCTGCACCCAGCACTACTCCCTCTGCCCACCAGTTCACAAATGTGACCCCGGCCCCCTCCCAGGCTGAACAGAGGGTCCCCCTAATTTGCTGTGGCTCTAGGAAGCAGGGGCCCTGCTGGGACGTCCTGGCGAGCAGGGGGTCACTCAGGGTCTGTGCTCTGAACTCCAGGCAAGGGAGCCTGGGGAGTCAGGGCAGGAAAGGAGATGGCCTGAGGGCCTGTGGCTCATCACCACCCTCTGCGTCCTAGTTTACGTTCTGGTGGCATCTGGTGCCAGGGAAAGCCACTCGTCAACACAAGCTGCGGGAGGAGAGGGGAGCTATTTGGAGCAGGAGACAGACTAAGAAATAGACATTGCTCCCCGTGGATTTCAGCCCTTTTGGGTTTCAGCTGTGCCCTAATTCTTCCCTGTACGGGGACAGCTGGATCTTTGCAGGCAGTGCAACAGAGCTGCAACTCCAGATGTAGTGATTCCACTTTGGACAGAGGTGCCAGGTGGGGGCCCCAGACTTGTGTCCAGGAGGGCATTGTCTGTGTGCCACAGTCCACCGGCCTCCTGGAGGTGAAATCCCCATGCCAGCCAAGAGGGGTACGCAATGCCGACTTAGAGTTCAGCATCACTCCACTTCTCCACTCGCCATCACTCCTCACCTTCTCCTGGGCCCTGCCCTGATTTTCTGAATCTCCTCCAGCCCTCTGCGGTGGAAATGAGGAGGTCGATGGCTCCGAAACCAGCAGGTCTGGGGTGTTAAGGAAGATGGCCCTAAGTATATCAATTAGGAAGGGCTTCAGAAGGAAACAGGATTCTACTCTGAAAGTGCAAATGAAGGCATTTTAATGAAGGCACTGAAAGTTGTGGGCGTTGTAAAGGGATTCAGCGAAGGAGAACAAGGTGTCCAGAGTTGAACAGTAGCAGTAAGCCGTAGGGCAAGCTACTGTCATTGGAATCCAGTGAGGACCGCAAGCGTGAAGGAGGGACTACCCTGTGGGGACTGAGTATAGAAGGGACCCAGCCAGCGGCAGAACAGTGGCCCACATAGGAAAGTGACAGGGAAGAAATACCCCAACCCTCTCCCTTCCTGCCCTGGTACTTTCTGTTGGTACTTGCTGAGGTCAAGCTAAGTGGCGTTTAGGATCCCAGGTAACTCAGTCCCTAGGAGCCAGCCTCCCAGGACCCAGGGAAGTACAGCACATGGATCTGTATTGGGGAAATGGGAGACAAATGGAAAATAATGGCTTAGCATCATCTAGCACATTCTCACAGAGGACAGAGTTGACAGCTGTGAGCTATTCTGATTTTAGGGCTGATAAAGACACCACACTACCCATTATTAAGCCTTATCATGTACACTATACTATGCCCAGGATTTGCAAGTGTTATCTTGCTTAATCCTCATAGCAACCACATGAGGGAATTACTCTTCTTGTTTTCCACATTTAGCAGGTCAATATGCCAGATATTATATACTGATTTTTAGCACCATCGCTGCCTTTCTAAATCTCTCAGGTATTGTAGAGGCTGAAAGCCTAAGAGCTGTGTTTCTCAGGATCCCAGCAGGCTTCCAATTTAGATTCTCAGCCAAGTTTTAGGAGGCAGAGGAAAGGGAGCAATCATTTTCCCATGGCAGCTGTGTGCAGGCATGCAGATTTCAGCAGATGGCAGTCATGAGGTTTTGCCATTAACTTTGGGTCTTCTGCAAATCATCCTGATACTGAAGATAATTATATCATTTGCAGGGGGTTCCAATGATTCCTGTAGTTCACTGAGCTCTTGTAAAGAAGCAACCGTTTTTCCTGACCTTGACACTCAAGCATTTTTGATGGTTCTAGAAGTACCCATTTTCAGGTATTAAATACCTTTCTGTTTGAGATACATGATTGTTTTCTATTTTCCTGAAAGAATCCTGACTGATACAGTATTTGGTACTGAGAGTGGTTCCAGGAAATACAGCTGCAAAGATGGAGGGAAGTCTAAGATGTGTTGTTAGGCTTGGATTAGCTTGAAGCCAATAATGACCTCCTGGCTAGTGGAAAATGGGTTTCTGGTAGTCCATGACATGCAATGTCTTAAGTTATGGCCTGTCATTCATGGAATCAATTGCCTGTTAAAAGACACCAAGCACCTTTTTGATAGAATACTCTGGTGGAAGAGATAAGTACAAGGGTTAAAGTTACTGAATGCAATGGAAAATTTACAGAAAAAATACAGCACAAAATACCCCAACAATCTCAGGGCTTTAAAATTTCAACTCAGAGGCATAATTCAAAAGCATTGGAGAAGCATCAAAGAAGCTTCTACAACTGCCCCTGAAAGAATCTCTTATCGTAGCAGAAATTGAACCCAGGGTTGTTCCTACAAGTTGGCAGAATTACAACCTAACTTGAATTCACAGCCTCTTTAGGTGCTTCCATGAAAGGTGATTAATGGGGAAGGACTGCGACCAGGAGTATTGCACTGAGAAACTTGGGTATGTTAAGATGAATCAACGTACTTCACAACCTTAAAGTCCACTGAGTTTCCCTTCCTTTCCTTTCTGGGAACCTAGTCCCTTCTTGCTTGAAGACTTTGTAAAGACTCACCTGAAGAAAATACTTACCCAGGGAATGCTGATTCTCCCATAGCCCACTACCCCCCATCACCTCTCACAGCAGTCATTACAGTCATCCCAGTAGAATTCATAGAAATCAGTTCAAATCTGACCCAGGAGAAGATAGAAAACATTAAAATAACTGCAACATTCTTCTAACATATATTTGTAGAAATCTGATGATTATGTCCAAGAATGGATTCTAAGGGACTTAGAATTTGATTTGACTGGGCCAAATTTATCAGTCTAGGTGCACTTAAGAGAAACTTTGAATTCAGTGGTTTACCTAGAGCAGCTGGAAGTGGCTCTATTTGGTTGAAGAACTAAAACCTTGGACCAAAAAAATGGCCTCCGTTAAACAGAATTGCTTTCCAGAATATAAAAGAAGGAATCCAAAGTCTTAGATAAGAATGCCAGAATGGATTTATTGTGACCTGCTCCCCCATCCTCTAACTCTAGTTTATGAGATTCCTGAGGATGCTTTGTTATATCAGGCATCGAAAAATACATTTCCAAGGAGAGCACCAGCATCCTTGGAAGGCCCTGCTGTGGCCATCGTCTGTAGGCTGGGGGTGATGTAGCACATACCCATCTGGTGGAAAACTGATCACAGTTGACCCATTCCCTCATGGAGTAGTCAGCAATTTTCCATCACAGTAGTAGATATTTATTTATTCTGTCTATGGATGTGTCTCCGAGGCCCACAAGGCCTTTGCTGCCTCATCACACAAAACTTCCCCAAATGCCTGATTATTCATCACAATGGTTTTGCATTTGGCATTACTTCTTACAAACTGATTAAAACGCGACAGATTAAAATGCAACAGACCTGAAGCAATGCACTCGGTGCCCATGGGATTCACGGATCTTCCCATAGGTCCTACCAGCCAGAAGCAGCATGCCTGATTGATAGAACAGTGGAATGGCCCAATGAAGGTTATGCAACTGAGCCTGTTGAGATCTCATGACATGTGAGGATGGAGTGCTCTTTTACAAAGTACTGTGTCTATTATGAAGCACATTCAATAGGAGCTGATTCTTGTATGGCCAGAATACTTGGGTTTGGGAACCAAGGGATAAGAGTGGGACTGGCTTCATTTACTATTGCACGTAGTGATCCACACCCAATAAAGTTCTGCTTCTTACCACTGCAACTTTGAGCTCTGGAAGTTTAGAGACCTTAGTTCCCAAGGGAAGAATGTCTCTACCAGGGAATACGATGGTTTATTGCATGGAGAGTTGAGACTGCCACCTGGACATTTGGAGTTCATTACACCACTAAGCCAATAGGCAAAGGGGAAGGTTAGTGTCCTGGCTGAGAAGACTGACCCCTAATATCAAAGAACAGAGATTTGCTCCACACATGGGGACAAGGAGGAATATGTCTGAAATCCATTACATCCTTTGAAGATGCTCTTTCTATTTCATTGTCCAAAGGGAGAAATCAGTGGAAAACTATAGCAACGCCATACAGGAAAAACCATCAAGCGCTCAGAAATGAATGGTCACCCCAACAAATAAAGAACAACGATCAGCTGAGGTTCAAATTGGAAGAAGGCCAACTGTGGCCTCAGGATCAGTTGCAGACTTGAGAACAATTGCAGCGGCCTGGATTTTCATGATGTTTTATGTATTTGTATATACCAATTTCTGTTTTTTCCTTCTTTTCCCCAAGTGTTCACATTGGTTACATTTATTACTGATCTTTAGGATATAAGATTGTGGTGGCCATGGAGGTGTACCACCCAGATCTACTTCAAAAGAACCTGCTGTGGGAAGCATAGTTGATGACGGCCTTCAGCTACTGCTCCTCCAGATCCATCATAGCTGTCACACTAACACTGCATTTCTACGGAGTATACCCAGCCAATGGCTGAGAGTGGCAGGGTTCAACTTTTCTTGAACCATTACTGCTCAACCTGGCACCCTTTGCTCAGGAATTCTCATCAACCTGGTCCAGACTTACTCAGACTTGCAATGGGGTCTGAAGATGCTCTGCCTCCTCCTGTTCCCAAGATCCTTTATCCTTGCCAGGCATTTCCACCAATAAATCTCTTTCATGTATAAGTCAGTCTTGGCATCGGCTCTTGGAGGACCCAAACTGACGGGGATGTGAAGCTGAGATTGTGATTAAACAATCTCACTCAAAGATGGATATGATGATTTTATGAGACTTTTCAGAGAGGAACAGAGTGTTCTGTTTGCATAGAGAATAGTCACATTGTGTTAGGAGCATGCTGTTACTATTCTTGTTTTCTAGAAATTTTAATAAGGTTGTATGCATACAGTGAGCAGCCAAAGTGGTAGGCTTCCTAGATCGTGTCTCAATAGGCACTGAAATCCAATTCCCCTAAATCCTAATTCCATTTTTCTGTGTCATGTTGCAGCTGCCTCACTCTAGTATTCTGGATGTGATTTGGGGTCCAATGAGATGCACTTACTAATATCTGCAGTGTACAATGCAGGCAGCAGCAGCGCCAGCTAAAGCTGAGCTCTGGTAGAGTTGGATTGGATGTTTACAGTGACCTACCTCTTCAGTGTGATATTTCCTCACGGTCATCAGCTACAGGCTGTGAGACAGCCTGGGGGAGACAGGATAGCCATGTTTCCCACTACCTCCCAACCACTGGCTGGTGCACCAGCCTCCTGGCCTTAGGTCGCAGCCACAGTGACGTGACCTCCTACAATCCCTGGCAAGCTGGAGGAGCAGCCCTGCAACCAAGCCTGCTCTAAGATAAGGCTTTCTGTTTACTAACCTGGAGCTGCTCTATTCTTTCACCCTTGTTCCCCTTTCAGCTGTCTCGCGCAAGTACTAATTTTGCCATTAAATACGCATTTTGTTTTGCAAAATGAGAAGAGCTTATAAATACTTCAAATTTTCTCCGTCTGTTTCACTCCTTTCCATTTCTTTCTAAAATTACAGTAAAATATTAACTATACAAAATATTGTTGTATTTATACAAAACAACAATACCATAAAATAAAACACTACATAGTTGAAGCCCTCTGAGGATCTCTCCATTTCTTCCAGCCATAACGAATACCCTGAACTTTACGTTTCTTTTCCCTTTGCGGTTGCTTAATTTTTCTACATCTGAATATATCCTTACACGTTTTTAAAATTTATAGAAATATCACACTGAATACATTTTTCTGTAACTTGCCTTTGCACTGCATTGTGAGATTCAGCTATGTTGATCTGTTTAACTCCAGCTGATGTATGTAATGATCCCTGATGATTATTCTGTCGTTTGACTATACCAAAATTTATTCAGGTCTCTGATAATGAGCATTTAGATTGGTTTGTTTTCCATTTATGAATTTAGCAATTATGTGTTTCTAATTTTTTGTTATTATAAACTATGGTGCTACGAATATTCCTGTATATGCCACCTTCAAAATTGTAAAATTTCAACTGTTTTAAAATACAGTCATGTCAGGATACATTCTGAGAAATGTATCATTGGGCAATTTCATTGCTAGGCACACATCAATGTATGCAAATCTAGATGGCATAGCCTACTACACACCTAGACCACATGGCGTAGTGTGTTGCTCTGACCACCATCATATATGTAGTTCGTCATTGACCAAAATGGCATTCTCCGGCACGTCTGTATTAAAATTTTTTAGTGGAAAACCAGTTTTTAAAATCTGTTTTACATGAATGATAGTTTTTAGTGTCAACAATTTAAATATGGCAGTTATTTTTTCTCAGCACATTGGTGATATTATTCCAACATCTTTTAGCTTCCCTTGCTGCCGTTGAGAAGTCTGTTGATTTCATACTCCGCTGTAAGTAATCCATTTTTTCCTCGCATATGCTAATTTTGAGATCTTCTCTGCCTTTATTGTTTTGCCATTTCACTAAAATATGTTTAGAGATATATAAATTCTGCTTGGACTCTATTGTGCTTCCAGAATTGGAAGATCAATGTCTTTCATTAATTATGGAACATTCTTGGTCATGGACTCATTGAATGAATGTTTCCTTTTCTCCATTATTTCTATTCTTTTCTTCTGAAACTTCAGTAGTCATATGTTAGTCCTTTTAACTCCATCTGCCTTGTTTCGTAACTTCTCTCTCATGTTTTCCCATACTGCTTTTTAGCATCCTGAGCAATATTCAGATCCATCTCCTGGTTTACTATTTTTATTTCCATAAATTTCACTGGATTCTTTTTCAATTCTGCCTGGCCATTTTTTGATGGTATTTTGTTTTCAGTCTCATTTTAAGTTTCTTCCTTTTAAAGAATATTTTATACATAATTATTTATATTTACTATCTAATAATTTAAATGTCTGAACTCTGGGTGTGTAATCTTCTTTCCTGCTCTTTTTCATGATGGTTTGTTTTCCGTTTATGAATTTAGCAGTTGTATGTTTTGTACTCACGTTTGGCCAAACTTAATTCGTGGAAATCTGTGGGAGACTGTAAAAATATCAGTGGTTGCCAGGGTATAGATGAACAAGTGAAGCACTGAGGATTTTTAGGCAGGGAAGCCACTCTGTGTGATTACTACAATGGTGGCCACATGTCATCATACACCCATGAAAACCCATAGCATGTGCAATGCAAACAGTGAATCCTAACATAAACTCTAGATTCTAGTTAATCATAATGCATCACTATTGGCTTATTAATTGTAATGTGCCACACTAATGCAAGATATTAAAATAGAAATTGGGAGGAGGTGGGGCATATGGGAATCCATTGTATAATACTTTATGCTCAGTTTTTTTATAAACCTGTAACTGTCAAAAGCCTATTCATTTTTTTAAATGTAGAGATAAAAAAAAAAACAAAAAAAAGTTAACCTTTGTGATTTGGACTTAAACAGGGAACCCTATCTCAGGGTCATGAGAGAAAAGAACCAAGTGTCTTCTTCTGTGAACTGAAGGGCATCAAGAAGAGTGGCGTTTTAGTGGCATAGGGGAAGTCACTTTCTTTTGCCATCTAAAGTTTCAGGGTACATGTGCAGGTTTGTTACATATGTATACATGTGCCATGTTGGTGTGCTGCACCCATTAACTCTTCATTTAACATTAGGTTTATCTCCTAATGCTATCCCTCCCCCCTCCCCCCACCCCACAACAGGCCCCAGTGTGTGATGTTCCCCTTCCTGTGTCCATGTGATCTCATTGCTCAATTCCCACCTATGAGTGAGAACAAGTGGTGTTTGGTTTTTTGTCCTTGCAATAGTTTGCTGAGAGTGATGGTGTCCAGCTTCATCCATGTCCCTACAAAGGACATGAACTCATCATTTTTTATGGCTGCATCGTATTCCATGGTGTATATGTACCACATTTTCTTTTTTTTAATTTTATTATTATTGTACTTCAAGTTTTAGGGTACATGTGCACAATGTTCAGGTTACATATGTATACATGTGCCATGTTGGTGTGCTGCACCCATTAACTCGTCATTTAGCATTAGGTATATCTCCTAATGGTATCCCTCCCCTCTCCCCCTACCCCACAACAGTCCCCAGTGTGTGATGTTCCCCTTCCTGTGTCCATGTGTTCTCATTGTTCAATTCCCACCTATGAGTGAGAACATGTGGTGTTTGGTTTTTTGTCCTGGTGACAGTTTGCTGAGAATGATGGTTTCCAGTTTCATCCATGTGCCTACAAAGGACATGAACTCATCATTTTTTATGGCTGCATAGTATTCCATGGCGTATATGTGCCACATTTTCTTAATCCAGTCTATCATTGTTGGACATTTAGGTTGGTTCCAAGACTTTGCTATTGTGAATAGTGCCGCAATAAACATACGTGTGCATGTGTCTTTATAGCAGCATGATTTATAGTCCTTTGGGTATATACCCAGTAAAGGGATGGCTGGGTCAAATGGTATTTCTAGTTCTAGATCCCTGAGGAATCGCCACACTGACTTCCACAATGGTTGAACTAGTTTACAGTCCCACCAAGAGTGTAAAAGTGTTCCTGTTTCTCCACATCCTCTCCAACACCTGTTGTTGCCTGACTTTTTAATGATCGGCATTCTAACTGGTGTGAGATGGTATCTCATTGTGGTTTTGATTTGCATTTCTCTGATGGCCAGTGATGATGAGCATTTTTTCATGTGTCTTTTGGCTCCATAAATGTCTTCTTTTGAGAAGGGACTGTTCATATCCTTCACCCACTTTTTGATGGGTTGTTTGATTTTTTATTGTAAATTTGTCTGAGTTCATTATAGATTCTGGATATTAGCCCTTTGTCAGATGAGTAGGCTGCAAAAATTTTCTCCCATTCTGTAGGTTGCCTGTTCACTCTGATGGTAGTTTGTGTTGCTGTGCAGAAGCTCTTTAGTTTACTCGGATCCCATTTGTCAATTTTGGCTTTTGTTGCCATTGCTTTTGGTGTTTTAGACATGAAGTCCTTGCCCATGCCTATGTCCTGAATGGTATTGCCTAGGTTTTCTTCTAGGGTTTTTATGGTTTATCCATCTTGAATGAATTTTTGTATAAGGTGTAAGGAAGGGATCCAGTTTCTGCTTTCTACATATGGCTAGCCAGTTTTCCCAGCACCATTTATTAAATAGGGAATCCTTTCCCCATTGCTTGTTTTTATCAGGTTTGTCAAAGATCAGATGGTTGTAGATAAGCGGCATTATTTCTGAGGGCTCTGTTCTGTTCCATTGATCTATATCTCTGTTTTGGTACCAGTACAATGCTGTTTTGGTGACTGTAGCCTTGTAGTATAGTTTGAAGTCAGGTAGCGTGATGCCTCCGGTTTTGTTCTTTTGGCTTACGATTGACTTGGCGATGCAGGCTCTTTTTTGGTTCCATATGAACTTTAAAGTAGTTTTTTCCAATTCTGTGAAGAAAGTCATTGGTAGCTTGATGGGGATGGCATTGAATCTATAAATTACCTTGGGCAGTATGGACACTTTCATGATATTGATTCTTCCTTCCCATGAGCATGGAATGTTCTTCCATTTGTTTGTATCCTCTCTTATTTCATTAAGCAGTGGTTTGTAGTTCTCCTTGAAGAGGTCCTTCACATCCCTTGTAAGTTGGATTCCTAAAAGTATTTTATTCTCTTTGAAGCAATTGTGAATGGGAGTTCACTCATGATTTGGCTCTCTGTTTGTCTGTTATTGGTGTATAAGAATGCTTGTGATTTTTGTACATTGATTTTGTATCCTGAGACTTTGCTGAGTTGCTAATCAGCTTAAGGAGATTTTGGGCTGAGACAATGGGGTTTTCTAGATATACAATCATGTCATCTGCAAACAGGGACAATTTGACTTCCTCTTTTCCTAATTGAATACCCTTTATTTCCTTCCTGATTGCCCCGATTGCCTTGCCTGATTACCCCGGCCAGAACTTCCAACACTATGTTGAATAGGAGTGGTGAGAGACGGCATCCCTGTCTTGTGCCAGTTTTCAAAGGGAATGCTTCCAGTTTTTGCCCATTCAGTATGATATTGCCTGTGGGTTTGTCACAGGTAGCTCTTATTATTTTGAGATACGTCCCATCAATACCTAATTTATTGAGAGTTTGTAGCATGAAGGGTTGTTGAATTTTGTCAAAGGCCTTTTCTGCATCTACTGAGATAATCATGTGGTTTTTGTCTTTGGTTCGGTTTATATGCTGGATTGTTTATTGATTTGCATATGTTAAACCAGCCTTGCATCCCAGGGATGAAGCCCACCTGATCATGGTGGATAAGCTTTTTGATGTGTTGCTGGATTTGGTTTGCCATTATTTTATTGAGGATTTTTGCATCAATGTTCATCAAGGATATTGGTCTAAAATTATCTTTTTTTGTTGTGTGTCTGCCAGGCTTTGGTATCAGGATAATGCTGGCCTCATAAAATGAGTTAGGGAGGATTCCCTCTTTTTCTATTGATTGGAATAGTTTCAGAAGGAATGGTACCAGCTCCTCCTTGTACCTCTGGTAGAATTCAGCTGTGAATCCATGTGGTTCTGGACTTTTTTTGGTTGGTAAGCCGTTAAACTTCAAAGAGGGAAGTCCTGTATTTCATGTTGTTCCCAGTAGTCCAAGAGATGGGACTATGACACTGTTGATGGTTAATTTAATGTGTCCAACTTGGCCATGCTCTGGTGCCCAGTTGTTTGTTTGAGCAGCAGTGTAGATGTTGCTCTGAAGGCTATTTTTAGACGTGATTAACATTTGAATCAGTAGACCTTGAGGAAAGCAGAGTGCCCTCCATTTGTGAGTTGGCCTCATCCAATCAGATGAAGGTCTTAGGAGAAAGGATTTAAGTCCCCCAAAGAAGAAATTTTTCCCCTAGATGGCCTTCGGACTTGATACTGCACCATCACCTCTTCCTTGGGTCTCCAGTTTACCTGCCTTCCCCACAGATTTAGACTTGCTAGCCCCCACAATCACATGGGCCAGTTGTTTGAAATAAATCCCTGTCTCTTGACATATATGTAATGAAAGGAAACTATCCATAAATAAATGATATGTATTTAGAAATAAAACAATATATATTTTTATATACTTACGTATATATAAAATTATGTATGTATACAGACACGTGCATACATACATAGGTAAGTATACAGACGCATATACATACATAAGTATATGTATACATGTATGTATACAAGTTCAGTTGGCCCTCCATATCCATGGTTTCTGCATCTGTGGATTCAACCAACCTCAGATAGAAAATATTTGGAAAAAATATGGATGGCTGTATCTGTACTGAATATGCACGAACTTTTTAAAAATTATTATCCTTGAACAATACAGTGTAACAACTGTTTACATAGCATTGACATTGTATTAGGCACTATAAGTAATCTAGAGAAGATTTAAAGTATATGGAAGGATTGCATAGGGTATATACAAATACTGTTTTATATGAGGAACTTGAGCATCCATGGATTTTCGTATCCAAGAAGGGTCCTGGAACCAATTTCCCACAGATACCAAGGGACAACTGCATTTATATAATGAAACTAATTACTAATTGCGAGGGGACCCTATGAGAAGAGGCACAAATTTGGCTGTGACATATACATTAGATGTCATGAACCACCCATACCATCTACATTCCTGTATCTTTCCAGTGCCTGTTTCACAAAGTGTCTGAATGAATGAATGAGCAGCTGAATGTCTTTCTTTTTTATGGGGCCACATATGATTGTCTCCTTTGTAGCTATGCCAGGTAGACATAACCAAGAAAGGACCTCCCAGAAAACTACCACCAGTCCCTGACTGTCCTTCATGGCACCAATCTTTAAATAAACATGGTCTCTTAGTTTTCTAAAAACAAATTCTTATCACTTATATTTCAGTCTGGCCACACAAGCTATTTTGTTTCCACTCAGTGAAAAGATGTGCTGCTTTCTCATCTGGAATTTTTATCCTTTCTCACTGGCTGGATGATGACTTTGGCGACTGGCAGTGGGCCTCACTCAGTGACCCACATATGTGGAGAGGGCAGATGTTGCCACTTCCTCCAATCCACCTCATTATACTTTTTATTTGAATAATTAAGGATAGAGAAAGGATGGTGTGGTCTATAAGTAGCAAGCCATAATCTCCCCATGTTCAAGTTCAAACTGGACAAAAGACCCCTGATCCTAACTCTACCGGAGACTTTCTTTCATGGATGGCCCAGGAGATGAAAGAATTTGCACCTCAGATGGGGGTTCCCTGTGTGTGCGTCCGTATCATGCACTGAACTGACGGAATTAGAGTGGGGCAATGATGATGAGGTAATATTGCCTTCCATGACAGAAATAAGTTATTAAGCGTCACAGAATGTTGGTGTGATGAAAGACCTTACAGTTCATCTAATGGAATCTGCTTTTTCATGGACAAGGAAACTGAGATCAAGAAACGTAAGTCATTTCCCAAGGTTGAGTTTCCAATGCTTTCCTGAAACCGTCCTTCTTTGTTGGAGGTTATTGTTTTCCTCCGGGAGGCCCCATGCACTGCTCGTGCCTCTTTTTAGCACTGTGTTTAACATTCCTTCATTAGACTGTGAGATTTGGGAGAAGTGAGTCCATGTCTAACTTCTGGGGGCTGGTGTAGATGCTACCCCACAGCACATGCTCCACAGATGCTTGTGGGAGAATGGAAAGGAAGAGAGGAGAGAGAAGAAAGAGAAGGAAAAAGCGTGGGTCCAAAGCTTAGCAGTTAGGTTTATCACCGGTAAACATGGTGGCCAGCAGCATTTGAGACCCCAATCCTAGCAAGAAGGGGTACTGAGGAACACACACCAGTGAGCTTCTCGGCTTCTCGTGGATCCTGAGATTATGGTGTAGGCTTTCCCCTCCTTTTCTGTCTCCTCCTGGCTTCATGGAATAAATTGAGCCACAGACACAAACATACCAGGTCTCCCCCTGGAGCCAGATCTTATGCCCCCACTGAAGACACCCACTTGGAAGAGTCTCTGGGTTCCATAAATAGCACAAACCAGAGGTGCCCCACTGTCTCCCTGGGAATGAGGAAAGGAAGAACAGTCTGCAGTCAATGGCACCTCCAGCAGGAACAGGGAGGGGAAAATGGGAGGGTCCTAGTGGTGTAGGCTAGGGCCCCCCCATTTGGGAACCTAGAAAGTGAGGGTGTACCTGGAGGGAGGAGGAGGCTGGGCAGGGGTGAGTACCTTGAAGATACCATTGGTGCCTGGTTCGTTCGAAGCACAAATCATGTTCCTGGACAGCTGGTTTACCCTCTTGGCACATTCTTTCCGGCTAATCTGCACCACTCTCAGCTTTTCCAGGTGCATGTTTAAGTCATCATATTGGTCTGACAAAGGGAGAAAGCTGGTGTGAGAGTGAGCACTGCATCAGCCGGCAACAGTGAACAGCCCACACGCGATGAGCATGGAAGCCTGGGAGGCCACCAACGTCCAGCAGATGACAAATTCACAGGGCATGGAGGCCTGGGATGACTTCAGTCTCCACTCCAACAGCCCCAACAAGAAGTTCCTCCACTAAATGTGCTTCCTGTGGGAAGCTCACTCTCTCCAGAAACAGCCCACAAAAGCCCCAGCCTGGAATGAAGGTCCTCCCTGGCCCCCCCATCTCTTCACAGCCAGGCTTTGCCCCATGCAGAGGATCAGAGCAGCCCAACCTTTGAATTGGTGTTGTCCAGTGTCTTCACCAACCCAAATGGAGAACCCAAAAAGAAGACACATCTGGTCATGCCACCTTGTAGGAAGGAACTGACCACAATGCCAGGGGCACTCTTGGCCTTCTCCCCCCAACACTCCCACCCTCCCAGAGATCTTCCCTGGCCAGGCAGCCTGGTGCCTTGCAGGGAAAAGGATGGAGCTTGGTTGGAGAATCACTGGCTCAGAGCTATCTTGGGATGGTGTTTTACATGGGGTGGCCAATAGATGGGGAGATGGCCATCGTGAAAGAGCCACAGGCGGGAAGATGCAAACTGGCTTATCATGCTTTTGGCACCACAAAAATTATCATCGCTCTCATATTTTGAGATTCTTCTATGTCCTAGGCTTTTACTGGGGACCTCATTTAATTTAATCCCCATACCTTTTTGAGGAGGTGTTCCTGGCATTCTGCAGATGAGAAAACTGAAGGTGAGGAAGGTGAAGGAGCTCAAGAGAGTTAAAACCACAGTTCAGACCCAAGCATTACCGCACCCAAAGCATCATGCTCTCTAGCCTAGGGTACCCTACATTGGGGCTTTCTATGAGTTCTGAAAAGAGGGCACGTACCATACCCATTGGTCGTTACCCACTGTGCCATCCAACACCAGTCCCAGGTCCTCTCCTCCTCCTGCAGGCAGACAGGCATTTTGAAATTGCTGAATTGCACTGGTGTGGCAAGTAGAAGCAGAGAGAGGTCACTGTCGAGCTGGGGCGGTTTGTAATATTTGTGAATAATGACCTTCTGCACTTGCTTTCTCTCCGAGTGGATGTTGCTGAATGTTCTCGTTCCCATGACCACAGTGACATTTACCACGGCCATGTCTAATCTAAAGAACGAATATAAAAACACCAGTGCTAACAAGGGTGACTGATAGTGCAATTCACATTTGTAGACACATCTGTAAACAGTGAGTTGACAACTAAGGAGAAGTCCAGTGCAGTGGGTGAGCTACAGTGGTCTGGAGCATGGCTAGGATCAGATAGGTAGGAATCAGGGGCCCAAGCTCTGACAAATCTCTGAACCAATGGGTTGACAGTCCAGGGAAACTCTCCTGAACAAAAGAAGAGGAATGAATCCCTCTGAGAGATGAGATTGTAAGCTCATTGATGACAGGGACCTTGGCAGTGTTGTCAACTCCTATGTCCACAGCACTTGGAACAGTACATAGTAGGTGCTCAGCGGGAAGGTGTTCAATCAATGATTCCAGTGTGTTGTCTTCATACACAGATGACAGGCAGGACAGAGTGTATTGGATGTACTGGGTGCATAGCTCTGACTACAGCCCACATTTGGATATGATTGGCTAAATAAAGGGGAGGGAGTGGGTGTACAGCAGAGACCCTGGGGTACAAAGCCCATGCAACATTTTGCACATAGAACCTAGGGCTTCATAGGCCTGTGCACTGGCCTACTGAGCTGCCTAGCCCAGACAATACATTGACAAGACGGGATGTAGATGAAGACACTTACAGGGTTCTTCGGAAGCAGTGTGCGGCTGTCAGAACCCACCACCAATGTAAGATTGAGTCTCCACAGAGGTGTTTCCGTGACATCTGGATACTCACTTGCCACGGGCACTCACCATTCTGGACTTGAAGCCGTTCATGAAATGGTAACCATGACGAGTTTGGAAAAGCAGGCCTGTGGCCACATTGTACGTTTTCTGAAAGAGAAAGGAAAGAGCCATTTGTACATGAGAAGCATGGAGAGATCCCTATCCCTTAATCCCAGAATCTTCCCAAGTAAGACCAGTGTTGAAAGCTGAGCAAGGTAGCACCAACAGCAAACAGGCCGAGGAGAGGGAGAGCTCAGAAAACACCAGCAACCTGCACCTTTTTCCGTGTTCATTCTTCACAGCCGCAGAGAGCTGAGAGACCTGGTAAACTTTGAGCAGGGCTCTTTCAGAGGCATATAGGGTTAGAGTGGCCATGGAGATGCACCAAAGGTACACAGGGTCCACTTACGAGATGGAAGCTGTGCAGTGATTTGAACAAGGAAAGTTTAACAGGAAGAATCACACACTGTAACTGGGGAGCGACTACGAAGCATCAGGAGCACTCTAAGATACAGCAGGGCAGGAGGAGAGTATCTGAGGAGGAGCTGAACTTGGCAGGGGAGTCTCTCCCCCTCCCCAGGAGTGGGACTCACAACACATTGAAGAAGGTGTCTGCAGCCCAGCAGAAGGCAGAGACATTTGCCGGGTTGCCCGGGAGAGCTGATCCCCTTTGCTAGAGAAGCAGAATGCACCTCTCGGGAGTTCAGGTGGCCAGGAAACGGTGGCCATGACTGGCAACAAGGAACACCCCTCTGGAGTGCAGGTGGACTGGTGCACCACACAGGTGCCTGCCCACTGGCTAGGGAGGGAGGGTGCAAGACCTGGGTGTGTGTGTCTGTCTGTCTTGGGACAGCTGCACTGAAAAGGTGTAGAGGGCTCGGGGGATTTCGAGGCTGATCCAAGAAAAAGATATGATCACGAGGTGGTGGCAGCATACACAGGTTTCATTTGAGAAATGCTTTGGGAGGTTGCATGTGGGGGAAGAAGCCCTTTACAGCCTGAGACTATCTGGAGGTTAAGGAGACACCATCCAGAAGAGGAAGAGGACAAGGGGACTTCTGAGGAAAGAGGACTCTGACAGGGGGTTACTCGTCTAGGTGATGTGGTTCACTGGCACAGTGGGGAGTCTCTGGGTCAGAGAGCTCTCAAGGGCAGCAATGGCTTGGGGTCTTTTATAGCCACAGGCTTCATATTACCTGTGGCTAGCAGATGTTGGGTGCAGTTTCACAGGGTATGCAAAGCAGACAAGCTTTAGATGGCTAAATATCTGTTTATTTAGACTATGTTCAAAAACAGCTGGATGTGTAAAACATTGAGTTTGGGACCAGCAGGCTTTTGAGCTAATGAGAAGCCTGCTGTGAAGAAATTGACAAGCTAAGGGCCATCCTTGGCTCATTTGTAGAACAGGTCACTGAACAGAAGACAGGGCTCGAGCTCACTGAGAGAGGCATGGCAGAGCCGAGCAACACCAGGTGTTCCCCACATGCTGGTGGCAACCACGCCATAGGAGCAAGAAGCAGCAAACAGAAGCATGCTGGAGAGGACCAGGAAGAAAGGCCCCTTCCACCTGCAGTATCCTTCCAGCACCTACTGCTGAGAATGCTTAATGTTGTGCTTGCTACGAAGAAAAATTTCTTACAGGGTCCAGCTGCATTACTGCCAACCCAGTTTACAGGGATCCAAAGAAGGCCTGTAGGGGGTTGGGGCGCAAAAAAGACATGCAGAGTAAAGGACATGGTCACTGTGGCCACCAGTCTCCAGCAAGTATCCATGCCCGGAAGGACTCCTGGAAATAGCCCAGGAAAATGAGAAGCAAATAGAGACTTGGCACAGGCATAATAAATGTGTATTCTTTTTTAAAGGAACAGGGATGGGAAAAAAACAGCAACATTTACTAGATGAAACTCTAAATAGGAAAATGTTACCCAGAACAAATAAAAAAATCTGAGTAGTATATTTTGCCATAAATCATAAAAAATAAAACCTTATAAAGCAATCACCTATGTGAAAGAAGATTATAAATTAGAAACTCAAGGAAGACTTTGTAAGAAAACACGAGGAGAAAGTGAGAAAAAGGAGGAGATGGGGCATGAGCTGGCAGAAGTCGGGCTAGAAACAGAAGAATAAAATACAGAAAATTCTTTGGACAGCATAGTAAGGGATAAGGAGTATGTAAATTAGAGAAGCAATGCAAATCAAAGCAGAGTTTAAAAGAGAGATTTTTGTGTGAATGTAATTTTTAATTTTGGGGGGATAAATACCTAGATAGATAGGGACTGCTAGGTCATGTGGTCAGTGCACGCTCAACCTTTTACAAAACTGCCCAGTTGCTTTCCACATGGCTGCACCATTTTGCATTCCCATCAACAATGGATAAGAACTCCGGCTGGGTGCAGTGGCTCACGCCTATAATCCCAGCACTTTGGGAGGCCGAGGCAGTTGGATCAACTGAGGTCAGGAGTTTGAGACAAGGCGGACTAACATGGTGAAACCCTGTCTCTACTAAAAATACAAAAATTAGCTGGGCATGGTAGCATGGGCCTGTAGTCCCAGCTGCTTGGGATGCTGAGGCAGGAGGCAGGAGAATCACTTGAACCCAGGAGGCAAAGGTTGCAGTGAGCCAAGATCACACCACTGCACTCCAGCCTGGGAGACAGAGCAAGACTCTAAGACTCTGTCTCAAAAAAAAAAAAAAAAAAAAAAAAAAAAAAAAAAAAAACAGTGGATAAGAGTTCCTATCACTTTACATCTTTACATCCTTGCCAACACTCGGTACTATCAGAAGTTTTTATTTTACCCACTGTAGCAGACACACAGGAATATTTATTGTGGGATTGTTCACAATCCTCCAAACTGCAAATACCCAAATATCCCTCAATGGGTGAATGGATAAGAGAACTGTAATCTATCCACATGGTGGAATACCACCCAGGAATAAAAAGGAACTATTGGCGCATGCAACAACAGAGAAGTCTCAAGTGCATTATGCTAAGTCAGAGAACCCAGGCTGAGAAGGTCACATACTGTGTAGGGTTATATTTATATGGCATTCTGGACAAGGCAAAACTCTGGGTGTGGATAACAGGTCAGTGGCTGCCAGGAGTTGGGGGTCGGGGAGGGGTGAGTACAAAGGAGCAGATAGAGGGGATTCTTGGGAGTACTAAAAATTTCAATATCTTGTCTAAAAGTGAGGTTAACATGAATCTTTGTAAAAATAATTAGAAAAATGATAGCTAGAGAATATGGGCAATGATTGTTCTTGAATTTTAAATGACACATAAAAATAGGAATAGATGAGCATTTCCCTAACATGATAAAGTGTATCTATCTTGGCCCGCAAGTGAGTAGCATGCTGACTGGGGAAAAGCTGGAAGCCTCCCCACGGAGTCAAGAACAGCACAGATGTCCACTACCTCTGCTACTTGTTACCATTGTACGGGCAGCTAGGAGGAGATGGTGATAGATTTTGAGCAGAGGGAGCCCAGAGGATCCCTCCGCACACAGGAGGGGAGTGAGACAGGGCTTCCATCTAGAAGAGTCTATGAGGGGCCAGGCGCGGTGGCTTACGCCTGTCATCCCAGCACTTTTGAGATGCCCGGCAGGCAGATCATATGAGGCCAGGAGTTCAAGACCAGCCTGGCCAACATGGTGAAACCCCATCTCTACTGAAAATACAAAAATTAGCCAGTCATGGTGGTGGGCACCTGTAGTCCCAGCTACTTGAGAGACTGAAGCAGGAGAATTGCTTGAACCCGGGAGGAAGAGGTTGCAGTGAGCAGAGATCGCGCCACTGCACTCTAGCCTGGGAGACACAGCAAGATTCTGTTTAAAAAAAAAAAAAAAAGAGTCTCTGACTGGGCCAGGGATAGTTGGAGGTATAGTCATGGGTCGCTTAAAAATAGTGTTGGAAGTTCTGGCCAGGGCAATTAGGCAGGAGAAGGAAATAAAGGGTATTCAATAAGGAAAAGAGGAAGTCAAATTGTGCCTGTTTGCAGATGACATGATTGTATATCTAGAAAACCCCATTGTCTCAGCCCAAAATCTCCTTAAGCTGATAAGCAACTTCAGCAAAGTCTCAGGATACAAAATCAATGTACAAAAATCACAAGCATTCTTATACACCAATAACAGACAAACAGAGAGCCAAATCATGAATGAACTCCCATTCACAATTGCTTCAAAGAGAATAAAACACCTAGGAATCCAACTTACAAGGGACGTGAAGGACCTCTTCAAGGAGAACTAGAAACCACTGCTTAATGAAATAAAAGAGGATACAAACAAATGGAAGAACATTCCATGCTCATGGGTAGGAAGAATCAATATCGTGAAAATGTCCATACTGCCCAAGGTAATTTATAGATTCAATGCCATCCCCATCAAGCTACCAATGACTTTCTTCACAGAATTGGAAAAAACTACTTTAAAGTTCATATGGAACCAAAAAAGAGCCCACATTGCCAAGTCAATCCTAAGCCAAAAGAACAAAGCCGGAGGCATCACGCTACCTAACTTCAAACTATACTACAAGGCTACAGTCACCAAAACAGCATCGTACTGGTACCAAAACAGAGATGTAGATCAATGGAACAGAACAGAGCCCTCAGAAATAATGCCGCTTATCTACAACCATCTGATCTTTGACAAACCTGATAAAAACAAGCAATGGGGAAAGGATTCCCTATTTAATAAATGGTGCTGGGAAAACTGGCTAGCCATATGTAGAAAGCTGAAACTGGATCCCTTCCTTACACCTTATACAAAAATTAAGATGGATTAAAAACTTACATGTTAGACCTAAAACCATAAAAACCCTAGAAGAAAACCTAGGCAATACCATTCAGGACATAGGCATGGGCAAGGACTTCATGTCTAAAACACCATAAGCAATGGCAACAAAAGCCAAAATTGACAAATGGGATCTAATTAAACTCAAGAGCTTCTGCACAGCAAAAGAAACTATCATCAGAGTGAACAGGCAACCTACAAAATGGGAGAAAATTTTCGCAACCTACTCATCTGACAAAGGGCTAATATCCAGAATCTACAATGAACTCAAACAGATTTACAAGAAAAAAACAAACAAACCCATCACAAAGTGGGCGAAGGATATGAACAGACACTTCTCAAAAGAAGACATTTATGCAGCCAAAACACACATGAAAAAATGCTCATCATCACTGGCCATCAGAGAAATGCAAATCAAAACCACAGTGAGATACCATCTCACACCAGTTAGAATGCCGATCACTAAAAAGTCAGGAAACAACAGGTGCTGGAGAGGATGTGGAGAAATAGGAACACTTTTACACTGTTGGTGGGACTGTACACGAGTTCAACCATTGTGGAAGTCAGTGTGGCGATTCCTCAGGGATCTAGAACTAGAAATACCATTTGACCCAGCCATCCCATTACTGGGTATATACCCAAAGGATTATAAATCATGCTGCTATAAAGACACATGCACACGTATGTTTATTGCGGCACTATTCACAATAGCAAAGACTTGGAACCAACCCAAATGTCCAACAACGATAGACTGGATTAAGAAAATGTGGCACATATACACCATGGAATACTATGCAGCCATAAAAAATGATGAGTTCATGTCCTTTGTAGGGACATGGATGAAAATGGAAACCATCATTCTCAGCAAACTATCGCCAGGACAAAAAACCAAACACCACATGTTCTCACTCACAGGTGGGAATTGAACAATGAGAACACATGGACACAGGAAGGGGAACATCACACATCGGGGACTGTTGTGGGGTGGGGGGAGGGGGGAGGGATAGCATTAGGAGATATACCTAATGCTAAATGACGAGTTAATGGGTGCAGCACACCAGCATGGCACATGTATACGTATGTAGCAAACCTGCACATAGTGCACATGTACCCTAAAACTTAAACTATAATAATAATAAAATAATAAAAAGAAAAATTCCAAACACCATTTATCAAAGATTATCTCCCTCCTCACAAATCTGAATTGTCTCCTTGAAAATAGCTTTATATTATTATATATAATCACATTTTATCTATCGTAAGGGCAATGTCTATATCAGATTAAGAATAACTGACAAGAGAATTTGCCTGTTAACACTCTGTGTTGCACCAATATGATGGAACTAACTGCTAGGCACTTGATTACTTTCTAATAACAAAATTCTCAATTGCTTTACCTGCTCTGAGATTTAAATATAATGCATATCCCACATGGTTAGCACAGTGTCTAACACTAAGCTCAAAAAGCATTTACTAAAATGAACTAAATTATGGCAAGGCTGACAGAAAGCCCCATGAGAAGAAAGACGTTTTAAACACAAGAAGGTGGAAGGTTCTTCCAAGTAATGAGAAAAGTTAAGTGGTAACAGGAGAATTTTACAAGAAACACACAACTAAAAAGTACAGATTTCATAAACTCTCTTCTTACCAATTACTATGTAAATATTACTGATTTTCAAGTAACTCCCCTTATAGTTAAGGTTAGTTTACACTTTCAGTAATGACAAAAATCACACTGACAAAATATACTTTAATTCTCATTCTTCATTAACTAACACATACTTAGTTCTTCATTGAAAAACTCTCATCTCTATTATGACATGAGAATGTTTCATTCATAAATGAAAATTGGTGACCCTAAGTTTCAAACTCCAAGACATTATGACTACATTCAGTGTTTTCAAAGGAATCTTAATTTCAACTTTGTTCATTAAAATTTGTGAATCGATGGCCTGAGGAAATTTTCAGTAGAAATATGTTAAATTCAGTAAGGCATTATTTAGAGAACATGTATAATTTTCATTAAGCTGAACAGTGAAAAGATGAGATGCTATTTTATATTGGCCTCTGATATGGTTTGGCTTTGTGAACCCACCCAAATCTTATCTTGAATTGTAATACCGTAATCCCCACGTGTCATGGGAGGAACCCCGTAAGAGGTAACTGAATCAGAGTGAGTTCTCCCAAGATCTGATGGTTTCATAAGCATCTGGCATTTCCCCTGGTGGCACTCATTCTCTCTCCTGCTGCCCTGTGAAGAGGTGCCTTTCACCATGATTATAAGTTTCCTGAGGTTTCCCCAGCCACACAGAACTGTGAATCAGTTAAACCTCTTTTCTTTATGAATTAACCAGTCCTGGGTGTTTCTTCATAGCAGTGCAAGAATGGACTAATACAGCCTCAAAATATGAATTTATCAGGAAAACATTCTTCATTTCAAATAACATCTAATCAGTGAAATCCCTATCAAATAAACGTATTTCATATTTTTTAGTCCAAAGTCAATATTGTTACCATCTCTCTCCTCTTCCTCTCCCTATGAAAAAAAAGACCTTCCAACTTTCATATTCTCAATAGGTAAGGCAATCTCTTGATTATGAATTTAATATATAAGACTCTTAAATATGTTTAGGCATATTATATCTTTTTAATAAGAACAGCTGGTTTACAAGTAAACAGTAATCATAGGGAAAGGCAAGTCTTTCAAGTTTGAAACCAAATTCCATTAACACAGAAAAATAAGAGGCATTCACAGGAAGGAAGTTTTTAAGGTCAGGTGATTCCTATTATTAGCCAGAGGAGGATGAAAATCTGATGGTGGCTCCTGACACTGAAAAGTGGGTATGGAGATACATGATCCTTTGTAGGGTTGATGTAGTTAAACAAAAAGTGATATTTTCTTGGAGCAGATCATCTGTGATTGTCACAGAGGTTTTCAAAACTTAATAATCCTCAAACAGTAACCAGGTCTATTGATCCAGGTTGGCAGGGAGGGCAGGGAGGAGTTTGGGACAAAAAAGAGATAACTAACATTCACTGAGACAAGTATTATTAGCCCATCTTACAAATATGAAAACTTTGGTTTGAAGATTGCAAGGAACAGGAAAAATTACACTGCTAACTGGAAGACGTATCAGGGTTTAAACACAAATTTATCTTCTTCCAAACATTATCCCCTCTGTACAATACCACATCAACAAATGCTTCTGTCAGAAGAAATCTATGAAGTCATATATAGAAAATTATAGGATAATATAACCTAGGTGATATTTTCGTATCTCCTACGCATTGAACGTAATGATACTGCACAATAAACACAAATATGGCAGAGAAAAAAAATGGGATACATTCTGAGAAATGTGGGGTTAAAGGCAAGCATCATAGAGTGAACTTACATACAGCTAGATGGTGTAGCCTGCTCACACCTAGGCTGTATGGCATAGCCGATCGCTCCTAGGCTACAAAACCATACAGCAAGTTACTGTACTGAATATTGTAGGCAACTGTAACACGATGGTATTTGTGTATCTAAACATAGAGAAGGTACAGTAAAAATATGACATAAAAGATATTATAGTGCCCTCGTCCAGGGCATTTTACCATGAATGGAGCTCGCAGGACTGGAGTTGCTCTGGGTGAGTCAGTGAGTTAGCAGTGAGTGAATGTGAAGGCCTAGGACAGGAGTCTGCACGGTGGTAGACTTTGTAAACACTGTACACTTAGGCTACATTATATTTATAAAGAATAGTTTTTCTTTCTTCATTAATAAATTAATCTTAGCTTCTGTAACTTTTTTTACCTATAAACTTTTATGTTTTTAATATCTTAAAATTCTTTGGTCATAACATAGCTTAAAATACACATTGTACACTGTAAAAATATTTTCTTTCTGGCTGGACACGGTGGCTCACGCCTGTAACCCCAGCACTTTGGGAGGCCGAGGCGGGCAGATCATGAGGTCAGTAGTTCGAGACCAGCCTGGCCAATATGGTGAAACCCCATCTCTACTAAAAATACAAAAATTAGCTGGGTATGGTGATGCGTGCCTATAGTCCCAGCTACTTGGGGGGCTGAGGCAGGAGATTACTTGAACCCGGAGGCAGAGGTTGCAGTGAACCAAGATTGCACCACTGCACTCCAGCCACAGTGAGACTCCGTCACACACACACAAAAAAATTCTTTCTTTATATCCTTATTTTTATGAAATAAAATACAAACAACCACATCAAAAAGTGGGTAAAGCATATGAACAGACCTTTCTCAAAAGAAGACATTTATGCAGCCAAAAGACACATGAAAAAATGCTCATCATCACTGGCCATCAGAGAAATGCAAATCAAAACCACAATGAGATACAATCTTACACCAGTTAGAATGGTGATCATTAAAAAGTCAGGAAACAACAGGTGCTGGAGAGGATGTGGAGAAACAGGAACACTTTTACACTCTTGGTGGCACTGTAAACTAGTTCAACCATTGTAGAAGTCAGTGTGGCGATTCCTCAGGGATCTATATAACTAGAAATACCATTTGACCCAGCCATCCCATTACTGGGTATATACCCAAAGGACTATAAATCATACTGCTATAAAGACACATGCACACCTATGTTTATTGCGGCACTATTCACAATAGCAAAGACTTGGAACCAACCCAAATGTCCAACAACGATAGACAGGATTAAGAAAATGTGGCACATATACACCATGGAATACTATGCAGCCATAAAAAATGATGAGTTCATGTCCTTTGTAGGGACATGGATGAAGCTGGAAACTATCATTCTGAGCAAACTATCACAAGGACAAAAAACCAAACACCACATGTTCTCACTCATAGGTGGGAATTGAACAATGAGAACACATGGACACAGGAAGGGGAACATCACACTCTGGGGCCTGTTGTGGGGTGGGGGGATGGGGGAGGGATAGCATTAGGAGATATACCTAATGTTAAATGACGAGTTAATGGGTGCAGCACACCAACATGGCACATATATACACATGTAACTAACCTGCATGTTGTGCACATGTACCCTAAAACTTAAACTATAATAAAAAAAGATTTAAAAAATTAATTTTTACTTTTTAAACATTTTTAAAGAAATTAAGACACACACACACATTAGCCCTTCATAGACCTACACAGGGGTCAAGATCATCAACATCACGGTCTTCTACCTCTACCTCTTGTCCCACTGGGAGGTCTTCAGGGCCAAGAACATGCATGGAGCTGTCATCTCCTATGATAACAATACCTTCTGGATACCTCCCGAAGGACCTGTCTCAGGCTGTTTTATAGTTAATTATTTTTTAATAAGAAGGAGTATACTCTAAAATTATGAAATATATATAGTGTAATAAATACATAAATCAGTACCATAATCGCTTATCTTTATCAAGTATTATTTGATGTGCATAATTGTATATGCTGGACTTTTATACAACTGACAGTATGGGAGGTTTGCTAAAACCAGCAGCACCACGACACATCAGTGATGAGTTGTGCTCTGGTGACAGCTACCACGTCACCAGGGGACAGGAATTTCTCAGCTCCATTGTAGTCTTGTGCGACCACTGTCATATATGCAGTTTGTCATTGCCCCAAACGTTGTTATGCATACCCTGACTGTTTTTTTTCTTTTTTTTTTTCTTTTTTTTTGAGACAGAGTCTCGCTCTGTCACCCAGGCTGGAGTGCAGTAGTGTGATCTCGGCTCACTGCAAGCTCTGCCTCCCGGATTCACGCCATTCTCCTGCCTCAGCCTCCTGAGTAGCTGGGACTACAGGCGCCCGCCACCACGCCCGGCTAATTTTTTGTACTTTTAATGGAGAAGGGGTTTCACTGTGTTAGGCAGGATGGTCTCAATCTCCTGACCTCGTGATCTGCCCACCTCGGCCTCCCAAAGTGCTGGGATTATAGGCGTGAACCACCGCGCCTGGCCCCCTGACTGTATTTAAAGTTGAGGGATGTGATCTTGCCCTGGCTCCTTCAGGATACTTATTTGCGGTCCCACCTGGTTTTTCCCCGCAAGAATCTGCTCTGAAAGGTCATTTCTCTACCTCTGTGCTCCTAGGACTTTACCTATGAACTTGCTTAAAGTTCATTTTAAGTATAATATTTACCAATTGTTTTTGTAAAAAAGTTATTTAAATTTTAAGGAAATTTGAAAGTCCTTTTTCTGAAAAAAAAAAAAAAAAAAACAAAAAACAAAAAACTGTTTTTCAGTGAATAACACTCGGCTCACCCAATGTATCAATTTCTTCTGTTTTGATGTTTGGAAGTTAAAATTTGTTGCTTGATTAAATCTTTTCCTTTTCATTTCTTCTTATGGTTTAAATGCTCAGAAAGTCATTCTCTTTTATAAGAAATTATTGAAGAAACTTCTTTTGAATGAATCTGTCCATGTCCATCTGTCATGATTGCCATCGTTTGCTCTAATAATCTTCTCTTTAAGAGAAGCAGCATTAGTGATGTTACAGCATTAGAATGTAAATTCAATAAACATAGGTTGCCAAGGACACCAAGTTTATGACAATAAATTAGTAGATATTTATGCTAGAAGATGTCACTCTGCAGCATTAGAATGCTTTAACATCATTGGGAGAATTTATTTAGGGCTCATCTCTTGTTAATTCAGGGTGGATATTTCTCATCCCATCTCTTGCCCCAGATTTTTATTTCACGTTTTGCAATTCCAGACTTGAAATTTAAATCAGAGTAGGAAAGGTCTTCCATACTTCTCACAGTTCCACTCTTGATCTCCTCATTTTCTCCCCATTCTCTCTGCATTGCTCCCTCCCCATCTCTGTAGAGTTTCTCATATTCCCAAGTGAACACATATATACGGAGGATGCAAGCCCACGGTGAGCTCCAAACCCAGCTTAGCATGAATGTGTAGCAATAGCTGCTGTTACAGATGCCTGGTTGGTTTCAGTTTTGGTTGTTACACTGAAACTGAGTGGTAATCATGCTCCACCAATACAAAAATAGACAAATGTTTGTTTTTATATTGAAGATTTAAACCAAATCTGAATTCAGTGCCCAAATTCTTCATCAAAGAGTTTGTTCAATTCTCAGAACTCACAGCCACCAAGTTTAAGAACGCGTGGTTGCAGCGGTAGAATTTTTAACAGTCTTGGTCGCAGCACTAAGGAAAACCCAACGGCTAGCAGCATTTAAACAGAGAGTAAACATTCACTTTATGTTTAATGCTGACAATGCTTAAAATTCAGTAAACACAGACTGCCCAGGACACCAAGTTTATGGCAATAAATTAGTAATATTTATGTTAGAAGATGTCACTTTGCAGAAACTGGCACTGTCTTTTTTTACTCTTGCCACCCTGTGAGGATATTGCAATTTACTCTGAGTTGGTTGTTGTCAGTCCTCCTGTTTCCCCAGGTTGACCCCACGTGAATCAGAGATTGCTTTGGCCTATGTGGCCTGGAGCTGTTCTCTTCCCCATTGAAGCTGCCACTTCTTCCTCAAGCCCCTGCATCTCCAATAATCCCCCACATTCCAACACGCAGAGGAGGGCCCTGTCCTTCCTCTTCCTGTGCCCCTCCCTCCGTCAGCCCCCTCGGCATCTCTCCTTGGGACTGTGGGGCAGTCTCCTCACCCTCATGTTAGCCCTGATCCCTCGACCCCCTCCTCCCACCTCCTACACGGCCAACTCAGTTCCCTGGCTAGCATGTGGGAGTGATCTTGCTGATTTTCTCCTTAAACCCTTCCACAGTCCCTTCCCACATCCACAAACAAGACAAAGTCACATTGCTCAGAGGGTAGGAAAAAACAAACTGTTTCCTCCTACTCTATACGCCCCCACTCTCAATAGTTCGTTTCTGATGCCAGATGGTTGGGTGTTTTCCCCACACTAAGCAATTTTCCATGGGGCCCCAGCTGGGCCTCCTACAATTCAACTCAATCTGATAGAAACCAGAGTTAGCGCAGACCCCACAAGGTACGGGCTCAGTCTCACGCTTCAAACCCCCCACTTCAGATGACAATCACAAATAGTAGGTTCCCAGGTCACAACTTCTGACTTGACTACAAACTGGGGATTCCCACAACCCCATCCTCAGGTTTCATGATTCACTAGAGCAGCTCACAGAACACAGGAAAAACCATTTACTTACTGTTGCTCATTTATTACAAAGGATATTTTAAATAGTGCAGATGAACAGCCAAACGAAGACATGCCCAGGGCAAGGTATGGGGGAAGGGACGTGGTGCTTCCATGCCCTCTCTGGGCACACCACCTTCCCCGTGTTCAACAACCTGGAATGGCTCCAAATTCTTGCCTTTGGGGGTTTTGTGGAGACTTTTTGACATAGTCATGATTGATTAAATCATTGGCCACTTGTGGTCAACTCAACATTCAGCCCCTCTGAGACCCCAAAGCATCTCGAAAACATGTCAACAGGGCACGCACCATGTTGTATTAATTATCTGTTGACATGTCTGTCTCCGTGACTAGACTATAAATGTCTTGAGGCTGTAAATCACACTGTGCCCTCTTTGTGTTGCTAACATTTAACAGTCTTTGAATATGTTAAGTTTCAGTAAATGTTTATTGAATAAATGAGTGAACAAAAAAGCTATACATTTCCTGAATGTTTTGAGCACTTTATAATTTCAGCTTATGCAGCCTTTTGGAGTCATTACTCACAGAGGTTTACCACCCATAATTTTCACTTTCTATTTATCCCAATTTTAAGCTTTTTAGATCTTCAAACTGTGCTCAGAACAACTCGTTTAGAGGATTGAATCAGAAAGTCTTAGTTCTGCTGGCACAAAACCTTGGAAACCTTGATTCTCTCTCAGGAACTGGTTGAATCTGGGTAGCAACAAAGAGCTATTAATTATTCATTATTCACTCACTCATCTATTCATCTCAGAAATATTTACTGAAAATCAACCAGGCATAAGGTTGTATATTATCTTAGTGGCAAATGTGAGCTTCAAACCCAGGTCTTCTCAATCCTAGTTCAATGCTATTCCTTCCACAAAGACCATCTGTCAATGAGGCCCAGCCCCTTCCTCAAGGATCCTACAGGGCAGGACATTACAATAGTAACAGCTAATACCTATTGTAGACCAGGCACTGTGCTATGTTCTTGATCTTATACATATTAACTCCTTTAATCTTCACTTATAAGATGGATTCTATTATTAAATCTATTTCACAGAAGTAACGGAGGCCCAGAGAGGCAGGCAATTTCCTCGGGAGCATACTGTTAGTAAGTGCTGGAACCCAGAACAGAAGCCAGGCAGTCTGGTTCTAGAGTCACTGGAATTGAGCACGACACTTGTAGTTTGGATCTGTGTCCCCACTCAAATCTCGTGTTGAACTGTAGTACCAGAGTTGGAGGTGGGGCCTGAAGGGAGCGGATTTGATCATGGGGTGGATTTCTCGCGAGTGGTTTACCATCATCCCCTTGGTTGTGTTCTCGCGATAGTGAGTTCTCGCGAGATCTTGTTGTTTAAAAGTGTGTAGCACCTTCCCCTTCTCTCCCTCTTGCTCCTGCTCTGGCCATGTGAAGTGCCTGTTTCCCTTTTGCTTTCTGCCATAATTGGAAGCTTCTTGAGGCCTCCCCAGAAACAGATGCCACGTTGCTTCCTGTGCAGTGTACTGAATCATGAAACCTCCTTTCCTATAAATCACCCAGTCTCAGTCCAGCCTCAGGGACTTCTTCATAGCAATGTGAGAATGGACTAATACAACACTATACTGCCTTTAGTGCACAGTTCTGCCTACTCACGTGCCGTTGCTCCTTCTGGCCACTGTAACGCTAGACTCACGTTTTAGGGTTGCCTCTCTGGACACAGCTGAAAGAAGCAAGCTCCCCATTCTAACTTACATTTTATATGCTTTATTTTCGCTAGCCCCCATGGGAAATCATCACTTTTTTGCCTTATGCATAGCAAAACCTTGGAGATTTTTCCACCAAGGATTTCCACCATCTGGACATTTTCCATGGATGAACCAGGAAAATAGTTTCCAGGCCCTGACATACATTCTCTACACTATGGCCCTTATGAAAAGATATTGGCCATATTTGGCCATAGTTCCACCACCATTCTTTTTGATGATTTGGACCCTTTATTAATATATTTAGATATTTTCAATATGCCTCAGTTGTTTTAAAATAAAATTGGGTCTGTAGTTTGAGTTTTAATATATAATCTTTTCTTTGAATTGTAAAATAACTTTACAGTGACATTTGAGGAAAGATGGCTTATAAATACATCATGCACACAATATACATATACATCTATCCTAGGTGTATACTGAAATTAACCAAATATATTTTAATTTTTTTTTTTTTTGAGACTGAGTTCAGCTCTTGTTGCCCAGGCTGGGGTGCAAATGGTGCGATCTCGGCTCACTGCAACCTCCACCTCCCAGGTCCAAGCAATTCTCCTGCCTCAGCCTCCCAAGTAGCTGGGATTACAGGTGCCCACCACTGCGCCCAGCTAACTTTTTATATTTTTAGTAGAGACAGGGTTTCACCACGTTGGTCAGGCTGGTCTCAATCTCCTGACCTTAGGTGATCCACCTGCCTCGGCCTCCCAAAGTGCTGGGATTACAGGCGTGAGTCACCGCGCCAGGCCAAAATGCATTTTTATGAAAGAAAAAAAAAAGCATCTGTGTTGAAATTAGAAGAACCAAACTCTTGCTGCAAACTTTGTATGTTTTCATTATAATTTTACCAGGATGAAAGGAGACCCAGAAAATACACATAGACATGTAGCATTGCTATTCTAGAGTTCCTTGAAATGCAGAGGCCTGGGAACAACATGAAGAAAAGTCCACAGAGTCCCACCACTACCTACAGCTCAGAGGACAAAAGCCTGTGGCTAGGCAGACAGTGAAAGGACAGGGAGCTCTCCTTGGAAGCCACTTGACCTCTGTTGGGACAGGCTGGAGTGAACACTCTGCCTGTATGATGCCTCCCCTCCCAACCTTGACACGGCTTCTACAAGGCTGGGGGCATCATGAGGAGGCAACTAAGTTTCCCAGGCGGTACTAGAGCCATGTTTGCAGAGAAAAATATGTATCTGGCTCAGGAAATTAAAAAGGCTTTGAGTTTCAAGAAAATCATCACAAGGAGGGAAGAACCTCCTAAAATCCAAGGATACCCCTACACATGAAAAGATTCCATCCAAGCTGATAGAACTTCACTCCTTTCCTGGCCCCCTTTTGAGAGAAAGTATTCCAATAATGTATTCCTGGATTGTGACTGATCCTGACCCCAACTCCCTCGCCACTGTCCCCAGGCAGGCTGAACAGGATGATAAATTGCCAGCATACAGCCCTCCAGGTACAGAGAGAAGATCATGACTAGGCTCATGTCAGAAGGGAAAGACAGCAGTGGGTTTCTATCTAGATCATGTGGACCAAAAGGCAGATCTCCTAGAACTGGCCCCGAGTTAAAAACAAACAAGCTGAAAAATAGGAAAATCTTGCAAAACTATTACAAAAAAAGAAACAAAATGTACAACATACACATGAATAATACATTTGTTTGGCTAGTATCAGGGGAAAAAATAGCTTAGAGCTGTTTTATGCAAGGATGTTGAAGAAAAGATGAAACACTATAAAACAGGAGCTCATAAGCGGAAAGAATAAAATAAAAAGGAGCTGGCAGGAACAGAGAAAAAATAAGGGGTAATAACAGAATTGAAAAATTAGACCGGGCACAGTGGCTCAACCCTGTATTCCCAGGACTTTGGGAGGCGGAAGTGGGCAGATCACTTGAGGTCAGGAATTCGAGACCAGCCTGGCCAACATGGTGAAACCCCAACTCTACTGAAAATAGGAAAATTAGCTGGGCATGGTGGCAGGCTCCTGTAATCCCAGATACTCAGGAGGTTGAGGCAGGAGAATCGCTTGAACCAGGAGGCGGAGGTTGCAGTGAGCCAAGATCATGCCACGGCACTGCAGCCTGGGAGACAGAGCGAGACTCCATCTCAAAAAAAAAAAAAAGAAAAAGAAAAGAAAAATTAAAACCAAAATAGATGGAATATGAAATTTGGACAACCTTGTTGCTGAGAATAACTACAAAGTGTAAAATATGTAACATCCCTTGCTCGAAAGCACTAGAGAGTTAAGTTAATGAAGAGTTACTGGGCCAGTTTATAGCAAAAGAAGGAAATCCAAAGAGGTGAGCCAGGCAATAGGAATGCCCTGGGGGCAACTTGGCAGTTTGTAACTCTAGGACCAGTCGATGGGGAGGGGCCTAAGTTCCTGTGGCTTTGTTTAGGAGCTTCATGGTCTGCACCCTAGGAGTATGGGCACTTCACAAGTAAACTGGGCTACAAGTGTACACATGGAATAATATTTCATCTCCTCAAGAGCTGCTGCAATATACCAGGCAATAACAACACACGGCCCAGAAGCTTCACCGACATGGCACATAACAGCTTGAGCACCTTGGATGTGATGGGCAGAGGGGGGCACAGGTGAAGCAGCAAGCACTGGTGCAGTGTTGTTGATTTTTTGTTTTTGTTTTTTGTGATAGAGTCTTACTCTGTCGCCCAGATGGAGTGCAGTGGCATGATCACGGCTCACTGCAACCTCCACCTCCTGGCTTCAAGCAATTCTCCCGTCTCAGCCTTCTGAGTAGCTGGGATTACAGTCGCCTGCCACCACGCCTGGCTTTTTTTTTCTTTTTTTTTTTGGTATTTTTATTAGAGACAGGGTTTCACCAAGTTGGCCAGGCTGGTCTCGAACTCCTGACCTCATGATCCACCCACCTCGGCCTCCCAAAATGCTGGGATTACAGGCATGAACCACCGCGCATAGGCCGTTAATGACTTTTATAAAACTGTGTGAATTCAGACTGTGTGGTGCGACACAGAGATCAATAAATATGCCAATGAAATAAGCAGCGTCTACAAACAGCCTGATAGATATAATTAGACCTGATTTTTGACAAAAGTGGCAGCTGGGAAACAAATGTTCCCAGATGAGCTGGGTCAGTAGGATATCCAGGTGGAAAAAAATTCATCCTGATCCTTTTATTGTATATGAAAATTGATACCAAATGGATTCAAAATCTAAATGTAAAAGATGAAAGTATGAAACGTCTAGAGAATAACATAGGAAAATATCTTTACTAATCCAGAATGCAGAAAAATTAATTTAAGAAGTGAAGTCACGAAAGCTCTAGAATAATAAAAGCTAACGAATTTTGAGTATGTACAAAGTTTCAAGCACAGTTCTCAGAGCTTTGTGCAAAACTCATTTTCACAACAACCTTAATACAGCCATTTTGCAGATGAGGAAACTGAAATGCAGAAACGTTAAGTAACTCATCCTAAGGTCACATAGCAGGTACATGGAGGAAATATAATTAGAACACAATCTTACTTCAGAGCTCACTCTATGCTGTCCAATATGCTGGATTTATATTCTTGGGATGAAAAAGCCCTTCCAAAAACATGAAATAAAAGCCAAGAATCATAAGTGAAAATACCGACAAGTTTTTTACACACGTTTTAAATTTGTTTCGTCCAAAATAAAATTGCAAGAGAACTGAAGAATTAGGAAGATTTTGCAGCAATTATAAGAGACAAAGCTCTGATGTCATTAAAATTCAAAACGGTCCTACAAATCAACTTTAAAAGCTCACCCAGATAAGAAAAATGGGAAAACTCTAGGAACAGGTAATTCTCAGAAGAATAAATATAAAATGTTCTGAATCAGGCTGGGAGTTGGGGCAAGAGTGATCTTATGGATGGATACATCTCAAAAATGCGAGATTCAATAAAATTAAACTTAGGCCACTTTCTTTACTGTAAAATATATCAGAGCCTTTTATATATGGTTATCCACAGTGATACTACAGAAAAATTATCAAATGGAACATTTCCAAATCATGTCTAACATAGAACTTTTCCCTCCGGAGCTTTTCCCAGGACTGAGGCTTTGCAGAACAAATTCTGCATTAACTCATTTACTCCACATAATAGCCCTATCATGTTCTCCATGTTATGAGATTATATAATCTAATACCGGCATTCTAAATTAAATAAGGTCTTACTCCACCACTACTTTGCTGCCTCCCCCAGGGTGTTGGGCCTGGAAAGATTGTTAATGATTTTACAAAGAGGAAGGTGGAGATGAGAAGCAAAGTCAGTTGCTAAATCATTCCTCCAATTCCCCTGAGCTTCCAGAACTCTGGGTCCAGACCCTGGGGAATCATTTTAGACAGCATCTTTGCAGAACCAATACATGGACTTGGATTGGTCAACTATAATCTCTTCATTTCCTGAGTCACTGGCCCTAACTCAGCATCCCTGGGGCCTCTAAGTCAACTCTCCAGGAGCCAGGTAAGAGGTGGCATCCCTTCCCCCAACCTCTGCTCCTAGCGGGCCTGGCACAGACCTGGATTGTCCTGGGCATGTCCCTTGAGTGCCAAAAGCAGGGGAATTAGAAGCTGGAACATCTTCTTGTCAATTCCAGTCCAAAATTGCCAAAACTTTGCCTCCAGCCAGAGCTGACAACATGCCAGCCACAGTGGTTTCTGGCAGGGGCATCACAATGCAGGGCAGAGTGGGACTAGTGACTTCACATTGAGCCCTGGGCTCAGGGAGGGGCAGGGGATGCAGGTCAGCCTGGGTGAGCAGAGTCCGCATGTCCAGTCCTTCCCTGTCTCGCGTCCCCTCTGCAGCAGGCGCTAACGGGGCACCCTGGAAGGGCCAGGCTGGGTGAGCGGCTGTCGGCCTGCTCCCCTCCCACCTTTGACGCTATGCTTTTACTCCTTGTCTGCCTTGGTGTTAAATAGCTCTAGGTCTTTGGGTGATTTTTTATGTTCTCTGGAACCACGTTACAGAAAGCCTGAAACGCCTTGTTAAGACATTTGGATCTTACCCATGAGGTCAGCTGGGGAGGAAGCGATAGAATTAAAGAGGGTCATGTGGTAACATTTGCATTAAAAGATGACCGATCTCTACTAAAAAAAAATAAAAATAAAAAATAGCCAGGCATGGTGGTGCGTGCGTGTGGTTCCAGCTACTCCGGAGGCCGAGGCAAGAGGATGCTTGAGCCCAGGAGGTCGAAGCAGCAGTGAGCTGTCATTGCTCCACTGCTCCAGCCTGGCCAACAGAACAAAATCCTGTCAAAAAAAAAAAATACTTTGGAGTGGATGAAACTAGAAGAGAGTATCACATAGGAAGTGGCTCCAGTCATACAGATGGGACATGACAGGGGCCTAAAGTAGGAAAGACATGGTGGACCTGGAGAGAAACACAGGCAACAAGGCGGAGCGGAGAGGCACCATGGTTGATGGGCTCGGCAGGATGACCAGGCAGCCACAAGCCCAATCTGAAAGTCTAGGGTGGAAGGATAAGCTGGGGAGTCGTCAACCTATTGAAGTCCGGAGATGGGTGAGGTCGCCCAGGGAGAGCATCTGCACAGAGGAGCACAGAGAGCCCAGGCTGGACCCTGAAGGACCCTCAGCATCCACACAGAGGAGGCAGAGCTGGAAAAGGAAGCTGGCAATTGCCAGAAGAGCTGGAGGAAACCCAGGAGAGGGAGTTGCTGTGGAAAACGGAAAATGGGCCAAGAACGCTCCAAGGAGAGGTGCCTCTGATTACAGATAATCCCTCCCCTCTGCTCCTCCCACAGCCTCAGGGATCTGATACCATTGGTTATGTGCACCCTCCCTCATCGTCCCCTTCTCCTACTCTTCCACATCCTTCTCATCAGCCTTTGAAGGTGCTTTAGTCATGCCACCTTAAATCCTTCAAAATAAACAGCTCCCCAATCCCCTCCCTGTCAGTGACTTACCTACAGCCTCCTCCCCATCTCTTCTCATTTACAACCACAGTCTTTGTCATTCAAAGAAGAAATGAATAAAGTGCCTGCTGCCTGGAACAGCAGCTATCTACAAGGCTCACAAGTTATCCAGAAGTCCCCCCAGTTATCTCCAAGGCTCACTCCCGCCTTCCTTCAGGTGTCTTCCCAGTCGCCCTGTCAGTGAGACCTGCCCGATCATCCTGCAGAAAACAGCACGCGCGCCTCCCAGCCTGCCCTCCCCATGCCCTTCTCTGCTTCATTTTTTTCCCTAGCAGTTATCACCCTCTGACATCATCTATGCCTTCAGTATTTACTTTCTGTCTGTCTCACTAGACTATAACCTGGATGAGGGTGAGAGCTTTTTCCTTTATATGTACTCCCTTATCTCCAGTTTTCAGAATGATGCTTGGAACATACTAGGCACTTATAAATAGTCGGAATGAATGAATGCATGCATGCATGGCTGGCCCTGAGAAGAGAAGGCCTTACCTCCCACTCAAGCTAGGGGTTGACCCTGAGGTGTTGTGGTCCTGGCTTCACCCTGATGAGTTGCATTCTCTTGACCAAGTCATTTAAAGTCTGAGTCTCCTTCCCCCTCGTGGGTTTTTTGAGAGGATTAAGGAAAATCATGTGAGCATTCAACAGGATTGTGTATAAAAGCACACGCGACGGCAGCATGGCCTCTGAGACTGGCAACCTGCACTGGAATCCAGGTGTGACGCTCAGTGACCTGTGGTGCTGGCTGTATCCTTCTCCATGAAATGAGGCAGGGGCTGACTTCGTCTGGTTCTTGGGATTGTTCTGAAATGCAAACCCATCAGCACTCAGGAAAGCATCAGAACCAATCAACACCCGGCCCCTCCGACACCCCATTGACTCACTTGGAATCAGACAGGGTTAGATGGGAATGGCCTCTGAGATCTCATGTGCCTGAGCCAAGTCTATGGCTGTGATCTATCACTGGCTGAAAATGCCAACTTGGTGGTTAAAGTTGTAACCTGGGCTGCAGAACATCAACGCCATCATCACAGCAAACTAGTTATGGATGCCTTACTATGCTGTCGTCACTGTGACTGCGGAGGTCAGCCTATTCTTATCCCCCATGTAGTGATAAGGAAAGTGAAGCTCTGCGAGGCTAGATAACCTGTCCACAGCCCCTTGTGGAGATGGCAGAAGCAGGATTAGAAGCAAGGTACGACTGATTCCAGAACCCACTCTCTAAAGCAACAGTCAGACCACCTCCTAAACAATGCACGCAATCTAAATAGAAGAACAGCTTCTAGGAACACCAAGTGCCCGTGTAAATATCAGAGAGGACACAAGAAGCATCCTCCCAAAGCCTCTGACCTTCATCTCTGCTGGAGATCCCTCATCCCTGTGAGGTCCTTATATGTCTGTAAGGTCCTAGTCCAACAATGGCAGCGGGTTTCATCTGCTCACCGGGTGATAGATGCCCAAACTGCTACATTGGAAGAGATTCCAAGGCCAGTTTTTGGCTCAGTTGTGACCCATCGGCCAAGACCGACATGAGAGCTGGGGAGGGGGAGGAGGTAGAGTGTGGCCATTGTTCCAGACATCTGCCTGCCTGTGTCAGGGGACTTGCCCATGCTTGTGTGATTTTGTAGGTTTCCACACATGCTGTTCAGCAAACTGCTGTACATGGAGGAATCGTGAGGCTTCAGCCAGACCTTTCCCACCAGCCTGGAAGGAAAACACTGCAGCAAAGGCACTGAGGAGTGGAATGGGCACTGCGACGTAGCTTGTGATCAAAACACAGCTCGTTGTCTCCCACGGTCCTGTTAAAAGCCATTCAGAGGCTGGGCGCCGTGGCTCACACCCTGTAATCCCAGCACTTTGGGAGGATGAGGCGGGTGGATCATCTGAGGTCAGGAGTTTCAGACCAGCCTGGCCAACATGGTAAAACCCGGTCTCTACTAAAAATACAAAAATTAGCCAGACATGGTGGTGGGCACCTGTAGTGCCAGCTACTTGGGAGGCTGAGGCAGGAGAATCGCTTGGACCCAGGAGATGAAGGTTGCAGTGAGCTGAGATCACGCCACTGCACTCCAGCCTAGGGGGACAAAGCGAGATTCTGTCTCAAAAAAATAAAAATAAAAAACAAAAAAGCCATTCAGAGGGCATGATATGTTCTGTCCAGATAAAACTTAGACTTGGAGCTTTTCTGATTATTCTTAGGTAATAGTCCTGCGGTCACCTGGTTCCAAATTCAGGGTGATTTATGTACTAGAATACCCTCGTCCTTGTCACATTCTCGACACAGAATCTGACTCAGTGCTCAGCCTCCTCCAGACCTGGGCCCAGTTAGGAACAAGGTTCCTTTCTCACCTCCCACTCTGCTCACCTGCCCCCAGCAGGTGAAAGTTTAGGGGAAGGCACAGGTCCAGGTGAGCCCACACATCAGCTCACTGTTCCTTGGGCCTGGCAGACATTGAAGACTGGCTCTTCGGTGGTATCTTCACGGGCTCTTCCATGGTTCCCTGCTGGGTGGCTTTCTCCTGAGGTCCCCAGGCCAGGGTGGGGCTCTCTCTGTAGCGTGCTGCTTTCTGCTCTTTGTCATCCCGTGTGCACCTGGTGATACACCCCAGACTCTTTCTAACAGATTTCCTTGCCCCCTCCAGGAAGCCTCATGGGAAATTCAGGCATTTCTCTCTCTGTGCAGCACACACTGATTCCAAGGAAAAACTGTGGGTTCAGGACAGTCCCTACCCAGCAGCATCCCTCCCAGAACCATTCTCTCACCTCCAGATTTCCCAAGTGTGAGTTAGACCCCAGGGATCCCAGCAAAGCTCTCTACAGGAGGCCTAACTGATGCTTCTCAAAGATGTCCAGAGATGATCTGCATTGGATTCATCTGGAAGAAGCTGTGCTGTTACAAATGCTCAGACCTCTCCCCCACCCCCGGCCCGCCCCATCCCACTGGATCAGGATCTGAAGGACTAAGCCTGTAAACACGTACTAGAGTTGACAGATAAAATATAGGACATGAGTTATGTTTGAATTTCAAATAAACAGCAAATTATTTTAGGATGAATATGTCCTAAAAACAGTATGGAGTATATTTATACTAAAAATATTTGTTTATCTCAAATTCAAATTTGACAAGGCATCCTGTATTTTTATTTGCTGAATCTGGCAACCCTTATCTGCACTGAACAAGCTCCCTAGGCTGCACATCGAAGTCAGGACCACAGTTTGAATGTGTCTCCTCCAAAAGTTACGCATTGGAAACTTAATCCCCAATGCAACAGCGTCGAGGGGTGAGGCCTTTGGGAAGCGTTTGGGTGATGAAAGCTCTGTCCTCATGAATAGATTAACACCACTATACAAAGGGCTTGCTGGAGTGGGTTCACTCTCTTCTGTTCCTCTGAAGAACTTGAAGACACAACATTCCTCTTCCCCACAAGACATAGAAATATGGCACCATTTTGGAACCAGAGACCAAACCTGCTGGCACCTTGATCTTGGACTTCCTAGCCTCCAGAACTGTGAAAGAATAAATTTGCATTCTTTATAAATTACCCAATCTGGCCAGGAGTGGTGGCTCACGCCTGTAATTCCAGCACTTTGGGAGGTCAAGGAGGGCAGACCACCTGAGGTCAGGAATTCAGGACCAGCCTGGCCAACATGGTGAAACCCTGTCTCTACTAAAAATACAAAAATTAACCGGGCATGGTGGTGTGCACCTATAATCCCAGGTACTCAGGAGGCTGAGGCACGAGAATCGCTTGAACCGGGAGGTGGAGGTAGCAGTAAGCCAGGATCATACCACTGCACTCCAGCCTGAGTGACAGAGTGAGACTCCATCTCAAAGAAAAAAAAAAAAAAAACAATTACCCAATCTGTGGTATTCTGTCATAGCAACACAAACAGTCTAAGACAGTCAGAGAACCACTGGCCAAGACTTTGGTAAAGTCCCCAAGGCAATGCTACCCAGGGGCCTCTCGGGCATCAGCCAGGCAACAGTCCCCACACCACCCATATCCGACCTATATCATCATGTGCCTCCTTTCCTCTTTGAATTTCATCAAATTCCTTCTAGAGCACTGGCATTGCTCTCCTCACCCGGGACCCCCTAGTTTGCCCAGTCCAAGGGAGAGACTTTCCCATTGTGGTCTATGGGGGATGGCGCTCTCTGGAGTTGTGCAGAGCTCAGCATGTGAGGCTGGGATGTCTCCATCCAGAAGATGGGACATGGTGCAACCCAGCATCGCTGTGAAGATTTGCAAAGCAATGGTGGACAGTGAATGAGTATTTCACAAGAATAGACCTAAGTCATGTTCTTGGGAGGGATGTAGACTCTACAGTGTGGTCTTCAGCAGGAAATCAATCTTTCTGGAGGTGATGGATGATTTTGTTCAGATACTTCTATTGAAAATGAGCAGCAGTTTGCAGTGGATATGCCCGTGCCCCCTGTCTCTCCATCTGTGAGATTAGCTGTCATCTTCCATTCCCTCATCAGACCTGGAGCCCAGACTCCTCCTCCCCTCCACACCCTACCCCCAGAACCAATAGAAACTGAGCGAAGGAGAAAGCACTGGCATATAGCAGATGCATGAGTAGCAGGTCCAGTGGGGACCTGAGCCCAAAGGAGGGGAAGAGGAAAGCCAGGGAGCTCCCTATTAGCCACCCTGAGGGCCAAGGAGTGAGACTAAGTGGTGAGACCAGGGCCAGGTGCCTGGGTGTGCTGTGGGCTCCTGTCCCACATGCCAGTCAGGAAGTCCTGGCCTCCATCAGGGCCAGGCATCCCCTGTTGAAAAGACGGGTGAGGCATGGTTTAGAGCAGGTGGGGAGGGCACCACCCAGGGCCACTCAACAGGCTGTGGCTCAGCCTCGGAAGGGATGCCTGAGCAGTGAGGAGCAACCTTCGCCAGGGAGCTGCCTTGGGAGAAAGAGCAGAGAAGTCCTGGAATCTCCTCCCTGGGCAGTAGCTCGAGCTACACCCATGAGAGACCACCTCGACAGTCATGTGATCTCACTTTAAGCCTCACAGTAACCTGCACGCCAGTGAGCATCGTGTTTCTCTGTTGCAGATGAGAAAACCGAGGAGGTAAGACTGGGCAGGTAGACACGCAGGCACTTTGGCGATTGAGCCCATAAGTCACTTCCAACCACGAGGCTCAGCCTGTGGCCAGGAAGGCAGTGCCCAGGCTGCTTGGGTAAGTCCACTTGGGTCAGCGCGCTGAGGGGTGTGGAAGTTTTAAAAATACACAAGGTCCAAAGCCCGTGACTGAGTCACTGACATCCAGGGAGGGCACACACCAGCAACCTCCATCCGAGGCTGGTCATTTCATCTTGAATGCACAGGGGCCCATCAGGAGACTTGGGGCCACGTGGGATCCATCTAGAAGGTGGTAGGAGGAGGATTGGGACCCGCCATGCTGGGCACGAGGGGAAGCCAGAACCTCTCAACCTGACCTGTGCGGCCACACCTGAGGCCCTGGGTCAGAGTCCTGAGCAGAGAACTAAGCGGGCAGCTGTACCCCACAGGGTGCTGGTGCTGGCAGAGGCCTCCAGGCGTCCCCGGGCCCCACCCCATTCCCGAGGGTCCAGGCTGGAAGCCCTTCCCCCATATCTTACTCCCACATTCACAGAGAAGCCTCAAAAAATGTTTGGGGGTGACAATGGCTGACAGCATCATTGTGCCCACCAAGGGCTCAATGATTTGGTTTGGCTGTGTCCCCACCCTAATCTCATCTTGAATTGTAGCTCCCATAATTCCCACGCGTTGTGGGAAGGACCCGGTAGGAGATGCTTGAATTTTGGGGGCAGTTTCCCGCATACTGCTCTCTTGGTAGTGAATCAGTCTCACAAGATCTGATGGTTTTATAAGGGGCTTCCCATTTCACATGGCTCTCATTCTCTCTTATCTGCCGACATGGAAGACATGCCTTTTGCCCTCCACCATGATTGTGAGGCCTCCCCAGCAACCTGGAACTGTGAGTCCATTAAACCTCTTTTTCTTTATAAGTTACCCAGTCTCAGGTATGGCTTTATCAGCAACACTCAGGAAGCTGGGTGGTGCCCAGGTCAGAGAGAAGGGAACCTGGGATAAGAAAGGCTCTGAGATGAGGTGCCTCTGTGCAGCCGTCCCGGAAACAAAGCAGCCAGAAAAGAAGTCTTCGTGGCTACAGTCTGAGTTCTTGGCTCCACAGCCCATGGTGACATCACTTGGGGGCTCTGGATCTGAGCTGGAGGCTCTCAGCCTCACTGCCTCAGCCCTGGCCTCTGTCACCCCCGGGCCCACAGCACAGCCCAGGGCCATGCTCCTGTTCTCAGTGTTGCTGCTCCTGTCCCTGGTCACGGGAACTCAGCTCGGTCCACGGACTCCTCTCCCAGAGGCTGGAGTGGCTATCCTAGGCAGGGCTAGGGGAGCCCACCGCCCTCAGCCCCGTCATGCCCCCAGCCCAGTCAGTGGTGAGTACAGGGGCAGAAGGGGCATGGATGGGGGCTCATGGTCCAGCTGACTGGCTGCCAGGAGGGTGGATCGCAGAGCACAAGGCCAGAGCTCCAGGGGTCCCCACATTCCCCTTCTCCAAACCACTTGTCCTTTCTCTCCTCTCTCCCCTGGCCCAGTGTTTGACTTGTCTAACCCTGAGTTTTGGTTTTGAAACCTGACACTTTATCCTCAGAGGAATAGCAGGCTGCCCTGAAGCTCTTGCCTAGAACTAGCTGAGACTGAGTCCTCCCACTTGGAGGGGGACCACTACCCTGGGCCTCTGTGGCTCCCATCAGCACCAGGCTTCCAGGAGCCACAGACACCCAGGGATGCCTAGCTCAGTCAGGCCAAGTGCAAGGGTGCTTCTGTCCTTGTGCCCAGCCCCCCAGAGCTCCCTGATGGCTCATTTCTTCTCCAAGGGGGTGGTCAAGACTTCAGGGATGCTGGGGTACCTAGCAACTGCTAGGGGTCGAGCATTTCCCCATGTTTAACGCCCACACCACCACGGTGGGGCATCTGCTCTCAGACAACGTGTGGATGAGGAACTCAAAGCCTGAGGAAGAGGATTTGCCCAAAGTTGCCCCAGGGGGAAATGATAGAGCTGTCTGCCTGGCCTGCGCTGGGTGACCGCAGCGCCAGGCTGCATGCCCTGTGCACACCACTTCTTGCCCAGAACACAGCAGGTTCACCTGGCCTCCTTCAGTCCAGCCTAGGGTCCACTGCACTCTGTGTGAACAAGGGGTGGGAGGCATGAGGGGAGAGCATCAGCAGAATATGCTCCTCTAATGCGTGATCGCTCAGATCACTTAGAAGCAGCCGTTTCTGCTTCCATCACTGCTTCCAGGCTCTCAGCTCTGGCATGAACCTGAAAGTCAACACGATTCCATACAGATGTTGTGGGTTGATCTCAGGACCAAGAATGTGGGGGATGGATCCCATTGATGCAAAATGGATATGAGAACTTCTGCCAGTTCATTCTGGAGAGCTGACTTTGGTGCAAGCACTTGTTGGTCGCTTCAACATCCATCCTCTCATTTCATCCACACATCAGTCTTATAAAGTTGGCATTATCTTATGCTTATTTTAGGAATGAAGAAAGGGGGGTGGGTACCCAACGATAAGTAGCTTTCCCTAAATCGTTTCGTGAATAAGCAACAGAGCCTGGATTCAAGCTTGGGCTGTCTGGCCCAGAGCCTACCCTGAGCACGTGCCATGTTCTGCATCTCAGACAGAGAGACAGAGGGCGCCCATCATAGCTGCCCACCATCCAACCCAGCTCATACACACTCGGCATGTTCATGTACTTCCTTCCATACTTATAAACCCACATTCTCAACGTAATAAAATCACAAGTTTTAAATATGATTTTCATCCTGACTTTTTCACTCAATTTAATGTCACAAACATTTTCCTGTGTTGTTAAAAATGCCCCATGAGCCTAACTTTGTGGCTGAGAAGTAGTTGATGATATGGATGTGGCTTACTTTAGTCACCCCTAGCGTTTAGCTTGTTTTCAATTTGTCATGATGATAGAGATCGCTGCAGTGAACATCATCAGATGCACACATGTGCTGCCTTCCAGACACCCGGAGTGGAGTCATTCAATCAGGGAATAAGCCCACAAGCATGTTGCCCTCTCCATCTGGAGCTTACATTCTGGTACCAGAGTCAGGCAAAAGGGACTGATAATGTAGGAGTTGATGTAACGAGGATGCAATGAAGAAATATAAAGCAGGGTAGGAAATAAGGAGTCACCAGGATGGGAGGGGCTGTTATAGACACAGGTCAGGGAAGGCCACTCTGAAGAAGGGATTCTTGGGCGTAGGGAGGAAGTGAGCCAGGTAGCTGCCTGGGGAAGAATATTTCAGGCAGAGAGCCACATGGCGCAGTGGTGAGAGCACCAGCTCTGTTGCCAGCCGGCCTGGGGCTCATATCATAGTTCAGTCACTGACTAGTTGTGTGACGCTGGGCAAACTACTTAACCTCTCTGTACGTCAGTTGTCTCAATTACAAAGTGAGGATGAAAATAAGAGGGCCTACCTCAATAGGGCAGTTATGATAACCAAGTGAATCGGTGCTTGCAAAGTGCTTGCAACAGTGCCTGACGCACAGTAAGCATCATATGTAAATAAAATCAGAGAGGAAGTGTGGATCCACAAGTACCGAATAGGCCGGGCATGGTGGCTCACGCCTGTAATCCCAGCACTTTGGGAGGCCGAGGCGGGCAGATCATCTGAGGTTAGGAGCTCTAGACCAGCCTGACCAACATACAGTGAAACCCTGTCTCTACTAAAAAATACAAAAACTGTAGTCCCAGCTACTTGGGAAGCTGAGGCAGGAGGCAGGAGGATTGCTTGAACCTGGGAGGCAGAGGTTGCAGTGAGCCGAGATGGTGCCACTGCACTCCAGCCTGGGCGATAGAGCAAGACTTCGTCTCTCAAAAAAAAAAAAAAAAAAAGTCCCGAAGAGAGCCTTTATGCATTGCTGAGAGCAGAAGGCTCTGGATGCACATTGCTAAGTTCTCACTCCCGTATTTTTTTAAACCAAAAATGACCACCACAGGGTCACCCAAACAACAAAACACTCACAGCTTCTGTTGAGCTGATGGTTGGAAAATAAGCAGCAAGAAAGAGACAAGATTAGGGTCTTGGGCTTTTTAGAGTCAAACTCATGCCTTGTTCCAGAACACAAGGCAGACAGTCAAGTCAGCAAATATTCACGGAGCATCTCCTCTTCCTGGGGCGAGGAGCTGGACCCGGCCTCTGTCCGGAAGGGGCATTTCCTGCCTCAGCACAGGCACTACAGCTTTGCTCTCAGTCCCCTAAGTAAAGGAGCTGCTCAGCCTTGACTAGCCTACAACAGCCAGGGCTTTCCGGTAGATTCTGGCACTTTCTATGCCCCACCCCTTGTGGTTTCTTAGGGCTGCTGAAATGAATGACCACACACCTGGCGGCTTAAACAACACAAATGTCTTATCCTACAGTACTGTGGGACAGAGCTCCAGCAAAGGCCTTCTGGGGCTGAATTCAGGGTGCAGCAGGTCTGCGTTCCTACTGGACGCTCTAGGGGAAAATTATTTGCCTTTCCACTTCCAGCTTCTAGAAACTTTTCTGGGCCCCTGCCTTCATCTTCAAAGCCAGCTATGTTGCGTCTCTTTGCCTTTCCTCTGCAGTCACTTCTCCCTCTGCCTGACTTCCTGCTTCCCTCCACCCCTCTCAAGGGCCTCAGTGATTCCACTGGCCCCTCAGAAAAGCCAGCATCACGTTCCCACTCTGAGGGCAGTGCTTAGCAACCCAAATTCCATCTCCAAAGCCCCCCTTTCCTTGCAAGCTAAAATATTCGCAGGTTCTGGGGACATGGCCCATTGGAACTTGGACCTCTTTGGGGGCTATTGTCCTGCCCACCACGGGGGGTTAGCCTTGGACACTGTTTTCTTCCGATTTCTCCTGGACGAGAGCAGAAACAAGCTCAGTGAAGTGACTCTCCTGAGGTCACAAATGCTGGATAGAGTCAGAGCCAATGCTTCTGACTCTATCTGTTGCTGAGCTCTGTGTAGACAAAATAAACCATCTGCCGGCTGATGTCACAAGGGCTGCCCCGCTCGGCAGCCTCAGTGAGCTCCTCTCTAGAATGGGGATGAGGATATCCACTTGGAAGCCTGCTCCTCCCAGCCCGGTCCCCAGCTCACACTGGATGCTGACTAAGTGTTTCCCCTTTTCCTTTCCACTCTCTTTCTTTCCACCAGAATGTGGTGACAGATCTATTTTCGAGGGAAGAACTCGGTATTCCAGAATCACAGGGGGGATGGAGGCGGAGGTGGGTGAGTTTCCGTGGCAGGTGAGTATTCAGGCAAGAAGTGAACCTTTCTGTGGCGGCTCCATCCTCAACAAGTGGTGGATTCTCACTGCGGCTCACTGCTTATATTCCGAGGAGCTGTTGTAAGTACCATGGGCCTCCCACTGCCACCTCTCAGGGCGCCCACCCCTGGGGCACCCTCCCCCTCACCCACACCTGGTGGCTGAGAGGAACCTGCGACTGCTCGGTATCCAGTCGGCATGAATGGCTCCCACCCATCCACCCACCCCCCAGCCTGTGGGGACGTGGAGGTAGCCAGCCTGAGGCTGTGTCCTCCTCACATCACCAGAGCCAGTGACTACAACCTCCCTGAGGTCACACCTACCCTCTCCCGGAACACCTGTGGCTTGATGGAGCCAAGCGGCTTGGTCCAAATGCCTCTCCTAGGGCATTCAAGTCCATCTAGGGGGAAATCCTTGTAATTCTGGAAGCCTGACTTCCTGGGCCACCTGACCCCCTACTCTCCTGCTCCTTGTAGAGCGTTCTCTGTGTGACAGCATGTGGATGGATGCCTGGCATCACCAAGGACTAACTATGTGCTGGGGACCCTGCTAAGAAACTTTCCCCTATTGGCCGGGTGCGGTGGCTCACGCCTGTCATCCCAGCACTTCGGGAGGCTGAGGCAGGTGGATCAGGAGTTCGGTGGTCAGGAGTTCGAGACTGGCCTGGCCAATATGGTGAAACCCCATCTATACTAAAAATACAAAAATTAGCTGGGCGCGGTGGCGTGCGCCTGTAGTCCCAGCTGTTCAGGAGGCTGAGACAGGAGAGTTGCTTGAACCCAGGAGGCAGATGTTGCAGTGAGCCAAGATCGCACCACTGGCACTCCCGCCTGGGCGACAGAGCGAAACTCCATCTCAAAAAAAGAAAAATAAACTTTCCTCTATTAACTCATTTAATCACACAGTGACCCCTGAAGCAGGTAGAATGAATAGCCCTCGTTTATAGATAAGGAAACTGATGTCCAATACACTGAGGCTGCTCACCCACAGTACCCATCTAGTATATAGAGACAGAATTCAAATTCTGGCTCTAGCACTTGTGCTTTCTGCCACACCAGCTCAAGGAAGTTTGAAGACACACACACTGATTTTAGAAGGTTAATCAAAAACCCGGGGACAGTTTCTTCATGGCATAACCACAGACCTTTGTGGCACCCGCTGTCGTGGGATATCAAATATCCTCTGGGGTTCGGAATGTGGGCTTATTACTGAAGATCCTGTCTGCTTGGTCAGTGGCAGGTCTAGACTAACTTCTGGTCCTGAGTTTCTAAAGTGCTGGTAGACCAGTTGATACAAAACAGATATAATAATGAATGCCTTATCTATCTGAAGGTCAGTTTGATCCGTGCCAAGTGGCTTTTTGTGGGCTCTGTAGAGTGCTCTAAACCCAGCTCGGCCTTTGCTGTATTAGACAGAAGCACCTCATTCATATCCCTGGGGCCCCTGATGGTGCAGTGGTCTGGCTGTGGTCTGCACACCAGCTATTCTGTTTTGTTTTGTTTTGTTTTTTCCTACCTTTTTCCAATCCTCACACCTTCTGATCAACAGCCCCAGTAGGGTTTAAAGGTCCTAGAGCTACATGGGATTTAGGTTTCTGGGCACAGCCAATTCTGCCACTTTTGAGACTTCCCTTCCCCTTCCACTTGCCCCTCTCTGGTTCTCTGCCACCAGTCCAGAAGAACTGAGTGTCGTGCTGGGGACCAACGACTTAACTAGCCCATCCATGGAAATAAAGGAGGTCGCCAGCATCATTCTTCACAAAGACTTTAAGAGAGCCAACATGGACAATGACATTGCCTTGCTGCTGCTGGCTTCGCCCATCAAGCTCGATGACCTGAAGGTGCCCATCTGCCTCCCCACGCAGCCCGGCCCTGCCACATGGCGCGAATGCTGGGTGGCAGGTTGGGGCCAGACCAATGCTGGTATGTGACTGCTCAGCTTCCCCTGGGGAAAAAGCCACTGCAATGTGAAGGAGAGGGGAGGAAGCTAAGGAAGGAGTGAGGACAAGACTTGCATTGGAGCAGATTCCCGCTCAGTGGAGTCTCACAGTGCCCAAAGTTTAGCTCCTTTTGGGTGCCGAAACCCCAAGGTGAGACACCAGGTCTGAGCCAGTCCCCTAGTGCAGTCTGATCCAGCTAGCACAGAGCAGTGTGGTTTGTGTGTTTAATTGAATTTAAACTCTGCAGTTAGCCAGAGGCCCCTCTACTCTGTATTCATAAACATCTTCCCTGATTCCCACGGGTATGTTTCCTACCTGGCTCCTCCAGGCATTGGAGATTCCCACCCTGGGCTAGGCTCTGACGGTCCTGGAGCGTTGCCTGGCTCTTCTTAGAAATGAATCTGTTGTTACTTGTTGTTATGCTGTTACTTGGCCAAAATAGAAGAAACTCTACTGGGACAGAAAAATATGACGAAGGGCCCGCTGGACTGTCCCCCAAAAAAACCCAACAAAACCAAAAGCAAATAGATAGGGGAGGGGAGGGGATGAGAACAGCAAAGCATTGCGTCAGCCTGAAGGAGGCTCTCGATCCACAGGGATGATTTGCAGCGAGCCTGGGCCTGGACAACCGTGGGTGTTTCAGGAGTTTAGCAACCAGAGGGGGAAGCGGTGGGACCTTAGTTCTGGGCTCCAGGCACTCCTGGAAAGGTAGAAGAAGGAGAGGAGGCACATGGGCATGCACAAGTTTAAAAATCTTCAATCAGGGGAAGAAATGTGAAATCTCTTTGTGGTCAGAGTTAATGAGATGGAGAGGAATTCAGGTGAATTCCCGGCATCTGGCGGCCCAGAAAGGGCCTCTGCAAATCCCCTCTAATCCCATCTCAAAACACTCTGCCAACCTGCCCTTGCTGAGGACCTAAAGTTTTTTCACCGGGAGTGCAAACCCACTTTCCAAGGCCCTGTGTGAAGGAAATGCCATCCTCATGTAATAAAATGTCACAATAGGCAAATGTATTGATGTGGCAGGATTATGCTGAGAAACAGTCAGTAGCCAGTTCCAAGAAGCTGAGTCTGTGGGGCTGACTGGGGTCAAGTTGGAAGTCTTCTTGGGAGTAGAAATTTGGTTTTGAATGAGAAGAATAGTTCCAGTAGCTGTGGGAGTTGTTGGGGGAGTGGGTAAGTTGCAGGCATGGGGTAACCTGAAGGAAGTGAGGGGCTGCAGAGCCTGTGAAGGAAGGGGATGGGGGCTGGGGGACACAGGGCCGAGGGCACAGTCAGCTGCATCACGAACGTGGGGACATGAGGCCCAGTGGCTTCTCTAATGCGCTTTCTCTCTGGGCCAGCTGACAAAAACTCTGTGAAAACGGATCTGATGAAAGCGCCAATGGTCATCATGGACTGGGAGGAGTGTTCAAAGATGTTTCCAAAACTTACCAAAAATATGCTGTGTGCCGGATACAAGAATGAGAGCTATGATGCCTGCAAGGTAACTAGGGGGTACCCTCCCTCACCTTATAGGTCCTCACCCTCTGGGAACTGCCAGTGCAAGGGTATTCTCTCTCTGCTGCAAATAGACAATTCTGAGTCTGGAAAATGTATGGGAATTAGGGCCTGCAGCCATGAGAATGAGTATGTGGATTTCAGATCCTCTGGAGCTGTGAGTGAGCACCCTGGGAGTCAATATGCTGCAACCCTGCTTAACTATTTCTGATCTTCTTCAGGTACACTAGGTAAAAAGGACGCCAGGCTTTTCTCATTTCTGGGAATTCTTTTTAAAAATCCAAGGAGGATTTGGTATCTATATAAGAAGTCATTTTAGTTCATTAACTTAGAAACCTTTGTTGAGCATACAAGGCCCTAGAGACCCATAAATGAGATATGGTTCCTTACCTAAGGGACCCTACAGTTTCCTGGACAGGCAGTGGATAAACAAACAATGATAAAATATTGGGTGTTGCATGTGGGTTTCACTGAACCAAAGACTGGTCTCTTTGCCTCTCTTTAATAAAATGAATACACGTTCTTTCTAAAAAATTATTGATAGCCAGAAAAATAGAAAAAAAATCATAAATTTCCTCTGGCTCAAAGGATGAATGATGACATTTGTCTTTAATGCTCAGAGGTGCTCCCTTCATCTTAAAAGTGGCCACCCTGATGAACCTGCTTAGTCTCAGCTGAAGACTAGGGACCTGCTCATTGGCCAGGCAGTGGACCTTGTCGTTGGTATAAAACCACAAATGAAGATGATAAATATTCTGAACAGTGATGGAGAGGCTGCCCCACGGAAAAGAAAGATATTTATCTATCTGTTATGGTTTAATGTGAGAAAATTGGTAGTTTTCCCTGATAGGCTATGAGAGCCTTGAGAGGTGGGTACTGGAACAGGGGTTGGAGGCAGAAAGGGAAAAGAGAAAGGAGAAGGCATTCTGAGGTAAGAAGTAGACCCTGGCAGCATAGCACTAGGTTTAGGAGCCCCCCATGTGGTGAATACTGTGGGGACCAAAAAGACACATGAACCTTGTATTTTCTTCACTTTCTGGGCAATTTAAAATATTACCAAAACAAAAAAAACAAAAAAACATGCACACAGAATTGAGACTTCTGGTTCCAGACAAGACGGAGTAAACACAATTCTCCCAGCCCCTCCTACTAAGTACAACTAAAAGCACGGGATAGTATCTTGTAAAATAAAAACAAAAAGGCTCTGAAAGGTGAAGAGAAAGTGGCCTGGCTGGAGATCCTCAGGTATTTCTTTATAGCGATGCAAGAACGCACTACACACATCTTGACCAGAAAACATTAACTGTCCTCCCTGATTAGAGTTTGTTATAATACTCCATTTACTCTAGTCACCTCTCAAGGATCATGGAATGAGACATCATCTCTCCACTGAAGACTGCTTGCAAGGTTGTAGCTGCTCAGCTCCTTTGGTAAGAGAGTAATATAACAAAGGTAGAGAGGGCATGGACTTTGGCATCAGCAAATCTTAGGTTACACATACCTCAAAATAATAAGAGCCCTCTATGACAAACCCACAGCCAACATTATACTGAATGAGCAAAAGCTGGAAGCCTCCCTCTCAGGACCAGAACAACACAATGATGCCCTCTTTCATCACTCCTATTCAACATAGTACTAGAAGTCTTAGCCAGAGCAATCAGGCAAGAAAAAGAAATGAAAGGCATCCAAATAAGAAGAGAAGATGTCAAACTATCCCTCTTTGCAAATGATATGGTTCTATACCTGGAAAACCCCATAGTCTCTGCCCAAAGTCTCCTAGAGCTGATAAGCAACTTCAGCAAAGTTTCGGGATACAAAATCAATGTACAAAAATTTGTGACATTTATATACACCAGACAACACACAAGCTGAGAGCCAAATCAAAAATGCAATCCCATTCACAATATCCGCCAAAAGAATAAAATATCTAGGAATACAGACAATCAGGGAGGTGAAAGATCTCTACAATAAGAATTACAAAACATTACTGAAAGAAATCTGAGACAAGATAAACAAATGAAAGACATTCCATGCTCATGGATAGGAAGAATCAATATCATTAAAATGGCCATACTACCCAAAACAATTTACAGATTCAATACTATCCCTATCAAACTACCAATGACATTATTCACAGAATTAGAAAAAAATTATTTTAAAATTCATATGAAACCAGAAAAGAGCCCAAGTAGCCAAGGCAATCCTAAGCAAAAAGAACAAAGCTGGAGGCATCATGCTATCCAACTTCAAACTATACTACAGGGCTATGGTAACCAAAACAGCATGGTGCTGATACAAAAACTGACACATAGACCAATGAAATAGGTTAGAGAACCCAGAAATAAAGCTGTACACCTACAACCATCTGATCTTCATCAAAGTCAACAATAACAAGCAATGGGGAAAGGACTTCCTTTTCGATAAATGGTGTTGGGATAACTGGCTAGCCATATGCAGAAGATTGAAACTGGACCCTTTCCTTTCACCATCAACTGAAATCAATGCGAGTTGGATAAAAGACTTAAATATAAAACCCAAAACTGTGAAAACACTAAAAGAAAGTCACACTACAAACCACCATTCTTGACATAGGCCTTAGCAAAGATTTCATGAGGCAGTCTCCAAAAGCAATTGCAACAAAATAAAACGTTGGCCCAATTAAACTAAAGAGCATCTGCACAGCTAAGGAAACTATTAACAGAGTAAACAGACAACCTACACAATGGGAGAAAATATTTGCAAACTATGCATCTGACAAAGGTCTAATATTCACAATTTATAAGGAACTTAAACAACTCAACAAGCAAAAACTAAACAACCTCATTAAAAAATGGGCAGAGGGGCCGGGAGCGGTGGTTCACGCCTCTAATCCCAGCACTGTGGGACGCCAAGACCGGCGGATCACGAGGTCAGGAGATCAAGACCATCCTGGCTAACACGGTGAAACCCCGTCTCTACTGAAAATACAAAAAATTAGCCGGGCGTGGTGGTGGGTACCTGTAGTCCCAGCTACTCGGGGGGCTGAGGCAGGAGAACGGCGTGAACCCAGGAGGCGGAGCTTGCAGTGAGCCCAGACTGCTGCCACTGCACTCAAGCCTGGGTGACAGAGCGAGACTCTGTCTCAAAAGGCAGAGGACATGAACAGACACTTCTCAAAAGAAGACATACATGCAGCCAACAAGCATATGAAAAAAAAATAAAGCTCAATATCACTAATTATTAGAGAAATGCAAATCAAAGCCACAATGAGATATCATCCCATACCAGTCAGAATGGCTGTTATTAAAGTCAGAAAATAACAAATGTTGGTGAGGTTGCAGAGAAAAGAGAATGCTTCTACACTTCTGGTGGGAATGTAAATTATTAGTTCAGCCACTGTAAAAAGCAGTTCGTAGATTTCTCAGAGAACTTAAAACACAACTACCATTAAACCCAGCAATCTCAATACTGGTACAGACCCAAAGGAATATAAATTATTCTACCAAGAAGACACATGCATGCATATGTTCATCACAGCGCTATTCACAGTAGCAAAGACATGGAATCAAACTAGATGTCCATCGATGGTGAACTGGATAAAGAAATTGTGATACACGTACACTGTGGAATACTACGAAGCCACAAAAAAAAAACAAAATCATATCCTTTGCAGCAACTTGGATGCAGCTAGAGGCCATTATTCTAAGTGAATTAGTGCAGGAACAGAAAACCAAATATCGCATGTTCTCACTTATAAGTTGGAACTAAATGTTGAATACACATGGACACAAAGAGGGGAACAATAGACACCAGGACCTACTTAAAGGTAGAGGGTATGAAGAGGGTAAGTAAGGTAGTTTTTTACTACCCATCAGATACTCTGCTTACTACCTGGGTGATTAAATCATTTGTACACCAAACCCCAGTGGCATGCAATTTACTCACATAACAAATCTGCTCATGTACCCTATGAACGTAAAATAAAAGTTGAAAAAGAAAATAAGAAAATCTTGGGTTACAGGATGGAGGGTACTAAAAAAATTAAAAATAGAACTACCATATGATCCAGCAACCCCACTTCTGGGTATACGTCCAAAAGAAAGGAAATCAGTATATCGAAGAGACATCTGCACTTGCATTTTTATAGGAGCACTATTCACAATAGCCAAGATTTGGAACCAACCTAAGTTTCCACGAATGGATGAATTGATAAAGAAAATTAGGCAGTATACACGACGGAATATTATTCAGCCATAAAAAATGAAATCCTGTCCTTTACAACAGCATGTATAGAACTGGAGGACATTACATTAAGTAAAATAAGCCAGGTACAGAAAGACAATTCATATTCTCACTTATAAATGGAAGCTTAAAAAAAAACTCATGGAGATAAAGAATGATGGTTACCAGAGGCTGGGGAGGAAAGCAGGTAGGGACTCCAGTTAAGGAGCACGAAAACACAGTTAGTTAGAATGAATAAAGTCTGGTATTTGGTAGCACAATAAAGTGATTATAGACAACAAGTGTATATTTCAAAATTAACTGGAAGAGTGGAATTGAAACGTTCTTAATACAAAGAAATGATAAACGCTTGAGGGGATGGATACCCCAATTACCCTGATTTAATTACTGCACATTGTATGCCTATATCAAAACGTGTACCTCATAAACATACAAAACTATTATGTACCCATAATAATTAATTTAAAATTAATAAAAAGAAAATCCTGGGTTCCAATCCCAGCCAGTCTACCATAGAACCCTCAGCAAGCCCTTTCTCCTCCTGCAGGCTCATTTGCCTTGTGTGAAGGTGGACGGAAGGATGTGGGGCATTTGTTTGATTTATGTAGACGTGGGGCATGGCAGGGACTTGGTTCAGAAGCTCAACATAAATGGATAACTATGCGAGTCACAGACCATGTGATTCCATCCTGGAAGGGTCATACATTCTGAAAAGCGTGGCTGAATTAAAAAGGAATGTCCTTCTCTCTGTGCTTCTGCAAGAACACAAAGGAGACCCAGTTCTTAGCCCTGCAACACTTCACATGTCCCATTCCCTTTCCTGCCCTTTCCAGAGCCTCTCATTTGATAAGAGCCTCTCATTTGATAAGACCCTCAAAACAAGTCTCCACTCATCCCTTGGCCTGCATCTCTCTGTGCTGCAGATGGAGTGGTCTTTTCTTACCAAGTCCTCCCCCTTCCTTCCCCATCTTCAGTCCTGTCTCATCCACAGCACCCCACCCCCAACGCTCTACACCCCTACAACCTCCAGAGCCAACCTGGCAGCCACATGCTTCTCCCGTGGAGCAGGGATGGGGTGGGTTGGCAGCCAGAGTTGGGGAGGCTGAGGAATCTTCCATGAATGAGCTGTGCCCAGCCTCAGATGGGCAGCTTAGAACCGGACTCCCTGCTGAGCTGTGTTCTCTGCCCAAAGGGTGACAGTGGGGGGCCTCTGGTCTGCACCCCAGAGCCTGGTGAGAAGTGGTACCAGGTGGGCATCATCAGCTGGGGAAAGAGCTGTGGAGAGAAGAACACCCCAGGGATATACACCTCGTTGGTGAACTACAACCTCTGGATCGAGAAAGTGACCCAGCTAGAGGGCAGGCCCTTCAATGCAGAGAAAAGGAGGACTTCTGTCAAACAGAAACCTATGGGCTCCCCAGTCTCGGGAGTCCCAGAGCCAGGCAGCCCCAGATCCTGGCTCCTGCTCTGTCCCCTGTCCCATGTGTTGTTCAGAGCTATTTTGTACTGATAATAAAATAGAGGCTATTCTTTCAACCGAGGGAGGGTGCATGCAAGTGCGTCTCCAGCAGAGGCTCTGTCTGCAGCTCAGGGCTCAAGGATGGAAATTGAGGCTGGGACCCGGAGGACCAGAGAGTCACCCTGGGTCCCTGGTTTGGGGACTGCACTTTGGGTCTGTGGATTAGTCAGGACTTTTTCCATTCTAGGTGACAGTCACCTAATTCTGACTGAATTCAGCCAAAATGAGGCATTTATGGATACATATAACAGAAAAAAAAAAAAAGCCAACAAACAAATATCCAGGGCTGGCATGATGACTTCAGGCGTGGCTGAGTCCAGGGGCTGAAAGGTGAAGGCAGTGACTGTTGTCTGTGGCCATTACCCTCAAGAGGGCTTCTCAGCGGTGATGAGAACAAAGAATTCCCTGTTGTTCTAGGAAGTTAGTCTCTTAGTTCTACGCAGGCCTTCAGTGGATTGGACAAGGCCCACCCACATTATGATGGGCAATCTGTTGATTCAAAAGTTATCAATTTAAATGTCAATCTCATCCAAAGATACCCTCCAAGTTGACATATGAGATGAACCACCACGCTGCCCAGGCAGCCTTCACATGGTGTTTTACATTACTCCTGTCCATAAAAACGAACGATGTGCTTATGCTCACCCTACCTTAAAGACAACAGCTTACTGTAACCCTTCTATGGAGCATGTTTCCTGAGGACCCCACTGATATGGTTTGGCTATGTCCCCACTCAAATCTCATCTTGAATTATAGCTCCCATAATTCCCACGTGTTGTGGGAGGGACCCACTGGGAGATAATTGAGTCATGCAGAGGTTTCCCCATACTGTTCTCATGGTAGTGAGTAAGTCTCACGAGATCTGATGGTTTTATAAGAGGTTTCCCTTTTCGCTTGGCCCTTGTTCTCTCTTGCCTGCTGCCATGTAAGATGTGCCTTTTGCCTTCCACCATGATTGTGAGGCGTCTCCAGCTACATGGAACTGTGAGTCCATAAACCTCTTTTTCTTTATAAATTACCCAGTCTCAGGTACGTCTTTATCAGCTGTGTGAAAACGGACTAACACACCCACTTTTCAAAATCACCTTTTTTCCATTCCCTACCTTGGGCCTTCTCTCTTTTGAGGCAGGCAGGCCTGAGCTCCCCTTTCCCTCGCCTCTCAAGCTGTCACCAGTTCTCCCTTCTGGCTCATCCTGGAGCCAAGCTGATGGCGCTCCTCTCTTGCTCTCTCCTTCATGTTCAGAGGCTCTCGCCTCTGCTTTCAGCTGACCTCCCTCCATGGCTCAGCCCCTCCGAGTTGCTTGCTGTGTTCCACCAGCGTGTGGGATGCCCCCGCCGCTCGCACCAGGCAGGACTCCCCCACCCTGCAGCATGCAACTGCACGGGCTGGTGTGGGGCGGACCACAATTCACAAGAAGTCCCTTGAGAACGTGTTCCTGTCTTCCCCTCATGTAGACCCAGCGCTGCCGCGTGCTTCTTTCCTCTGGATTCGAATTTCCTGGGCCACCACCGAAGATGCAAAGGCAAATTCAGGAAATGCAAATCCTTAAATGGAAGCTTGGGCTTTTCCTGGGGACCTACAGCCTGGCTGAGTGTTCTCCAGAAAGAGACTGAAGAAAAGCTTCCTGGTTGGGCGAGGTGGCTCATGCCTGTAATCCCAGCACTTTGGGAGGCTGAGATGGGTGGATCACCTAAGGCCAGGAGTTCAAGACCAGTCTGGCCACCACGGTGAAACCCCGTCTCTACTTTAAAAAATACAAAAGTTAGCCGGGTGTGGTGGCGGGCACCTGTAATCCCAGCCAATCGGGATCCTGAGGCAGGATAACGGCTTGAACCCAGGAGGTGGAGGTTGCAATGAGCGGAGATCACGCCACTGCACTCCGGCCTGGGCATCAAGAGTGAACTCTATCTCCAAAAAAAAAGAAAAAAGAAAAAAAGCTTCCTAGTTATCCTTTTTCCCACTCTAACCCTACTCCTCCAGAGGTCCTACAGCTACAATGTCTAGAAGCCATTTTTTCAGAAGCTCCTAAGAACCTGGGACTCAGGCAGGCCCAGTGGAGGGTGGCCAGCTGGAGTGTTCACCATCTCAGGACATCACCACTGTCCACTCCACTTTCCTGCTCACCGCCCTCTGACTTCTGTGTGGGGGCCCTCCCTTTTCACCCACTCTCCAATTTGCATAGTTCTGGATGGCTGGCCCTTTGCTGGGGGCTGGGGTGGGCATAGAACTCGAGCCTGGCCTAGAAGGACATTGATTTTGGCCACAGGGATGGGAGCAGCAATGGGCTGTGGGCTTTATAGGTCACAAGAGCAAGACCAAGACTTCTGCTGGAGTTATCAGGAACAAGACTGACTGACTCTCCTGGGACTCCCAACATGGTAGGGTGCATGTTGAAGGTACTGCTCATGTGAAGGCTGCTGGGGAGTGTGGTGGTTCCTTTTGTCTGTCAACTTGGAGGGGATCTGTGGATGAGATTGATGTTTAAATTGGTAAACTGTGACGAAGCAGATTGCCCTCCATAATGGGGTGAGCCTCATCCAATCCGTTGAAGGCCTGAGTAGGACAAAAATGATTGGCCTCCCCACACAAGAGGGAATTCCTCAGCCGCCCACCTTCAGACTTCATCTGCATTGTCAGCTCTTCTGGGGCTCTGCCTGCCAGTCTCTAAACCAGAGCAGCACCACCAGCTCTCCTGCATCTCGAGCCTGCCAGTCCACACCCCAGGTTTGAGCTTGCCAGTCTCTGTAATCAGGTGAGCCAATTCCTTATAATAAACAGCTTCATATCTGTACCTATATCTATATTTATATCATCTATATCTCATCTCTGTATCAGCTCTATCTATCTATCTAATCTATCTCTCCTGTTTTTTCTGGAAAACCTGACTAATATGGGGGAAGAGCTTCTGTACTGTGAAGGGGCTTCTTAGAAAATGAGGTGGAAGCAATGTTGCTGTTTCACTTTTCTTTTTTTGAGACATGGCCTCACTCTGTCGCCCAGGCTGGAGTGCAGTGCCATGATCACAGCTCACTGCCACCTACATCTCAGGCAATCCTCCCAACTCAGCCTCTCTAATAGCTGAGTCCCAGCCTCTCTAATAGCTGGGACTACAGGCGCACATCACCACACCTGGCTCATTTTTTAAAATTTTTTGTAGAGATGGGAGTTTCACTATGTTGCCCAGGCTGGTCTCAAACTCCTGGGCTCAAGCAGTCCTCCTGCCATGGCCTCCCAAAGTGCTGTGATGACAGGCATTAAGTCACCGCACCTGGCCCTGTTTCACCCGTGAAAGCAACGTTTTGTCATGATATGGAAATTGTCAGTTTAAACATTATCCAGTCAATTGTGATTAGTTAGGCTACAGGATTATCATGTGTGTCCCAAGAGAGTTTTCATACCTAGAGTCACACAGTGTAGTGTGTAAACTGCACTGTGGTGCCCCAGTGCGGATGTGTGGGGACAAAACAGACACACAGAGACATCTGTTGGACATCAAGGGAAACAACAATGTCTGTTGGACATGGAGTTGACCACTGCTGCTAAGGTGTTTAAACTTAACAACGTAATAAATGCAATTGTTAGGTATTTCATTTGGCCTAGAAGCACCATGCGGGGGGAAAAAAAAAAAAAAAAAGCTAAGACAATAAGGGAAAGTTTGAAAACCTTTGGCCTCAAGGATAACTGCTGATGTTAATGTTTTGTATTTAAGAATAAAGGGTGAGTTTTTACAATAGTTTTGTGGTGGGTAATTTGAGAGTAGCCCAAACGTCTCCTTAAAGATGACCTGGACAGGCACGGTGGCTCATGTCTAATCCCAGCACTTTGGGAGGCTGAGGCAGGTGGATCACCTGAGTTCAGGAGTTCAAGACCAGCCTGGCCAAGATGGTGAAACCCCATCTCAACTAAAAATACAAAAAAAAAATTAGCTGGGTGTGGTGGCGGGTGCCTGTAATCCCAGCTACTTGAGAGGCTAAGGCAGGAGAATCGCTTGAACCCGGGAGGCGGAGGTTGCAGTGAGTCGAGATCATGCCATTGCACTCCAGCCTGGGTGACAAAAGCAAAACTTTGTCTCAAAAAAAAAAAAAAAAAAAAAAGACAACCTCTTGGAGGGATATGAAATCAAGAATCAAGGCTCAGGTGTCTGTGGCTGTTTTGTCTGCTCTGCACCCAGTGGCTCCAGTTTATTTGGGGGAACCCTCTTCCTTATTGCAAGTTTCTGATGTCACCTTTCTCAAGATCCATTTCTTATGGACAGGTAGACCCTACCTCTGACTCCAGAGGTTGCATGGGACCAGGCCTGACCAATGTGAGGCCCTCAACCCAGGGCCTCAGGATGTCTTTCAGGATGGCCCTAAGAACCAAGCTTGGCAATCTTGGCAAGTCCCAGAACTTCACCTGGGACATGCACAGGCTCTTTGAGATTAGCAGCTCTCTGTCTGCTAGGACTGACCCTTGGAGAATGTAAGCCCGGAGCTTCTGGGGGCCCCATGCGGAAGTGACTGCCCTGAGAGTGAAGTCAAAGCATGAAGACATCACATCCTGGTGACATTTTTATAGCCCCTAGAGCCAGGCATGCCTGAACAACAGATTTCTTTTTCTTTCTTTCTTTCTTCTTTCTTTCTTCCTTCCTTCCTTCCTTCCTTCCATCCTTCCTTCCTTCCTTCCTTTCTTTCTTTCTCTCTTTTTTTTTTCCAAGGTCTTCACTCTGTCGCCCAGGCTGAGTGCAGCGGCACCATTTTGTTTCCTTTAACAAATCTGTCCCTATCTTCCCCTTTCCCTTATCCTTCCTGGTTTCTAGTATTCTCTGTTCTAATTTTTACTTTTATGAGATGAACATCTTTTAGTTTCTACATCATATAAGCATTTACAGCTAGACATTTCCATCTCAGTGCTGCTTTAGTGCATCACATATGTTTTTGTGTGTTATGTTTTCACTCTCATTGACCTTAAAGTATTTTCTAATTTCCCATGTAAGCTCTTTTTACTCATTGATTATTTAAGAGTGTGCTGTTTAATTTTCATATATTTGCAATTATTCTTCTGTTATTTATTTCTAATTTAATTCCGCTGAGGTTGGAGAACATACTTTGTATTATTTCAATCCTTTTAAAAATTTGAGAATTGCTTTATGGCTTAGAATATGATCTATCCTAAAGAATATTTTATGTACTGTATTTTAAAAAGTATATTCTGCTATTATTGGGTAGCGTGTTCTATAGATGTTTATTAGGTCTAGCTGGTTTATAGTATTGCCAAAATCCTCTATATCCTTGTTAATCTTCTGTATAGTTGTTCTATCCATTATTTAACATGAGATTTAAGTCTCCAACTTCTGTTATTAAATTGTCTCTTTCTTCCTTCAATTGTCATTTTTTGCTTCCAATATTTGAATGTTCTATTGTTAGATGCACGTATGTTTACAGTTGTTATAGCTTTCTGAATCATTGACCCTTTAGTCATTATAAAATGTCTCCCTTTATCTCTAATGAATTTTTTGTTTTACAGTCTATTTTGTTGATATCATTAGCACCATATCAGCTCTTTCATCATTATCATTTGCATAGTTTATCTGTTTCTTTTTATTTTTAACCTACTTATATATGTGAATTTAAATGTGTTTCCTGTAGACAACACATAGAACTTGTTTGTTTATCCAGTCTGACAATCTCTGTCTTTTAATTGCATTTTTAGTCCACTCACATTTAATGTGATCATTGATATAGTTTGATTTACATATGCCATTTTGGTTGGTTTTCCTGTATGATGCTTTTCCTTTTTGTCCCTCTGACCTTCCTTTATAGCCTTTTGTGTCAAGTCAATATTTTCTAGTGTAACATTTTAATTTTTTAATGATGCTAATTATATTTTTGAGTTGTTTTCTTAGTAGTTGCACTAGAACTTATAATACACATCTCAACTTATTAGAATTAACTTCTGGTTTAGACTAACTTATTTCTAGTAAGAGATCAAAACTTTCTTCCTACGTAGTCCTATTTCCTCCTCCTCTTTTTTTTGCTATTATTTTCGTATATTTACATCTACATATGTTATAAATCCAAAAATACCTCACTATAATTGTTACATTATTTAACTTTATGTCTCATAGATTTTAAGAGAAGAAAGGAGATAAAGTATGTATTTATAGAATTTTTATATTAACTTTAACAGGGACAGAAAACTGACTGTGTGCTCTGTTGACCCAGCCTCAACAAACAGGACATGGTGGCCTGCACCTGTGCTTCTCAGACCATCTGTGAGGAAAAAGACCAGGGCTTTTGGTTTTTGGTTTTGCTTCGAAATTTCCAACTTATTTCAAACCAATACTTTCATAAAACATAAAATTGAACTACTCGAAAAATGAAATCGAAAATGAACAAATAAAATGCAAGCCCACACTATTTTTTTTTTTTTTTCCGAGAGTGTCTCACTCTATCACCCAGGCTGGAGGGGAATAGTGCAATCAGGACTCACTGCAGCCTCAACCTCCCAGGCTCAAGTGATCCTACTGTCTCAGCCTTTTAAGTATCTGGGACCACAGGTGTGCACCATCATGCCTGGCTAATTTTATTTTATGGAGAGATGGGGTCTCACCATGTTGCCCAGGCTGCAAACTTTATTATTACAGTCAACCACATAACCCACTTAACTTTAAGTTGCTGTAAAGGTTTCTAAGCATTTACTCTCCATTTCTATGCTTATCTCTTCTTGGGCCAGTAACAAGCAGTTTTCAGACCAGCAGTAGTCCCTGTTCCACACTTCAGAAGCATTTCCCTACGAGACCCAGACTTTAATCACCAAGAAATAGAGGCCACCTGGCTACCAAGCCCAGGCTTTCTAAGGTATAAGAGGATCACATTAGAATATGCATTGGATTGGAATGAAGCTTTCGGTGTGGCTCGTAAATCATCGTTTGAATTGAGACTGTAGAGACATGTGTTATTCATTGTCTTGAGCAGTAAAAACTCACAAAGCATCTCAGCGTCCTAGCCCAGAATAGCTTAATTGGGCACTGTTGCTCTGCAATGCAAAGTGCATGTTTAATTCTGAGTTCTGCATTTTTACATCAGAACCGGCCCAGTAAGAGGCATCTTCTATCTTTAGTCCTGGCTTATTGCTCTTTGCTTGCGTGTGTGAATGCTGGGCCCCTCCCTGCAGAGCCTCTTGCCAGAGCGCTGTCCTCAGATTACCCTGAGGCTCAGATGCTGCGTGAGCAGCTGCTGGGCACAGATGGGGAGAGGAAGACAGCCCCCATCTGAGGTCCAAGGAGCAAAGGCAGGGCTCGGTGTCACTTATGCCCAGGGGAACTAGGCTCCCCTGAGCTGAGCCAGCTTCCAGAATGAAGCTGGCCATGGCTCAAAACTTAGCCCCAAGAACGTGAGCCTCTATGTCCCAGGTCCCTTGCCTGTAAAATGAGAATCATTGCATGGACAGAGTAAGGCTATTGAGGCTGTAACGATGCAGAAAAAGCCATGAGCAAAGCCTGCCATACACTGAACACTCAGGGAACTAAACAGCCCCAGACAAAGCTTAGCCGCATGACCCCAGGGTTGCCACAGACCCCTATAACCCTCGGCGCTAGCCAGTTCCCTATCTCACCCCTAAATCCCTCCCTGCAACAGGATCAAGTCCCCTTGATGCTCTTCACATCAATCCCAGCAGCTAGTTGCACTTTTGAATGCCTCTGCAGTAACAAGGCATCCAGCATCCGAAAACTGACCACACACCCTGTCAACCCAGCCTCAGGCAGCTCCAAAGCCTTAGACTTGGCTCTGCAGGGCAGCCACGGTGCTCCTGTTGCCCCCTCCAGGAAGCCCTCCTGGTCGCACATGGAGAACTCACCACCTACAGGCAGCCCTCTGCTGCCTCCTCTTGACAAACAAAACAAACAAACAAACAAAAAACACAGGGTCTCACTCTGTTGCTCAGGCAGAAGTTCAGTGGCCCAATCAAGGACCACTGAAGCCTCACCCTTCCAGGCTCAAGTGATCCTCCCACCTCCACCTCCTGAGTAGCTGATTGCACACAGGAGTGTGCAATCACACCTAGCTAATTATTTTTTGTAGATACAAGTTCCCCCTATGTTTCCCAGGCTGGCCTTGTACTCCTGGGCTCAAATGATCCTCCCACCTCAAGCCTCTCAAAGTGCTGGGATTACAGGTGTGAGCCACGGTGTCCGACCCAGCCCTCAGCTTTGACCAAGAGTACAGAATCCTATGCTGAGCCACATCAGCCTCGCTGTAGCCCAGCAGATGGCAGTGGGCAGGCTGGAAGACCACGCTCTGGCTTCACGGAGCCATGACATCCCCAAACCACACATCTCAGCTACTGCAGTCACCGCTCCTATTTATAGCTCCGCAATTCCCGCCACCCTTGTCACTCGACAACCTCTCTTGCAACACTCTTCCCAGAGTGAGCCGCCGAGGGGTGAGCGTAGTGGTCCAGGCGTGCGCCAGCCGGTGGCCTCTGACACAGGGGCATCACCCCTCACCCAAAGACCGGGCCTCCAACAACGCCCCCTCCCTCCCCGAGAGCCCATGTCTTTTCTCTCCTCTTTGAGCTTCCGGTGGACTGGAAGCCTGCACTGTTTTGCAGAGCTGCTTCTAGACTTATCCCCACCCCGCACTTACCTTTTGTGGACTCCAGAGGTGGACCCCACCGTGATCTTTCTGAACCCTGGAATGTGCGAGATTCCAGGGCCCTCGGCCTCAGCCTCCTGCCTTCCTCTTTCTGACACCGCGGCTGCCTCGCCACATCCCTGGGCCTCCCGGTGCTCTGCTGCTCCGGCCAACCCCGTTAGCAGGCACTACCCAGGCTCGAAATCCCAAGCTGGCACCTTCCCCTTCCCGTCCCTCCTTTTCCCTTCCCTTCCCACTCCTTTTTCCTCCTTTTCTTTCCTTCCCTTCCTTCCTCCCTCTCCCCTTCCCCCACCCCCCGCCCCGCCCCGCCCCAGTCTTGGTGGCTTGTTCCGGATCTGGTGTTGCTCATTCACTCATCAAACATTTGCCGAGAGTCTTTTATGTGCCGTTGCTGTTCCAGTCACGGGGAAGAGCAGGGAACAACATGTCACGCCCTCAGAAGCCGACACTCTAGGGGAACAGACACCGTAAACACACAGCTTTACTGAACATGACTGGTGGAGAGGCACAGAGGAGAACAGGGAAGAAGGAGTGTGGGCGGAGGAGGGACTCCTTCCTACCCCAGGTCACAGGGAAGGCCCGGATGAGAGCAGAGACCTGGAGGACAGGAGGCTCAGGACAGGACTGCTCCGTGTGAAAGAGTGTCTCGGGGATCTCTGGGCCTTTCCAGAACAGAGATTCCCAGAGCTTTGCAGAATGAACAGGCTTCCTTAGGGAGCTGGGGCGGGCTTTGGAGAGGGGGCTCAGGCAGCGAGCGCTCAGGTGGGCCTGGCTGGAGTGGGGTGCAGTTCCCAGATGTCGCCTCAAGGTGGCAGAGTGACTCCAGACCAGGCACGAGGGCTTCAGTGTCTCCCTGTGCTTGGTCAGGCCTGGAGACCTGGGGCAGCCAGGCAGGTGACAGACACAGCCCTGGAGGGGGAGGGAAGCAGAGGTTCCCTGAGAGCTGGCTGGAGCCTTCCAGGAGAGGCTTGTCCCCACCCTCCCGGTGGCTGCCACCCTGCTGGGCCCTCACGGGTGGGGCCCTGGGCCCAGGCATTGCATCCGATGGGCTGTGGCACCGCGGGGCTGCACTGGGTCCTGGGAGCTGGGAGACGGTTTCCCTCACTCTGAGGCTGGGGTCACTTTGGACCCTTTCCTTCCTGACACGGTGAGCCAGGAATCTGGGCCAACACCTTAGCCCCGGCCATTCCCCCTGCCTGCAAGTCTCCTGCGGAAGCAGACGAGGAGCTGTTGGGACAGAAGCCCAGGCACAAGGTGGGACCCGGCAGCATGAGGCACCCACGGCTCCAAAGCCTCAGACTTGGATCCGCAGGGCAGCCACAGGGCTCCCGTGCCCCCCTCCAGGCAGCCCTCCTGGTCACACATCCACTCAAAAGCCTTTTATTAAAGCATCTCCCGTGTGTCAGGCACTGTGCTGGGGACCTGGTGGTGGGGGAGACAGACTAGGAATGGCCAGCCCCAGAGATCAAAGTCAAAAGCAGGGGTCCGACTGAGGCTGGGGTTGGATCAAGCCCACTGTGTGTCTTATCGGAACGCAGCCACGCCTCTTCCCTGGCATCTCGTCTGTGGGTGCTGCTGTATATACAGGCATAAGCTCAATAGATGCAACCAAGGCTAGGTGGCCCCTGGAGCCTGGAGCATTTACTACCTGACCCTTGACAGAAAACATTCGCTTACCCTGGTCTAGAGGGGGAGATGGATGTAAACGGATAGTCACCTCATCATAATAAGTGCTAGGATGGAGGCGGGGGCAGATGAAGGATGGAGCTGGGTCCTGTCCTTTAGGCCTCTGAAAGGTCCCTGCAGCGGCCATGGCCGCGGAGAGCCACTGAAGAGGCTTGAGCAAGAGTGATGTAATCCAATCCCAGAAACTCTGGTGTGGGAAGTGGGAGTGAGGGGACAGCTGCAGAGCCAGTGCCCCGGTGGGAGATGGTTGTAAGAGCCTAGGAGGGGTGGCCTGTAGGGATGGCCCGAGTTGATGGCATTTCAGAGGGTGGATGATGGCATCGGCATGTTGGGATGTGGGCTGGGTACGGGGCTAAGCCCACGTACAGCCTGTGTCCAGCACACTGGGGGTCACACAGGGGCTCACCAAGCCCTGCTAAATGTGACAGTGATGAGACCCCACAGATCATCAAGAAAAGACCCTGGTTCTAAGATGCGAAACAAGGCCCCAGGAGCTCAGCCCACCTGCTGTTCAGTGGCCATGTTAGGGTACCAGGCAGGGGCTTCCTGACGTCGGTTCCAACGCTCAGTGCCCCTTTTCAGCTGTGTCTCTCCCCCTGACTTTGGAGAAAGACGGAGTGCTTGGGACCATGAAACAGCACAGGCACAGCCAGCAGCTCCCCGCTCTGTCATTTCTCTAAACTGCAATTTTCTTATCTGCAAGGTGGTGGTAAGGCCCTGTTCCCGGCCTGGCTCTCAGTCTTTCTGTAGTGAAATGATGCATAGAGAAGCACTGATAACCCATAAGTCATTTTTATCTTTTATTTTTAATTTTTGAGACAGTCTCAGTCTATTGCTCAGGCTGGAGTGCCGTGCTGTGATCTCAGCTCACTGCAGCCTCCGCCTCCCAGGTTCCATCGATTCTCCTGCCTCAGCCTCCCAAGTAGCTGAACTACAGGTGCGCGCCACCATGCCCTGCTAATTTTTGTATTTTTAGTGGAGACGGGGTTTCTCCATGTTGGCCAGGCTGATTGGTCTTGAACTCCTGATTTCAGGTGATCCACCCACCTCGGCTTCCCAAAGTGCTGGGATTACAGGTGTGAGCCATTGCGCCCGGCCCACAGGGCATTTTAGCTATCCAAGTCATCACTATCCACAGAGAATTACCTAGGGAGCCCCATAACACAGAAGTGGGGGTCTAGAACTCCCAGCTCCTGAAATGCAAGGCTGGTTATGGCCAAGTCAATGAAGGAAGGGGCCGAGCCTATGGAGTCAGCAGCCTGGCCTCACGTCCCTGGCCTCATAAGCCTGTACTAGTCCTGGCTCTGGTGTAGCATCACCTGGTGGCAGTTGGCTGCTGTGCCTTAAACAACAAGAATTTCTGGGACCCTTGATGGGACTTCCAAGACAGATACAAACTCCAGCACACTCCCAGCTGATGCCGTTTTGTTGAGTTGACTGGAGAAAATTGGAGCACAGGGACCCAATCTCTGCCTCCCCACTTCTGAGACCGATTGCCTGAAGTTTCCCAACCAGCCTTCCCCTCTCCTGCCTGCCTGCCCCGAGACAATGCTTGATGATAACTGTGTTACCCTGCGATGTGTTACCTTGGTTTTTACTGTATCAGCTTCTCCTGAAGATGTCGCTTTCCATTCGATACCTGTGTTAATCACCTGATGTACATGCAAAAGACATGGCAGGTGTGTGTGTGCATGCGTGTGTGTGCACGTGTGTGTGCGTGAGCACAAACACATCTGTAGGAGTGCATGGAAAGCTGGAGGGAGGATTGCTTGCTCAGCTATCCTGTCTTCTTTCACATTCAGATGACACTGAATAAATCAATTACTCCCACTAAAACATTCTTCTGCCCCAACAGCTGACATGGACCCAGGCTTCCAGTACATTTTGAAATCCCCTGTTGCCGCCACCTTCTCTTACTATCTTCTTATTCATAGCATACTCAGAAGGTCCTGCAAGTGATGAGCTTTGAGCACTTTCCAAGACCCCTTCCTTCTGAGAGGGCAGTGGAAGGATATCCTTTAAAAGCTGTCTGTGCTCAACAAGCAATAAAGGTCGTGCTTCATGGCTGAAGGTTGAAAGGCACAGGAAGCAATCGGGCACACAGGACTTCTTACTGATCTCCTTATTTGCCTTCTTTTCTTCTAAGACAATGAGCTTGTGAGGCAGAAACACCCTTGGCTTTAAAATGCCCTCACTCACTCATTCATTCATTCACTTATTCTTCCTGTTATTGAATCAGAATAAGTGTTCAGTTCTTTTCTTTGTGCTGGGAAACACAAAGACAGGCAGTGCCCGGTGGCTGTCTTAGGGAGCTCGACCTCTGGTGGGGACGGCAGGGTAACCGGCAGCATTGCAGGCTGTGACGTGCAGCACAGGTGGAGGCATGAACTGAGGACACAAATCCCAGCAGATCGAGGACCAGCTTCCCTGTGACTGCATGTCCTGCAAGGTCATCTTGTGCGAGGTAGGGGCACCCCACAGAGGGGCTTCACCTCCTAACCCTGGCAACGCTGACCGATGTGCCAATGACAGCGGCTGAAGGGAACAGCTGAGAACATTGGAACCATGTCTCTCCATCTGCACGGGCTCTGAGAGCACTTGGTGATGGGGAGAAGCTCCCACCCCATCCTTTTAGTGGGGGCACAAAAAATCGCACTCCTCCCTCTCCTGTGTCAAGCCCCGTGCTGTCCTCACTGCAAAGCACCTCCAGATTCCCTGTGCTTTCCATCTGCCCATTTAATAGGAACCAACAAATTCTTCCAAAAGCAGAACCTTTGCAAAATCCCTGCTTTCAAATGTTCCTGCCCAAAGAGGCAGTTAAACGACAGAAACATTGCCCGTTTGGCTAATAGCGCTACAGAGCAGCCGGGTGTGGAGATGCACGGCAGAACGTGCCGGAAGTTACTGGGGAAAGGGCACCGTTTCCTGCCTTGCCTCAGTAAGCCTTCATGTGCTCTGTGCAAAGGGAAATGTCTTCATGCTTAGAATAAAGAATACTGGAAGCTACTGGTTATGAGGAACCTCCTCATCTTTCTCTTAGAACAAACGCTGGGATCCATTTGACTGAAAGCAGAGAGCCCGTTTCTAACTTACTGATGCCCTCAAGATTGGAACTTTTAAAGAATCCCATTCTTTGAGAGAGTGAAATCATGGGAGTGTTAATCATGGCAAAGCTACGGATGGCTGGAGGCCTCCAGGAAACATCTTCCTACTTTAATCTACCGAGCACCGGGTTGAAAAAGCAAAGCTTAGATATGACCCCAAAAGCACAGACAGCAAAAGCAAAAAATCAGACAAATGGGGTTGCACTAAACTAAGAAGCTTCTACACAGCCAAGGAGACAATTAGCAGAGTAAAGAGACAACCTTTGGAATGGGAGAAAACATTTGCAAACCATGCATCTTTTAAGGGGTTAATCCCCAAAATATACAAAAAACCCAAACAACTCAGTAGTAAGAAAACAAATAACCCAATTTAAAAATGGGCAAAGGACCCGAATAGACATTTCTCAAAAGAAGACACATAAGTGGCTAAATGAAAAACTTCTCAACATCACTAATCATCAAGGAAATGCAAATTAATACCACAAAGACACATGACCTCACACCTGTTAGAATGGCTGTTGTCAAAAAGACAAAAGATAGTGAGTGTTGGTGAGGGTGTGGAGAAAGGGGAATGTTTGTACTCCATTGGTAGGAATGTAAATTAATACAACCAAAATGGGGAACACTATGGAGGCTTCTCAAAAACTAAAAATAGAACTACCATATCATCCTGCAATCCCACTTCGGGGTATCTATTCAAAGGAAATGAAATCAGTATGTTGAAAATATATTTGCACTCTCATGCTTGTATTATTCATAATAGCCAAGACATGAGATGTGGTTTAGTTCTGTGTCCCCACCCAAATCTCATTTTGAAGTGTAATCCCCATAATTCTCAAGTGTAGAGGGTGGGACCTGGTGGGAAGTGATCGGATCATGAGGGCAGTTTTCCATATGCTATTCTCATGATAGTGAGTGAGTTCTCACGAGATCTGATGGTTTCATAAGGGGCTCCTCCCCCTTTGCTGGCTCTCTCTCTCACCTGCTGCCATGTAAGACATGCCTTTGCTTCACTCTCATCTTCTGCCATGATCGTAAGTTTCCTGAGGCCTCTCCAGTCATGTGGAACTGTGAGTTAATTAAACCTCTTTTTTTAATAAATTACCTAGTTTTGGGTATGTCTTTATGGCAGTGTGAGAATGGACTAATACAACATAGAAACAACCTATGTGTCCATCAACAGATGAATGATAAAGAGAATGTGATATATATGTACACAATAAAATACTACTCAGCCTTAAACAAGAAGGAAATTCTGTCATTGACAATGACACAGATGAACCTAGAGGACATTAGACTAAGTGAATTAAACCAGGCCCAGAAAGACAAATACTGCATTATCTCACTTACATATGGAATCTAAAAAATTTGAACTCATAGAATCGCAGAGTAGAATGGTGGTTATGAGACCCGGAGGGGGAAATGGTCAAAGGGCACAAAATTTCAGTTAGACAGGAGAAATAAATTTTGAAGATCTATTGCACAGCATGGTTACTATTGTTAATACAGTAATAATGTATTATAGACCGGAAAATTGCTAAGAGAAGAGATCTTGAATGTTCTCATCATGAAAAAGCAATATGTAAGGTGATGGATATGTTAATTAGTTTAATTGGAGTAACCATTTCACAATGTATACATAAATCAAAGCACCACATTGTACAATAAATACATAAAATTTTTTTAATTTGTCAATTTAATTTTTTTTTTAAAGCAAAGCTATTTTCCCACTTTACAAAGAATGAACACCGGAAGCTCTCAAACAAAGCCGCCTGGGTCTCACACCTTTCATCTGCAAAACTGATGCTTTGCTCTTTCTTCTACATGGAGCCATTTTTGGGGCAGAAAACATACCCTTGGGCATAGCCTTGAGTTGAAAATCTTTGAGGGTGTTTTCTGTCCAAATGACTGAAAAAATGAATAAAAGCCTCCCCATTTTCATGATGCTTATGCTTTGTGATGGGAGTAGCCTCAAATTATTGCTAAAGGGTTCCCTTTTCTTGTGTAATAATGAAAATCCAGGCAATTACTAGCAAAGAGAACAAGTTGCCTTGGTAGGAGGATTAGGCCTCATCATGATTGTGACTACTGGTTTTATTTCATGGCAAGAGAGGGGGCCAGGAGTCTGCTTGCTTTGATGGACCTTTGAATGATGACTGATTTCATAATGATACTTATTTAACACTTTTTATGTGTACTATTAAGCACTGTATGTAAAATCTCACTTAATCCTCAATATGGCCAAATGAAGTAGGCCCTACTATTTATACCTATTGACTGATTAAGAAAATGGGACATAAAAGGGTTTAGATAGCTTGCCCTAGGGCACACAGGAACTGGCAGTAGACTTCCTGCCTTCTGGGTCATCCTCCATGAAATTGCTGAGAACCACCCAGGAAAAGAGCAAGCCCTGGTGGCCAGCCAGGTTTGGGGCATGTGGTCTCCTAAGCTAGGGAACAGGGCTCCAAGGACTTCTTCTGCCTGCACTGCACGGTCTTTGCTCCTGTGGCCACCCTCCAGACTTCCAGATCCCCCAGCCAAGATGCATGCATTTTCTAAAATCAATATGGATCACTGCATCACCAAGAAAATAACCCAACAATTATTTTGTAAAGGATCCAATGGTGAGACAAGTTTTAATTATAATCCCTTTCACTCTGAATGCTTAGCCCCACCAACCTGCCCCTATTGTTTGTCCTGACGTCCTCCATTTGTCTCACAACCATTTAACAGATGCCTCCTGAGAAGCCATCCATGGGCGTGGGGCTGGGAATGGAGCAGTGAGCAAAAAGGAACAGGCATTGCTCCGTGGAGCATATACAGTATGGGGAAGCCTGGCATCTATGAAATCACTACACAAATATATGTAACTTGCATCTGCAATGATCATGAATGCAAATCAAAAATTCTAAGCCCCCCAACCAACTGAATGGACCCCCTCCTTTTGGCCAAGGGCATTCCAAAGTTAACCTGAAACACTAGTTCGGGGCATGATGGGAAGAGGGGATCAGGCATGCCTCGTTATGCCCTCCTCCCTTTGGAATTCAGGCACAGCTGGCCAGCATTCACATGAAAACAGAGGCATTAAGACTGAGGAAACAGACTCTTTGTAGCAATAAGATACCAACATGACAGATAGCAGGCCCTGAAAGAAATTGAAGCTTTTTACCCTAAAGTGTATTTCTTTGACATATTTTGAAATGGTCTCACAAAGCTGTCTCTTGTGAGGAAGATCAACATTCTATAATTTTCTTCCCTTTCCAGATCTTTCTCTGATCCAGGAGAGAATTAACTGAGAGTCTGGCCTCTTCTTAAGTCTGATAAGAAACATTTACAATCTATTCTCTCGGAAGCCTGCTACCTGGAGGCTTCATCTACATAATAAAAACCTTGGTCTCCACAACCCCTTATCATAATCCAGACACTCCCTTCTATTGATTCCAGGTCCTTAGATAACAATTTAATTATTTCAACCAATTGCCAATTAGAAAATCTTTGAATCCACCTATGACCTGGAAGCCCCATGACCAACCAATTTACATCTTATATGTATTGATTGATGTCTTCTGTCTCCCTAAAATGTATAAAACCAAGCTGTAGCCCGACCACCTTGGGCACATGTTCTCAGGATCTCCTAGGCTGTGCCATCTGCCATGGTCACCCATATTTGGCTCAGAATAAATCTCTTCAAATATTTTAGTTTGTCTCCTTTTGTCAACATGACTTTGCAGAAAGAAAACAAAGATGAGAGGAGGAGTTGGTTTCTGGACAGTCTCCTAGAAGTCTTCCTGTGAACATGGCATTGAAACTGTAACCAAAACACAGGCTCGGTTGTTCTTTGCTGGCAGAGTTTCATTAACAAGAGTATAAAGAAAGTGACTTTTTATGACAGAGCTAGCTTAGGGGAAGAAGTACAGGCTTTCTGCCTTAAGGGTGCTGCTTCCCTTTTGGAACAGAAAGCAGGTGCTTTTAAAAGGAAAATTGACATGTTGGGCACAGTGGCTCATGCCTGTAATCCCAGCACTTTGGGTGGCTGAGGCAGGTGGATGACCTGAGGTCAGGAGTTCAAGACTAGCCTGGCCAACATGGCAAAACCCCATCTCTACTAAAAATACGAGAAAAATAGCCTGGCATGGTGGTGCCTGCCCGTAATCCCAGCTACTTGGGAGGCTGAGGCAGGAGAATCGCTTGAACCTGGGAAGCGGAGGTTGCAGTGAGAAGAGATCGCACCATTGCACTCCAGCCTGGGCAACAGAAGCGAAACTCTGTCTTGAAAAAAAAAAGGAAAATTGACATAAATGGCATGCAGTGGAGGAAGCAGGCAGGTAGGGGTCTGTGTAACTCACTTTGGTGCTTTATCTACTAGGTGGTCCAGTTGGCACCTTCACGGGCAGAACTAAGTTGTAAAAGTGATTGAACATCTCAAGGTGGGAGAGTTTCATGTTGGCCATACTTTGAGTTGTGGATAGACTGCTGTCTTGAGGCAATCTCCAGGTGGGAGAGAGTTTCATGTTGGGGATACTTTGAGTTGTAGATGGATTGCTCTCTCTCAAGGTGACAGAGAGTTCCACGCTGGAGCTACTAAGCACCTAGTTAGCTGAACTTGCCCTGTAGACAGTACCTGGTGAAGTGGAGGTAAAAGGCTATAACTGCACTTCTAAAGAGTTAAGTAGGAAGTGGGGAGCAGAGGAAAAGCAGGAAAGAGAAAAGAAGAAAACAAATAATAAACTCATTCTCTTGTTCTTAGAAAGATGGAAGTACTCAGTTTTAAAACCAAAATAGGAAGTGACAAGTAGGAGAACAATGAAGGAAAGAGCATTCCAGGCAAAGGGGACAATGTGCTCAACACCCTTGTAGCAAGAGAGGACATGCTGGATCTCAGAGGCTGAAAGAGGGTGTGATGGTTAATTTCATGTATCAGCTTGACTAGGCTAAGTGATGCCTAGATAGCTGGGAACGCATTATTTCTGGGTGTATCTGCAAGGCTGTTTCCAGAAGAGATGAGTATTTGAATATGAAGACTGAGTAAGAAAGATCCTCCTTCTCCCGTGTAGGTGGGCATCACCAAATCCACTGAGGACCCAGATAGAACAAAAAGACAGAGGAAGGGTACATTCGTTCTCTCTCTTCTCAAGCTGGGACATCCATCTTCTCTTACCCTTGAACATTGGAGATCCTGATTCGTGGGCCTTTGGATTCTGAGACTTCTACCAACAGCTCCCCCAGTTATGGTTTCTTATGACTGCTAAGCTGATGGTTTAACCACGGGAGGGAAGGTTCTGGTTCAGACTAGAAAACCAGGCCCCGTCCTGCCTGGGCTGTGAGTCTAGAAGAAGCCTCTGTTACAGAAGCCTCTGCAACCCCCCAGGGCTGCTCCTTCTCTTGCCAGGATCTTTGTTCCCTGCAGATGAGATATCTGGCTTCTTCTTCCTGCTCTCTAGAGTCGGCCTTCACTCTAAGTTGGGTTGCCCCAAGTCCTTCAGAACCCAGGGAGAAGCAGCTGCCTCTTCCTCTAGAGTCGACAGAATGTGTTCCTGTCACTTTCAGGTCACTCCTAGTCCCAAATCCTACAAAAACCTCCCAGCTCACACACTTGCCATCCCAGCTGACTCCTTTTCCTCCTGTCCCCACCCTTGACCTGGCTGCCTGGCTCTTGGCATGAGCCTGGCCTCTCCGGGGACCCAGAGTCAGCCATCCCTTCCAACAGATCTTGTCATTGCCCTCAGGTAACACTTCCAAGGGTCCCATGAGATGCTTCGTGTTCATGGCTGTGTTCATCCATTCTGTCACTGCTATAAAGAAATACCTGAGACTGGGTAATTTATAAAGAAAATAGCTTTCATTGGCTCATGGCTCTGCAGGCTGTACAGGAAGCACAGTGGCTTCTGCTTCTGGGGAGGCCTTAGGAAACTTAGAATCATGGCAGAAGGCAAAGGGGAAGCAGGCACATCTCATATGCCCGGAGCAGGACCAAGAAAGAGCAGGAGCGGGGAGGTGGCGCATACTTTTAAATAATGAGATCTCCTGAGAACTCTATCACAAGACAGCACCAAGGTGATGGTGCTTAACCATTCATGAAGTTTCCACCCCTATGATCCAATCACCTCCCACCAGACCTCACCTTCAACACTGGGGATTACAATTTGACATGGGATTTGGGCAGGGACACAGATCCAAACCTTATCGATGCATGTTTGGGAAACTCCTGGTTGCATCTCCATCTTCGTACTGGAGATTCACTGTGTTAGCACAGTAAAGTTTCTGGAAAGTTCTGCAGTATAAGCTACTGTTCCATCTGGTGAAAGGGGCCTTCCCTAAACCTTCATCACCTGGACGCCCATGTCCACATAACATTTGTGAACATGCCACGAATGATGCAGACAGATGCAGACATTTGACACAGCCATGCAGGTGTGATTGCTCCAGCCAAGCACCAATAATTTGGCTACCAGCACATGCACCAGCCCTTTTCTTCCTAGGTACCCCAAGCCCACTCCCTGCTTCTTCCCCAAGCCCCTAGCCTTGTCTTTATCCTGGTTACTTCATTATATTTCAAGCCCTGATCTAATAGCAAGGAGCTGGGGCTTTCTTTTCTTTCTTTTTATTTGCTTTTGTCACTCAAGGAGCTGGGACTTTTCTAGAGGCCCCAGAGTTCCAGCCTGAACATGAAATCCCAAGTGAGAAGTTGAAACCTGATATAAGCAGAGCTCGGTGATGATGAGTCATATTTTAGTGTGCGTGGACTGAATGAATGAGGGATTGAATGGACACGTGGATTACCTGAATGAATGAGAAAGCTAATAAGCTAGGATCTAGGACATTGTTCTAATGTATTTTTATATGTAGGTGAAAACCATCATATTCCCCTCTTAGACGCATGTATGGGAATGTGCAAAAGACTCTCCCAGTCTGAGGGAGGAGTTGCTCTAGAAAGCTCTAGACACAGCATGCAGCTGTGGCATATGATAGCAGGTGCACTCTTTCTCCAGCCTTTCTCACTGTCCTGCTTATGGCCAGGAAAAAGCCTCATTGGGGCCTATAGTTGATGATTGTGGCTTTTGCATGTCCTGACCATTTCTCTATCAACAGGGAGGCTGTGCTGCAGCTCATAGCAGCAGGTGCCAGAGTGGCCAAGGAGCAAGTTCCAAATCCTACGCCCAGTGGCTTTCCCTTTCAGGCTGGCCAGGCCCGCACTTTTGCAGGTGAGGAACCAAAGTGGAGCAGGATGCTGACTTGCCTGGGGCCACGCTGCAGGCATAAGCCAAAAGCAGGTTTCTGGCTCCTCCTACTGCCAGGCTAGACAGGACATCTCAAGCCCAGCTTCCCAGCAGAATTAGAGGGGAGGCTTTTACAAATACTGATGCCAGGGCCCACTCCAACAGAGTTCTATGGGTATTGCTCTGCCGTGGTGCCCGGACAACCTTGTGTGGATCCACACAGGCTCCATCAAAGTACTGCCTATCTGGATCTTGGCAGAACAGTTTGTGATTCCCCAGAACGCAAGAGGATGGGAGCCCATGACGAGCTGCTCCGGAGCCACCCTCACCTCCCCTCCCTTCTCCTCAGGGCTAATGAAGTAAAGGTCTTCTCCCACACTTTCAGTGCTTAGAGTGCAGGTGCAGGATACAAAACCACTCTGCTGCAGTCTAGAACCAGCTCCCTAGCAATGGGGTGTCCCATAGCTCCTATCCCAGCCATCCAGCCCATTGTCTTGGTGGTGTCCTGGTCAGGGTTTCCAGTGTGTGGGACGAGGCTCCGGGGGAGACGGCACCTTTGGCCTAACTCTTTTCTCCGTCTCTGTGTGTAATAAAAGGCTCTAACAGTGGCTCATATGCGAGGCTTTGGCCTTGTTCAATGGGTGTACTTGACAAGAATCGGACGCAACAGCAGGAAGGGATGAAGGCTAGAATGCTTTGTTTGAGGTTTTGGTTTTTACTTTTTATTTGGAAGCAATTATGGATGCAAAGAAATTTGCGAAACAATGAACAGCAGGCTTGTATGTCTTTTCCTCAACTCCAATGGTAACGCTGTGCAGAACTCCAGGATGGCGTCAAAACCACGAGGGCGACCTGGGTACCATCCACAGAACCTCTTCATATTTCTTTTTCTCTTTTTTCTTTTTCTTTTTGATACAAGGTCTCATTTGGCCACCTAGCCTGGAGTGCACTGTTGGGAACATGGCTCACTGCAGCTTCAACCTCTTGGGCTCAAGTGATCCTCCTGTCTCAGCCCCCAAGTAGCTGGGACTACAGGCATACACCATCACACCCAGCCTAACTTCTTCAGATTTCACTGGTTTACATGCCTGTGGGTGTGGGTGTGTATCATTCTGTGCAATTTCCTCATGTGTGCAGATTCATGTGACCATCACAAGTGACAACAGCCAAAACTGCTTTATGACCACAGGTCAATGACATCCCTCATTACCCCTCAGGCTCCATCCCCATTCCTAACCCTGAACAGCCACTCAGGTTCTGTGTCTCTAATGTTGATATTTCAAGAATGTTATTTAGATGGAATCACACATTCTCCAAGAACATTTTTGAGACTGGCTTCTTTCAATCAGCATCATTCCCTTGAGATCCTCCCAAGTTGTCATGCGCAACGAGAGTTCATCGTCTTTGCTGCTGAGCAAACCTCCCTGGCATGGACGGAGCACAGTTTGTTTCACCCTCACCCATGAAGGAACATCCAGATTGTTTCCAGTTTGGGGCTGTCCCAAAGAAAGCTGCCATGAACGTTCAGGTACAGGTTTTCATGTGAACATAACTTTTCATTTCTCTAGAATAAATGCCCAAGAGCGCAAATGCTAGCTTCTGTGATAATTGCATTTCAGTTTTATAAGATACAGCCTAACTCTTGTCTACAACACATGCCTATGTTGATGTTGTTGCTTTTTGGTTTTGGGGGGCATGTTTTGAGACAATGTCTCGCTCTGTCTCTCAGGCTGGAGTGTAGTTGTGTAATCATAGCTCACTGCAGCCTCGAATTCCTGGACTCAAGCAATCCTCCCCCTTAGCTTCCCAAGTAGCTGGGACCATGGTTGCATCACTGTGCCCTGCTAATTTCTCTCTCTTTCTCTCTGTAGAGATGGGTTTTGTTGTTGTTGTTGTTTTAACTCTCCTATGACTCTCTTGTGTAGTCAGGGCTGAGCATTGCTGCTCTGGAAGCCAAACTGGGGCATCCCAGATGTGGCAGGAACGTCAGCTGATGAAGCTGAGGTCTTCATTTCATCCACACAGAACACAAGGTACTCAGTTGTTTTCAGGGATAGTTCCTGGGAAATCTTTCTGAATCATCTCCCAGCTACTGAAGTGGGCCGTTTCCTCTGTCTTCTTAATGTACTTATGTGTGGGCCACTCGGGTGTGAGCTCAAGAGAATGTCAGTGTCCACACTGACATCTACACAGGTCTCAGGGGTAGCAAACTGGCCTAAAATGCAGCTGACTGGGGCGTCTGGCTGAGCTCTGTGACTGGGGGCAATTGTTTTTCTGACTGCTGGCACTGTGTCTTGGAGGCTGAGGGGTTTTTCTGCAGAACAGTGCTCTTTTGCCATAGCCCAGTGTTCCTGTGCCCTGAGCCTCATGCTAGAGCTTGCAAAGAATCGAAGTCAAGGCAGTTTCTTTCCCAAGAGGTGTGACTTCTCTGGGCACCCTTGGGTGTTCTGGGATGTGTGTTCCATGTCTTTTGCAGCCATGAGGAGCAAATAGCATTTGTAGCTGGTGAAACCGCCTTTGCAAAATTATAACTGAGGAAGTTATAACTTGTGAGAGCTCACGAAAGTGAAAGAAATCAGACCTAACCGACACCATCTTGCTTGTAACCTTTAAGCTGTCCTTGTTCACTTCTGGGCAGAGGCCAAACTAACTTTAGGAAGGAATTCAGTTCATGATTTGACTGTGAAACAAAACTGATAACAGCCCTTTCCCAAAGAGACCCCCTTCTTGTCTGGGGACCAGTCTGCCTTTGCAGGACTAACGAAGTAGCTACAAGATTGGAAATTACAGTTCAGGGGTCATGCAGCCTCTGACTCCAAGAGTCTGAACCTCCCCAAATTTCTCCTGGGGATAACATCACTATCGTAAAACCTAAGATCAGTGCTGGAGGTATTTCGCAGACCCTGCACTCCACCAAGACCGGTAATCTGGCTCAACCAGTCCTGCCGTCCCACCCAGGAACAGAAGACAGCAAGAAAAACTCACTTCGGACCCCCTCTGATTCCATCTCCAACATGACCAATCAGCACTCCCCTCTTCTGAGCTCCTATCCACCAAATTATCCTTAAAAACGCAAATCCCTGAATGCTTGGGGAGAATGATTTAAGTTGAGGACTAAGCTCTGATTTTTTATCTTAGCCAAATTCCTACCTAAGGGGGCTAGGGAGTCAGGCCCTACAAACCATACATTCTCATCAGATGCGTTTTATTTGACACGATATATTGTGACTTACTTTTCAGTCTGATTCCGGCATAACATTATGAGACAAGGAAAATATATTTAACCCCAAAATATATTTCTTTTCGTACCTTGAAATTGCCCTGCAAAGTCTTTTGTGGGAAAAATCCACATTCTATAGAGAATCCCCTTCCCCCTTTGTCTTCCCTCCTTTCTTTCCAGATCCAGTAGATAATTGACTAAGAGCCAGGCACCCTTTTAGGTCTAATAAGAAACATTTTACAACCTGCTCTGTCTCTGAAGTCTGCAACCTGAAAGGTTCCTCTGCACAATAAAACGTGGTCTCCACAATCCTTTCCGTCAACCTAAGCATTCCTTTCCGTTGGTCTCAGATCCTCAGATAACCAGTTATCAACCAGAAAATGTTGACATTTATCTATAGCCTGGAAGCCCCCAGCTTTGAATTGCCCCGCCTTCCTGAAGCAAACCAAAGTATTTCTTAAACATATTTGATTGATGTCTCGTGCCTCCCTAAAATATATAAAACCAAGCTGTGCCCCGACCACCTTGGGCATATGTTCTCAGAACCTCCTGAGGGCTGGGTCACAGGCCACGGTCACTCATATTTGGCTCAGAATAAATCTCTTCAAATATTTTACAGAGTTTGACTCTCTTCTTCAAGAAAGTAATAATAAAACTCCGATCCCCCACACAGCTGGCTCTGCGTGAGTTACTATTTCTACCTTGCAATTCTCCTGTCTTGATAAATCAGCTCTGTCCAGCCAGCAGGCAAGGTGAACCCCTGGGACAGCCACCCTGGGAGCATGGGCAGGACTTCCTTGGACACATTTCCTGGAATGCAGCCTGAAAGCAAGGATCGGAGTCCCTGAGTCTGAGCTGCTTCCAGCTTCCCCTCCAGAGACAGCTCTAGGCCACACCTCCAGTGGCCCTTCGGATGACCATGGGGCACCTGTCACCCGTGCTGCACTTGCCTAGGGTCTCCATGAGCTACCCAGATGAGAGCACACGCCTCGGAGGCCGGGTCTGCCCAGCAGTGAAACATCTGGCACTGACTCCCAGCATCTGACTCTCCTCACCTCGTGAAGCCCCCAAAACATTTCCTCCCAGAGGAGCTGTGGGATTTCCCACCAACCCCATCGCTGCCCCTCTGCCTGGGCCACCCCCTCTGCACGCCCGACCCCCTACCTTGGGGGGCGAGCCAAATGCCAAACAAAAACAAAACAAAACAAGGGAAACAAAAGCAAACAAAAGAATTCCCCCGGCCTCCCTCTAAGCACAAAAGAGCAGGCTTGTGGGAAGAGGGAAGCCAAGCCAGGGGGGGCTGGGGGTCCCCCATTGTTCTCTTCCCCAGCCTGGTGATGACAATCCCAGGCCTGCGGGTTGCAGCCCCCTCCCTGGCAATCAGCACCCCTCCTCTTTTCCCACCTCGGGCCTCTGAGAAAGACGCCCCAGGCAGATGTTCATAGGCCCAGGAGTGGTTCCCACAGAAGGAGGAAGCGAGAGCTCACAAAAGGCTCGGCTTTTCCTTGAGGAAGCAGCAGCGGCTTTTCAGTGTCAGACTCCCGCAAGGATGGGGGACAGGGAGGCCTGGACCCAGGGGACCGGCCCGGAGAGGAGCTGCCTCTCCGGAGGAAGGGAGGGCATTGTGCGCCCCTGTTTACAGTGCTAACGGGGGCCGTGACCTTGCTACTTGTCAACAGGCTGGCCCCCCACCCCCACCAAACTTTGCACACTGTGGAGCAGCCCATTGAGAATTTTGCTTGGGGTGGCTGGGTTTTGGCTGTGGCCCTTCCCCCACTGGCTCACTTTCAGCATTGTGGCCTGGATAAGAAAGTCAGATCTCAGGGGGTTTCTCTTTGCCCCGGAGCCAGCTTCCTACCCTGGCCTTCTGGTCTCGAGGTTCTGTTAACCCTTCAAAGAGCAAGAGAAGGAATGGGGCTCCTCTAACAACAGGTTCAGCCAGCCTAGACCCCGGCCCCATCTTCCCGGTATTGGTTGGGGACAGTGACACGGGGTTCCAGGAAGGGCCTGGGCAAAGAACAGTTTGGGTGATTTGTGGCACACGGGAGAGGCAGGAGGGGAAGAGGGTGGCATCTTAGAAATTGAGGCTGTCCTGAGAAAGGGCCAACTCTCTGCAGCCACAGGGACACAAGCTGATGAGACACGCACATCTTCAAAGGAACATTGACCAACCAGGCAGAGGGGAGAGAAGGCCCTGGAAAGGCCTGGAAGTTCCATGGAAGGCAAAGGAGTCAAGTGGACTCCAGAGGCCAGGCCTGGAGAAGACCACGGCACCGTGATGCCGGTGGGGCGGTGGCGGATGGGGGTTCCTGATCTATCAGGGGCTGCCATGGAGCAGAGGGGCACATTTACTCTGAGTAACTCAAGGGCAGACACTAGAACCAGGGTGGAAACTCCTGGAAGCCTAGATCCTGTCAATAAAGGATGCTCCCCTATGCTGGAGGTGGACATACAACCCCGGGAAGGCAGTAAACTCCCACCCCGAGAAGCAGAGCAGTGGCATTTAGGAGCCAGAGGGTGTCTGGAGACCACTGAGACGGGGCTAGGAAGCTGGGGCTCAGCTCACCCTGGGACCACCCCAGGCCACCCAGGGAGCCTGGACCGAGCTAAAACTAGAACCCAGGGAGTCCCCTCCCACACTCATGTTCAACTGGAGCCCAGCTGCCCTGTCAAGGAGCCCCCCAGGTCAAACCTGTGAAAGAAGGGGAGGCCAGGGGGGCCGAGGGCTCCTCCGAACTCAGAGGCAGTCTTTGAGGACTGTTCAGCGCCCCCACCCCACTCTTCCCACTCCCCCATTACAAGTGCCCGTGCATTTAAATCCGATTCATCCCTCACTGATCCCTCTCACCTCCTGTCTTCTGGCCCACCTGGCTCCAGCTCAGAAAATCCATGAGCTGTTGGGGCTCCCCTCTCTGGAACTAGCTCCTTCTTCCTGGGGATTTCTACCTCCCACCTGCCCCCGACACACCCCATGTCCCCATGAGTCCACCTGGTAACTGCTGTACAGCTCACTTGCCCTGAGGAAGCTTCTCTGAGGGGTGTTGAAGGCTCTGAGGAGCGCTTGCCTCTGTCCTCATGGCAGCCACAACTCCACTTAGCACGAGTCACTTGCCTTGCAGTTGTGTGGTGTCCTGGGTGTCCCTGAGTGGCTCCTGAGATTTAGGCTTCTACTCCGTAGTGTGTCTGTGCATGTGTGTGTGTGCATATGTGTGTGTCATGTATGTGTGTGCCATGCATGTGCATGCATGTGTGCGTGCACGTGTGCCTGTATGTGTGGACATGCATGTGTGTGCATGTGTGCGCATGTGTCCCCATGCATGCATGTGCGTGCGTGGGTTTGCATGTGTGTGTGTGCACCCTCATGCACTACAAGTGGCTGAGTGCTCTGGATGAGGGGATGAAAGGCCCTTGGGCCCAGGAGGAATAAGGAGTCTGCAGTTCAGGCTGCAGGGTTCCTTGTGAGTGGGGCCAGCACAGCAAGCACTGTCTGCACCCCAGAGAGATGGAGGCATGTGCTTCTCCCCTACGGCCCGTTCCTTCTTCAGAGGTTTCCTTTGGTTCATTGCTGGTCTGTTTGCTTTTCTCCAGGAAGCCCCCCATTTTAAAGAGACAGAGGTGATCGGGATTTGAGAGAAGAAGAATCTTCTGACTGGGAGAGACACAGATCATCCTAGGAAGCCCTTCCACACCACACAAAGATGCGCCCATGGGGTTCTCACAGTGGCGCTGTGGCAGAGCGGGTAGTACTGCCTGGTTTGGCAGCATGGGTGGGGATCAGGGCAGGGATCCTGGCTCAGCCTCTTTGCAGTTGTGTGACTCAGGGCAAGGTTAACCTCCCTGAACCCCAATGTCCTTAGATGTAAAATGGGGATGTTGGAATCTATCAAAGGACTTTCGCAGTGGTTGATGAGACAAAGTAAGTAAACCATGAAGCACAACTGGAGATAGATGTGGCAGCCCCTCCTTGCTTCCTTGACCTTCCAAGAGGGCAGGGAGACAGCCCAGGACCGCAGAGAGCAGAGCTGGTCTACAGAGGCCTCTTTGCCCAGCTGTCCCACCACAAGGCTGGCTCTAATCTGACACACTGAGGTCTGGGACTAGGAGTAATTAGGGTTATCAGTGTCTTGTCTTTTCCATTTTTCACTTCCAATGGCTGCCAAACTAGCAAAACCCAAGATCAGAGCTAAGAAGGCAGACAAGGGGAACTTGGACCTTTCTCAGAAGCCACAGTGGGCCGAGGGTCCCACAACCTCACAAAGCCTCACATCCCAGGGACCTGCCCACCCTGTGTCTCTGCCCCCATCCCGTCTGCTCTTCATTGGCTCACTCCTGCAGGCACTGTTCGAGGAGTCTCTGCACAGAGAACAGGTCCTACCCCAGCCGTTTCCTCCCAGGCTTGACAATCCATGTGGCACCTCCCCTTGGCTACAAGCAGCTAAGTAAGGAAGAAGAAAAGGAGACAAAGAAAAATGACAGCTTTGCTGGGAGCAGTGGCTCATGCCTATAATCCCAGAACTTTGGGAGGCCAAGGCAGGTGGATCACTTGAAGCCAGGAGTTTGAGACCAGCCTGGTCAACATATTGAAACCCTGTCTCTACTAAAAATTAGCTGAGCATAGTGGCGGGTGCCTGTAATCCCAGCTACTTGTGAGGCTGAAGCAGGAGAATCACTTGAACCTGTAAGGCAGAGATTGCAGTGAGCTAAGATCATGCCATTGCACTCCAGCCTGGGAGACAGTGCAAGACTCCAAAAAAAAAAAAGAAAGAAAGAAAAAGAAGAAAGCCAGCTTCCTGCAGCCTACTTGCACTGGGGGAGGAACTGGTGCACCCGGTAGCCCTGGGCTCTCCCCGTCATTCCCAAAGCACTTCTCCCATCATGGACTCGGAATCCAAAGGCAACTGAGTCAGGATCCAGACCCAACTCCCCCCAAAGCCAGGACCCTCTCCCTGCCAGGAAAAGAAAGGAGAGAACTCATCAATTGCAGGATCATCAAGACCCAGAAGAGAAAGGCATGGTTTTTCCCTGGAAAATCCATTTCCCATGTTTGGGCAGGGGCAGGACTAAGTCACTTGCTGTGGTCAGACATGAGACAGGCTCCTCTGGGCTGTCTTTTCAGCACAGACTCCTCCTTGGGCTTCCTTGTCTGTCCTTATAGAGTTCTGTTTAATTAAGAATCCCGTTAGTCACCCTTGACGGCGGGTCAATTTCCTCCTCTGCCCCATTCCCTCTGTGGTGTCTGGTCACCCTGGCCTCTGCCTTCAGCGAGAATCTGGTAGGTCGGTTTTGCCAGAATCCCCACCCGTTGATACCTCCCGTTAGTGATTTTCCACCCACTGAACCCCTAACCTGCTCTTTGGTGATAAATCCCCACTTATTCTTACGTTCCAAGTTGGGCCAATCTCTCTCCTCTATTGTGACAGTCTTGAAACCTGCCCAGATAGTCCTGAGTAAAGCCTTCCTTACCCTTTAAACACGCATCAAAATAATTTTTCCTTTAACAGGTAATATTAGGAGCGAACACAAAGACAAACAAATGCATATCTGCTCTGCTTGGGTGCTCAGCTGAATACCGCGCTTGACTATGAGTTGCATGAGCTATGGAGCTGACCCGGTGACTCGAGGAGCCAATATAGGGCCTTATACCAACACCGAGTTGTGGCAGGTGGAAGACCCAGTTGTGCAGGAATTCCCTTGTGGCGAGGAGAGTCTGAGCAGCTGCAGGCAGCAGCCCTGGAAGGGAGCCCTAGCAGAGTGCCAGCCACTGCTCTGTAGGTGGTTACCAAGGCTGGATGCCTCTTTATTGAGGGTCTGACCTGAAAATGGAGCCTCTGCCGAAAGCCACCCTCGCCCCTGGAGACAGTCTCCTAGTATCATGGGGTGCTGGCCAGGGTCTGTGTTGGAAGCTGTGATTCCTGGAGCTGTGGCTGACTCTTGCATGGAGATGAACAACCAGGTTTGTGGCCACATCTTGCCGTGTGTGTGTGTGTGTGTGTGTGTGTGTGTGTGTGTGTGTGTGTGTGTGTGTATTGAGACAGGGTCTTGCTCTTTTGCTCAGGCTGGAGTACAGGCGGGTGATCATAGCTCACTTGCAGCCTCAAACTCCTGGGCTCAAGCAATCCTCCCACCTCAGCCTCCTGAGTAGCTGGGTCTACAGGTGCAGAGCACCGCGCGTACCTAATTCTTTTAACTTTATTTTTTGTAGAGACAGGTTCTCCCCATGTTGCCCAGGCTGGTCTCAAACTCCTGGGCACAAGTGATCCGCCTGCCTCAGCCTCTCAAAGTGCTGGGATTTCAGGCAAGAGCCACCGGGCCTGGTTCCTTGCTTTCTCTGAGTGGAGCTCCTTTCCACGGGCCACATCCCAGCAGAAGATTTCACTCTTCACTGCACACTCCATGTAATTATAGCATTTAGGAACTGCAAGAGACACTAGAGATCTTGCTCACTCCCTCATTTGACAGTTACGGACTGAACATTGGGTTAAATCCCTCACTCCACGCCAAGCAGTGACTATGCGGGTACAGCCAGGATTGGAATCGGAGTGGAGCTGTGGGGAGCTCCCCTCCCAATCAGCGGGATCCCACAGGGTGCCTGAAAAGGACTTCACTTATTTTTCACCCTCAAAGTTGGGACAAAACCACCCATAAAGTTTTCTTTGTGGGAGGAGGAAAAAATAAGAATCGCAACTCAGCAGGGAATACGATTTTAAAAATAAGTATTGGGGCTGATGTGTTTAATGCCCGCCCCATGGGGCTCCTGGGCCCATAACTCAGTAGCACAATGGCCTTTCTTGTTATGAATGAGTGTGAGGTGCCAGCAGAGGAAATAGGAAGCCCCCAATATAGTCTGAATGGACCTGTGAACAGGGATAATAAAAGTTGTCCTGGATTTCCGTCCCCACCAGGTGTTTCCGCCAGGACTTCCATCCATTCAGGCTCGGGATGGCCGCTGGGGCCAAATCATCCCCCGCCCAGCCCTGGCCCCTTGCCCCGTGCCCGTGACCTCACCGTGTTCACCAGATGCCCCTCGGGCCTGGGCTCCCGGGACTCTGTGATGAGCATGGCTTCATCCCTATGGCCCCAGCTCTGTGAGATCTGTTCTGAAGGAGATGGTGAGGGGTGGGAGAGAGAAGGTGGTCACCAGATGACAGCTCCCCCAGGTCTGTCGCCCCCTCATTCTCCATAGGAGATGCTCAGGAGAGGGGATCCAGTTGCACATGGAGACAGGTGGCCACAGGTGATGGGGGGCAGAGACACTGGAGTCAAGAGGGCCTTGGCAAAGCAGGGAGGACTGGATTAGAAGCTGAGGAGGAGCATCCATCTGCCTGCAGGAGCTAAGGCATAGCCACGCCAGGGGAACACTGCAGCAGTCAGAGCTAGGAGCCTGCAGGCTGCCGCCTCCAACTCGCCCTGTGACCTTGAGCTCATCAATTGCCTCGCCAAAGCTGGCCCTTAGTTCCCAAACAAGGAGGTGGGGATGGCCTGCTCACCCAGTGCTACCTGAAATGATCCCAAACCAGATTCCACACAGGACGCAATCTGCAGAATCACACACACATCTGCGGAATCACACACACATCTGCGGAATCGCACACACATCTGCAGAATCGCACACACGTCTGCAGAATCGCACACACGTCTGCAGAATCACACACACATCTGTGGAATTGCACACAGGGAAAGGGAGGCTTTGTTCACGTGAACCAGGCAGGACACACAGATGAGCAAAGTCGACCTGGCACAAGGCCTCAGGGAGGAATGAGGGCCATAGGGCATGGGTCCACCACCCTCCTACAGATGTCCACGGTCTGTGTATTGCAACACCATGCAGGCCCCGGAACATATACCTGCTACCAGGTGAGGGGCCCACTTAGACAGCCTTCCTGTCACTGGATGCTGGGGAGGCTGCTGGGGTGTGAAGTCCACACTGTGCTTTAACTGTTTCAGGGGAGCAGATTCACAGACATGCTTCCCTGTCACTCTCAAAGAGGGGGTTCATTCTCTGGAGGTAGGAAATATCTCATGAATGACTTGGCTTTTTACACAGCAGATGGTTTGCAACACACACTAGCTGAATGGACAAGAGATCTTGGACCACCCATAGTTCTGACCTGCTCAGGGAACCGGTCATTCATCCCCCAGCCCAGGTAAGAAGGTTTACCTCCAGAGAGCCTCTCTTGACTGCCCCACCTGGGGGACCCTGCTTCGTGTATATGGATAGCTCACCCCATAGTCCCTAAGAACATTTTATAGGCACAACTTGTGTTATTATTCTTCACTTTATGCACTTCATAGCTATTTCATTTTTTTTACAAATTGAAGGTTTGTGGCAACCATGCATCAAACAAGTCTATCAGTGCCATTTTTCCAACAGCATGTTCTTACTTCATTAGCATTTTTAGCAATAACGTATTTTCAAATTAAGGTATGTGCCAGGCCTCTGAGCCCAAGCTAAACCATCATATCCCCTGAGACCTGCACGTACACTTCCAGATGGCAGGTTCCTGCCTTAACTGATGACATTCCACCACAAAAGAAGTGAAAATGGCCTGTTCCTACCTTAACTGATGACATTGTCTTGTGAAATTCCTTCTCCTGGCTCATCCTGGCTCAAAAGCTCCCCCACTGAGTAACTTGTGACCCCCACTCCTGCCTGCCAGAGAACACCCCCCTTTTTCCTTTACCTACCCAAATCCTATAAAACGGCTCCACCCCTATCTCCCTTCGCTGACTCTCTTTTCAGACTCAGCCCACCTGCACCCAGGTGAAATAAACAGCTTTATTGCTCACACAAAGCCTGTTTGGTGGTCTCTTCACACGGACGCGCATGAAATTTGGTGCCGTGACTCAGATCGGGGGATCTCCCTTGGGAGCTCAATCCCCCGTCCTCCTGCTCTTTGCTCTGTGAGAAAAGTCCACCTACGACCTCAGGTCCTCAGACCGACCAGCCCAAGAAACATCTCACCAATTTCAAATCCATTAATTTCAATCCAGTAATTTCAAATCCAGTAAGCAGCCTCTTTTTACTCTCTTCTCCAACCTCCCTCACTATCCCTCAACCTCTTTCTCGTTTCAATCTTGGCACCACACTTCAATCTCTCCCTTCTCTTAATTTCAATTCCTTTCATTTTCTGGTAGAGACAAAGGAGACACGTTTTATCCGTGGACCCAAAACTCCAGCGCTGCTCACGGACTACGGAAGGCAGCCTTCCCTTAGTGTTTAATCATTGCAGGGACAACCTCTCTGATTATTCACCCAGGTTTCAGAGGTGTCAGACCACGCAGGGACGCCTGCCTTGGTCCTTCACCCTTAGCAGCAAGTCCCACTTTTCTAGGGGAGGGGCAAGTACCCCAATCCCTTCCCTCCGTGTCTCTACCCCTTCTCCACTTTTCTGGGGGAGGGGCAAGAACCCCTCAACCCCTTCTCCTTCTCAACCCCTTAGCGGCAAATCCCACTTTTCTAGGGGACAAGAAACCCCAATCCCTTATTTCCGTGCCCCAACCAACCTCTTATCTCTGCACCCCAATCCCTTATTTCCGCACCCTGACCTCTTATCTCTGCACCCCGATCCCTTATTTCCACGCCCCGACCTCTTAGCTCTGTGCCCTAATCCCTTATTAATCCCTTATTTCCACACCCCGACCTCTTATCTCTGCACCCTGATCCTTTATTTCCACGCCCCGACCTCTTATCTCTGCACCCTCATCCCTTATTTCTGCACCCTGACGTCTTATCTCTGCACCCCAACCCCTTATTTCCACACCCCGACCCCTTTCCCACTTTTCTGGAGGGTAAGAACCCCTGAACCCCTTCCCTCCGTGTCTCTACTCTCTCTTTTGTCTGGGCTTGCTTCCTTCACTATAGGCAATCTTCCATCCTCCATTCCTCCTTCTTCTCCCTTAGCCTGTGTTCTCAAGAACTTAAAACCTCTTCAACTCACACGTGACCTAAAACCTAAATGCCTTATTTTCTTCTACAATGCCGCTTGACCCCAATACAAACTCGACAGTAGTTCCAAATAGCCAAAAAACAGCACTTCCATTTTTTCCATCCTACAAGATCTAAATAATGCTTGCTGTAAAATGGACAAATGGTCTGGAGTGCTTGACGTTCAGGCATTCTTTTACACATCAGTCGCTACCTAGTCTCTGTTCCCCATGCAACTCTTCCCAAATCTTCCTTCTTTCCCTCCCACCTGTCCCCTCAGTCCCAACCCCAAGCATCGCTAAGTCTTTCTAATCTTCCTTTTCTACAGACCCATCTGACCTCTCCCCTCCTTGCCAGGCCGAGCTAGGTCCCAATTCTTCCTCAGCCTCCGCTCCTCCACCCTATAATCCTTTTATCACCTCCCCTCCACACATCCAGTCCGGCTTACAGTTTCATTCCGTGACTAGCCCTCCCCCACCTGCCCAGCAATTTCCTCCTAAAAAGGTGGCTGGAGCCAAAGCCACAGTCAAGGTTAATGCTCTTTTTTCTTTATCCCAAATCAGATAGTGTTTAGGCTCTTTTTCATCAAATATAAAAATCCATCCCCGTTCATGGCTCGTTTGGCAGCACCCCTGAGACGCTTTACAGCCCTAGACCCTAAGAGGTCAAAAGGCCGTCTTATTCTCAATATACGTTTTATTACCCAATCTGCTCCCGACATTAAATAAAACTCCAAAAATTAAATTCCGGCCCTCAAACCCCACAACAGGACTTAATTAACCTCGCCTTCAAGGTGTACAATAATAGAGGCAGCCAAGTAGCAGCATATTTCTGAGTTGCAATTCCTTGCCTCCACTGTGAGACAAACCCCAGCCACATCTCCAGCACACGAGGACTTCCAAACGCCTAAACCGCAGTGTCCAGGCATTCCTCCAGAACCACCTTCCCCAGGAGCTTGCTACAAGTGCCAGAAATCTGGCCACCAGGCCAAGGAATGCCCGCAGCCTAGGATTCCTCCTAAGCCGTGTCCCATCTATGCAGGACCCCACTGGAAATAGGACTGTTCAACTCACCTGGCAGCCACTCCCACAGCCCCTGGAACTCTGGCCCAAGGCTGTCTGACTGACTCCTTCCCAGATCTTCTCGGCTTAGTGGCTGAAGACTGACGCTGCACGATCGCCTCGGAAGTCCCGTAGACAATCACGGATGCCGAGCTTTAAGTAACTCTCACAGTGGAAAATAAGTCCGTCCTCTTCTTAATCAATACAGAGGCTACCCACTCCACATTACCTTCTTTTCAAAGGCCTGTTTCCCTTGGCTCCGTAACTGTTGTAAGTATTGACAGCCAGGCTTCTAAACCTCTTAAAACTCCCCAATTCTGGCGCCAACTTAGACAATACTCTTTTAAGCACTCCTTTTAGTTATCCCCACCTGCCCAGTTCCCTTATTAGGCCGAGACACTTTAACTAAATTATCTGCTTCCCTGACTGTTCCTGGACTACAGCTACATCTCATTGCCGCCCTTCTTCCCAATCCAAAACCTCCTTTGCGTCCTCTTCTATTCCCCCACCTTAATCCACAAGTAGAAGACACCTCTACTCCCTCCTTGGCGACCGATCATGCACCCCTTACCATCTCATTAAACCTAATCACCCTTACCCCGCTCAATGCCAATATCCCATCCCACAGCATGCTTTGAAAGGATTAAAGCCTGTTATCACTCGCCTGCTACACCATGGCCTTTCAAAGCCGATAAACTCTCCTTACAATTCCCCCATTTTACCTGTCCTAAAACCAGACAAGCCTTGCAAGTTAGTTCAGGATGTATGCCTTATCAACCAAATTGTTTTGCCTATCCACCCCATGGTGCCAAACCCATATACTCTCCTATGCTCAATACCTCCCTCCACAATCCATTATTCTGTTCTGGATCTCAAACATGCTTTCTTTACTATTCCTCTGCACCCCTCGTCCCAGCCTCTCTTTGCTTTCACCTGCACTGACCCTGACACCCATCAGTCCCAGCAGCTTACCTGGGCTGTACTGCCGCAAGGTTTCAGGGACAGCCCTCATTACTTCAGCCAAGCTCTTTCCCATGATTTACTTTCTTTCCACTCCTCCGCTTCTCACCTTATTCAATATATTGATGACCTTCTTCTTTGTAGACCCTCCTTTGAATCGTCTCAACAAGACACACTTCTGCTCCTTCAGCATTTATTTTCCAAAGAATATCAGGTATCCCCCTCCAAAGCTCAAATTTCTTCTCCAACCATTACCGACTTTGGCATAGTTCTTCATAAAAACACACGTGCTCTCCCTGCCGATCGTGTCTGACTAATCTCCCAAACCCCAATCCCTTCTACAAAACAACAACTCCTTTCCTTCCTGGGCATAGTTGGATACTTTCGCCTTTAGATACCTGGTTTTGCCATCCTAACAAAACCATTATATAAACTCACAAAAGGAAACCTAGCTGACCCCATAGATCCTAAATCTTTTCCCCACTCCTCTTTCCATTCCTTGAAGACAGCTTTAGAGACTGCCCCCACTCTAGCTCTCCCTGACTCATCCCAACCCTTTTCATTACATACAGGTGAAGTGCAGGGCTGTGCAGTCAGAATTCTTACACAAGGATCAGGATCGCGTCCTGTAGCCTTTTTGTCCAAACAACTTGACGTTACTGTTTTAGGCTGGCCATCATGTCTCCGTGCAGCAGCTGCTGCCTCCATAATACTTTTAGAGGCCGTTAAAATCACAAACTGTGCTCAACTCACTCTCTACAGCTCTCATAATTTCCAAAATCTATTTTCTTCCAAACACCTGATGCATATACTGTCTGCTCCCTCGCTCCTTCAGCTGTACTCACTCTTTGTTGAGTCTCCCACAATTACCATTGTTCCCGGCCAGTACTTCAATCCGGCCTCCCACATTATTCCTGATACCACACCTGACCCTCATGACTGCGTCTCTCTGATCCACCTGACGTTCACCCCATTTCCCCATATTTCCTTCCCTGTTTCTCACCCTGACCACACTTAGTTTATTGATGGCAGTTCCACCAAGCCTAATCGCCACACACCAGCAAATGCAGGCTATGCTATAGTATAAGCCACTAGCCCGCCTCTTAGAACCTCTCATTTCCTTTCCATCTTGGAAATCTATCCTCTAGGAAATAACTTCTCAGTGTTCCATCTGCTATTCTACTACTCCTCAGGGATTCTTCAGGCCCCCTCCCTTCCCTACACATCAAGCTCAGAGATTTGCCCCCACCCAGGACTGGCAAATTAGCTTTACTCAACGTGCCCCGCGTCACAAAAACTAAAATACCTCTTAGTCTAAGTAGACACGTTCACTAGATACGTAGAGGCCTTTCCTATAGGATCTGAGAAGGCCACCGCAGTCATTTCTTCCCTTCTATCAGACATAATTCCTCAGTTTAGCCTTCCCACCTCTATATAGTCTGATAACAGACCAGCCTTTATTAGTCAATCAGCCCAGCAGTTTTTCAGGCTCTTAGTATTCAGTGAAACCTTTATATCCCTTACAGTCCTCAGTCTTCAGGAAAAGTAGAACAGACTAAAGGTCTTTTAAAAACACACCTCACCCACCTCAGCCACCAACTTAAAAAAGAATAGACAATACTTTTACCACTTTCCCTTCTCAGAATTCAGGCCTGTCTTCAGAATGCTACAAAGTACAGCCCATTTAAGCTCCCCTATAGATGCTCCTTTTTATTAGGCCCCAGTCTCATTCCAGACAACAGACCAACTTGGACTATGCCCCAAAAAACTTGTCATCCCTATTGTCTTCTGTCTAGCCATACTCCTATTCACCATTCTCAACTACTCATACACGCCCTGCTCTTGTTTACACTGCCGGTTTACACTGTTTCTCCAAGCCATCGCAGCTGTTATCTCCTGGTGCTACCCTCAAACCTCCACTCTTAACTCTTAAAGTAAATAAATAATCTTTTCCGGCAAGGCTATGCTGAACCTCCTTAGGCACTCTCTAGTTAGATGTCCTAGGTCCTCCCAATTCTTAGTCCTTTAATACCTGTTTTTCTCCTTCTCTTATTCCATTTAGTTTCTCAATTCATCCAAAACTGTATCCAGGCCATCATCAATAATTCTAAATGACAAATGTTTCTTCTAACAGTCCCACAATATCACCCCTTACCACAAAACCTTCCTTCAGCTTATCTCTCCGACTGTAGGTTCCCACGCCGCCCCTAATCCCGCTCGAAGCAGCCCTGAGAAACATCGCCCGTTATCTCTCCCTATCACCCCCCAAAATTTTCGCCACCCCAACACTTTACCACTATTTCGTTTTATTTTTCTTATTAATATAAGAAGACAGGAATGTCAGGCCTCTGAGCCCAAGCTAAGCCATCATATCCCCTGTGACCTGCATGTACACATCCAGATGGCCGGTTCCTGCCTTAACTGTTGACATTCCACCACAAAAGAAGTAAAAATGGCCTGTTCCTGCCTAAACTGATGACATTGTCTTGTGAAATTCCTTCTCCTGGCTCAAAAGCTCCCACACTGAGTACCTTGTGACCCCCACTCCTGCCTGCCAGAGAACAACCCCCCTTTTTCCTTTACCTACCCAAATCCTATAAAACGGCCCCACCCCTACCTCCCTTCGCTGACTCTCTTTTCGGACTCAGCCCACCTGCACCCAGGTGAAATAAACAGCTTTATTGCTCACACAAAGCCTGTTTGGTGGTCTCTTCACACGGACGCACATGAAAGTATATGCATGGCTTTTTGTGGCACACTATTGCACACTTAACAGACTACAATGGAACATAACTTTTTTTTTTTTTTTTTTTGAGACAGAGTTTTGCCCTTGTCACCCAGGCTGGAGTGCAATGGCGTGATCACAGCTCACTGCAACCTCTGCCTCCTGGGTTCAAGTGATTCTCCAGCCTCAGCCTCCCGAGTGGCTGAGATTACAGGCGTGTCACCACCATGCCCAGCTAATTTTTGTATTTTTAGTAGCGACTGGGTTTCACCATGTTGGCTAGGCTGCTTTCAAACTCCTGACCTCAGGTGATCTGCCCGCCTCACCCTCCCAAAGTGCTGGGATTACAGTATGAGCCACCGCGCCTGGCTGGAAACATAACTTTTATATGTGCTGGGAAACAAACAAACCAAAAATTAGTGTGAGTAGCTTTAGCTCGGTAGTCACTTTATTGCCATGGTCTGGAATGGAGCCTGCAGTGTCTCTGAGGCGTGCCTCTGCCTGGAACAGAGCCTGGAACAGAGCCTGCAGTGTCTGGGAGGCATACCTCTACAAGGATCACTGTGCTGATCCAGCTGTTGTAGCATCACCAGGGCTGGTGGTAGAACCTCCAGTTGTGAGCCCTAAATATAACCACCTCCATGCCCAGCTTCTCTGGGTTCCACCTACAGGAGAGGTTTGTAAGTCAAGAAATCAGTATTTACAGAAACTACTGGGAGCAGAGCAATTCTCTCACTGAAACTGTTCTGAGGCCGGGTGCAGTGGCTCATGCCTATAGGCCAAGGTGGGCGGGTCACTTGAGGCCAGGAGTTCAAGACCAGCCTGGCCAACATGACAAAACCCTTTCTCTACAAAAAATACAAAAATTAGCCAGGCATGGTGGCACGAGCCTTTAATTCCAGCTACTTGGGAGGTTGAGGCAGGAGATTTGCTTGAACCTGGGAGGCGGGGGTTGCAGTGAGCCAAGATCATACCACTGCACTCCAGCCTGGGTGCATTCTATGAGATCAGTGTTACCGTAATACCAAAACCAGAAAGATACTACAAAACAAAAGAAAACTACAGACCAATATTTGCATGGACATAGATGCAAAAATCCTTAATTAAATATCAGAAAATCAAATCCAACACTGGACAAAAAGAATTATATACCTAGACCAAGTGGAATTTATCCCAGGTATATAAGGCTGGTTCAAAAAGAGGAAGTTGTTGGGAATACAAGTTCCAACTCTGGGCAGTCCAAGTATCTGATGGGTATTCTTATTAGTCCCCTGAGGCCTTTGGTAATCACTAATTAGAGTTATGAGTAATGACATCCAAGATAATGCACATGTTCAGCTCCCCCAGGCCATGATCAGGAGGAGGAGACACAGATAAACAGTTCAGGCTGAATGCGGAGCTATGGACTTTTCATAGCAGACATTTTATTTTTGTTCTAGCGACTAATTGATGTAAGAAGAGTATAGATTATTGTACAGATAAGAACACGGGGGCTCATAGAAGTTACATGGGTTGTCAGAACTCTCATAACTAATGAGTGGAAGAGACCATCTTTTGTCTTTTCGGCCAAAAAGTCAGGTCTGCAGCCTAGCACAGTGGCACCGCCCAGAAGATCCCAGGCCAGCTGAATATTGGCCACGCTGGGGGAGTCTGTTGGGCTCTGAAGCACCACTGGAACTGGACGACTTTAGTTTCTCTTACAACAAGTATGGGAAATCGGATGTGCCTCTGGGAAGCAAAGTGACCCAGGGCCTCTGCTAGACTCTGCAGGATGCAAGCCTGTCTCTCCTCCATCCTTCAGTCTGTAGGCGTGTCAGGCTCAGGGCTGCCGGGCGTAAGGCAGATGAGAAGTGTGGTAGAAAAAAAAGCCACCAAACTAGATGCCAAAAATCTATGTTGAATCACGGGACAGCCACAAGACAGCCACTTTCTACCCGCGTGATCTTAGTTGAACGGCCCTCGGTCTCCTCATCTGTGAAGTCGAGGAACTCAATTACATACTCTGTTGTGTTTCCATCCAGTTTTATTATGAGCGATTCTAAAATGGCTCCAGGGCCCTTCAGGGGCCGCTTGCGCCTTCCAGAAGTCCACCCAGTGGAGGCTACTACAATACCATCTTCTTACCTGGAAGAAGAGAGAACTGAGAGCAGGAGGCAGGTGCCACCCCTGGGAGAAGGTTCTCCTCGTCTGCTCCAGCTGTGCAAACCCCAGCCATCTTCCAGGTCAAGACCCTGCTCTGAAACAGAAGATCCAATAGCAGCAACCCAGCCTTCCCCCACCCGGCCCCCCACTGGGCCCAGCGCACCTTCTATCCCCAGGTCAGCACCTCCCCACCGATTCCACTGCCGAACCACACCCCTCACACTTTTGCAATTTCCAAGTTGAGCTCTGAGTCTTACTTTCCAGAATGTTCCAAAGGTGCAAACCAGGACAGCCCCACCCCCCATCCCTCCCAGGCTCCCCATGGCCTAGAATTCACACTTTGGGTACGCTGTGTTGGCTGTAGATGGCTTTCTAATCTTCATATTTTGGGGGAGGGTATGGAATGGGAGGTGGGGAGAACTGGCTGCCTGGCGTTTCCTTGTGTTGATGCAGATGTGGTTTTGCACCTGGTTTCTGGACTTTGCTTGCGGTCACAGCCAGGGCTGTGAGGTAAGTGAGCCAGCCACTAAACAACTGTCCACAGAGCTGAAAATTCTATCCCAGTAGCAAAGGAATCCCCTTGGAAGGAGAACTGGAATATGACCACCAGCAAGGCCACTGCTTTCATGCCTTCCGGGCAGGGAAAGGGGGAGGCAGGTGGAAGAAACATAGGATGGAGATTTTCATGCCCAGGGTACAAGAGGAGGCAAATCACCCATGACTCAGGCACAGGGGAGAAAGGTCAGTCCTGGCTCCAGCTTGGCGGGAGTGGGGGTGAGGGACAGATTCAGCAGGGACAGGCTGATGCGATCCCCTCCCTCTCTCTCTCCCATCCCCCTACCAAATCTGTTCCTCTCCTCCATATCAGTTATCACATTATCACTATCTGCAAGCATCTTGATTGTTACTTGCTCACCATTTCCCGCTCTGCTTCTTGCCGGGAAGAAAGTAATATAGTTTGAATGTGTGTCCCTGCCCAAATCTCAGGTTGAATTGTAGTCTCCAGTGCTGGAGGTCGGGCCTGATGGGAGGTGTTTGCATGATGAGATAGATCGCCCATGAACGGCTTAGGCCATCCCCTTGGTGATAAGTCAGCTCTGCCTCTGAGTTCACATGAGATCTGGTCATTTAAAAGTGTATGGCACCCCCTCCCTTGCTCTTGCTCCCGCCCTCACCATGTAACATACCTGCTCCCCCTTTGCCTTCCACCATGACCGGAAGCTTCCTGAAGCTGCCCCAGAAGCAGATGCCACTGTGCGTCCTGTACAGCCTGCAGAACCGTGAGCCAATTAAACCTCTTATAAATTATCCAGCCTCCCAAACTTCTTTAGAGCAACGCAAGAATGGCCTAATACACCAAATTAGAGTTAAAGGAAAAGGAGGCTAAGAGAGGTTAAGTTATTTGCCCATGACACACAGCTAGTAACAGAAGCAAGACCTCTTCCCAGGTCTTGGGACCCCCTAGTTAATTGTCTCATGCATCATATGTGATGTGCCTCATTGTCCCTTGAAAGCAATGACAAGCTCCTCACCTCCTTTCCTCCACTCAGTGAAGCAATGGGAGTGCCCGCAGGCCATTGCAGGGCTCCCATGGTGAGCCTTCCCTCCACCCTGCCAGTAGCAACAGAGTGGACCCAGGGAGCAACGTCCCCAGGTCTGGACTTTCATCCCAGCTCCACCACATGCAAGGGCCAGTGGCTGAAGATTTTTGAATCCCAATTTTGCCAACCATCCTGTAGAAATAACACCTCACATGGTTGTGAGGCAGAAGTGTGGGGAAAATGCTGAGCTCCGGCGGCCTTTCTAAGCACCGCATCTTCCTCTGAAAGCTGAAATAACGAGACCTAATGTGAGAGGTGGGGGCGAGGATTAGGTGGGGCAATGTGCTTAGAGTTAGCAGAGGGCTCCGAGGCAGTTAGCACTTGGCAAGTGGGAGCTGATGTTATCAGTTAATACCGAGGTCTTTCCCGGGGGGGACTGCCTGCACCCCCAAAGTGTTCTAGGGGGTGGAGAAGCACATTCTGAGGGTAGGAAATGAGCAAGTGGTTCCCTTCCCCTGAGGCTCTGGTTAGCACTCACTGAATCCTATTTTTTTTTTTTGGGAGAGGGTCTCCCTCTGTCACCCAGGCTGGAGATAGGAACAAAGCTAAACAGCACATGTTCTCACTCCTATATGGAAGCTAAAAAAAAAAAAAGATCTCATACAAGCAAAAAGTAGAATAGAGTATACTAGACGCTGGGAAGGGCAGGTGAAGGGAGAAATAAGGGGAGATTTGTTAAAGGATACAAAATAGGCCGGGCGTGTTGACTCATGACTGTAATCCCAGCACTTTGGGAGGCCAAGGTGGGAGGATCAGTTGAGCCCAGGAGTTCAAGACCAGCCTGGGCAACATAGTAAGACCTTGTCTCTACAAAAAATAGAAAAATTAGCCAGGTGTGATCCCAGCTCACTGCAACCTCCGCCTCCTGGGTTCAAGCTATTCTCATGCCTCAGCCTCCCAAATAGCTAGGACTACAGGCATGCACAGCCACGCCTGGCTAATTTTTGTATTTTTTTGGTAGAGACGGGGTTTTCTCATGTTGGCCAGGCTGGTCTCGAACTCCTGACCTCAAGTGCTCCACCCACCTCGGCCTCCCTAAGTGCCAGGATTACAAGCGTGAGCCACTGTGCCCAGCCAATCCATATTTCACATGTGAAAGTAAATCTACATTTTACATGAGGTAAAGTAAGAATGTGCCATTACAGCTTTGCGTTTGGGAACAAAAGGAGGATAGTTTTTGTGTGACTCAGTTCCTAGCTGAACTTTTCCCTTTGGCATAGTGAGTTTGGTGTCCTGGGATATGATTTTTTGTGTGTGTGTCGTCCTTGCTAGCATTCACCATTGTCTCCCTCCTCTCCTTGGACGTCAGGGAAGGCAGAGTGGCCACAGGTGAGGTCCGGTGGCTGGTCACGGGCTTCTCCTGGCCCGGGTGAAGCCTAGTTCTCAGGCAGGGATGAAAGGGTGCTGCACCCAGCAAGCCTGCTTTCCTCCTCCCTGCTGAGAGGTTGCCGGGGAGGCCCTGTGCTGTGAGCTCCTAGGAGGCAGGTAGGCTGGGGATTCGGGGAACGATGAATGCAAGTACTCCCTGAGCAGGGCGCTGGGTCAGGCCTCTTTCTGGGGTTGAGAAGCTGGGAAGCTCTCAGGACATCTGCTGCCATCTCAGGCTCTGCGGGGTGGGAGCTGTGAGGTGTGTAGGGAGGAAGGCCAGACTGGGAAAGTCCAGGCTCCCACCTCTGACCCGTCACACTCATGCTGTGACCACGGCCAAGTCACACCCTCCCTCTGAGCCTCAGCCTTTAGCCTGGAGTAGTCTCTGAGATGCAATACTAGCTCTGAAAAGTGAACCCCTGCCCCTTGAGCACTCAAAATAAAGTATTATTAGTCCACTCCCATCTGAACTAAATTTTGGATAGGGATCCATGGGCTTCTAATACTAATCCTTTGTATCTGATTTGTTTGTATTTCGAGCATTTTATTTAACTCCTTTTTGTACTTTCTCTCTGCTGAAATTCACTGTCATATATGTTGCTTATCTTTTCTGGTATATCTTTTAATATAGTAATTATAGTTATGTTTAAAGTTGCTGTATAATAGCTGCAATATCTGGACCATCTCTGAGTCTGGTTCTGTTGATTGCCTTATATATTGACAGTTTTGTTTGTTTCATAATTGGAATGGCATCCATCATGTGTAGAAGAAAAATAGAGACTGAGTAAAGTAGTGTTTATACCTGGAAAAAAAATATATTAGTCCACTCTTTTGTGTTAGATTTCAGAATTTAATGTTACAGACAAGCACTCACGGATTGATTCTCCCCTCTGTCCCCTGAATAATTCCAAGAGTTCCCCAGACCCCAGGCCAGCCTCCTCTGTCCCTCCTGCCCCTACAGTGTCCTATCCAGGCCCTCTGACTCCCCAGGCCCTGTCTGACACCTGCTCTGTTTTCCCAAACAAAGAGAGTGAGGCCCTACATCTCCCTCACAGGCTTACGTCCACCCCAACAGGGCTTTCCTGACACTATGCCCCAACTTGCAATGCACGCCAACCTTTGGTAACCCAAAGAGTCAAATGCTGGCCACTTGCTTTCAGACAGACGTTGGTAGCTACAGAAAAGATTAGAGGGTTGTAAGACCTTCTTGGACCCTCCAGGCCAGAACACATGGGTGATCGGTGATGCCACTGAGGTAGAGGGCTTGTGTCATTCTCGGTGTGAATCAGATGTCAAGGGCAGGATAACCAGCTGGACATGAGTTGAGTAAGGACTTATCAGGGACCAGGACTCTCTCAGTGTCAGACAGCGTCTCACTGCGTTCAGCCTGTCACAGGCATTTGAACCAGAGCAACTCCATCTTGAATAGAGGCTGGGTAAAATGAGGCTGAGACCTACCGGGCTGCATTCCCAGGAGGTTAAGGCATTCTTAGTCACAGGATGAGATAGGTGGTTGGCACAAGATACAGGTCACAAAGACCTTGCTGATAAGACAGTTTGCAGTGGAGGAGTGGGCCAAAACCCACCAAAACCAAGATGGCCACGAGAGCGACCTGTGGTCGTCCTCACTGCTACACTCCCACCAGCTCCATGAGAGTTTACAAATGCCATGGCAACATTGGGAAGTTACCCTACATGGTCTAAAAAAGGGAGGCATGAATAATCCACCCCTTGTTTAGCATATCATCAAGAAATAACCATAAAATGGGCAACCAGAAGTCCTGGGGGCTGCTCTGTCTATGGAGTAGCCATTCTTTCATTCCTTTACTTTCTTAATCAACTTGCTTTCACTTCACTGTGTGGACTTGCCCTGAATTCTTTCTTGCATGAGATCCAAGAACCCTCTCTTGGGGTCTGGATCCAGACCCCTTTCCAGTAACAAGCCTAGCAACTGTGAAAGGGCCAAGTCCAGAGTTCAGACACTTCCTAAAATAAAGCCTCCCCGGCCGTCCCTTCTTCTCTAGTCAAAGGCGCAGCTACGTGTGCAGCCCTCAGAGGAAAGAAAGCAGAAGAGTTGGACACATCGTTAGGCTCCTTCTGCAGGCGGGGAAGCTAAGAACTGCATTCAAGGCCTGGCTTGGCCAAGCTTTTACCCCACAGCTGACGGGATCTAGAGTCTTGTCTCCAATGTCAGTGCTGGCAAAGATGGGACACCTGTCCCGACCCAGTGCCCTACACAGGCCTTCAGAAGGTCACCCAGAGAGCCAGACACACGGCTCCCGGGGAGCAGACCTATAAACAGCATCTGGATCTGGGCATGCACACTCCCGGCCCGGCATACAGGGCGGCGTGCACAATCCCGGGCACAATGAATGGTCCTGTTGGCCAGGAGATGGCTTGTATTCATCTGAATTGTTTGGGTCTGAGCCAGCCCCTTGTCCCCAAGCAATGCCATTTTGGCTATTGTGCCGATGATGGCTGATGATTATCTTGGTTGTTTATCCAGTTGCTCTATAGATTGACTTGCTGAATGTCAGGGTTTGACTGTTTCCATAACAGGAAGCTGCTCACTGTCTCACTGTATTAAGGAACTCTGGTCTACACAATAGAGTTCCAACAAAACCCTAAACACTCCATTTGCTGGGGGAACCTCATTGAATCCAGCTCTCATTGTTTCTTTTATAGGCTGAATCCTGTATTTACAGTGAGAGGGGTGTGTGTGGCTGTGTGTGCACGTGTGTGTGTGTGTGTGTGTGTGTGTTCGCGCATGCACATGTGGGTTTAACAAGATATGAAGCCTGGCTTGTCACCTTCCAAGTTCTCCACTTGAACTTGAGCATAGATCAGGGTGCCATGATTCCCCAGACAGAGACCTGCTAGGGTGGGAGGGAGTGGGGATGAGCAGGACCCTGCCCCTGGGGAGTCTCTCCTCGGTCCTCCCAGTGTCGCCGGACCCAGGGTCGCCGTGCAGTCAGAGGAAGTTAAAGCTTTTGTTTTCATACCGAGGCACAGTCAAACAGTAGAACAAAACTCCCAAGTCAGCGTTGAACCCAGGCGCCAAGACCCTATGGAGGAAACAGAAGATGAAAGGGGAGACATTCGGCGCTGGTTTCTGTCACTATTATTTATTACCTTCTGGGTGGTTCCATGCCCCTGGGAGTTTCCCAGAAGCTCTCCAGGCACCTGGTTAAATCGCATGGATTCCTTTTTGATTTTATCTGGCTCTCTCCTCCCATCCTCAGCTGCCAAGGAGCTTAGAGGAGAAACAAAAGGAGCACGACTGGAGGAGTCTGATCTCTGTGGGGAGCTGTTTCCTTCAGGACAGAGGCTTGGTGCCCCCGGGGGGTGGGTAACTAGAGTTGGCCAGGCGCTCCTGGCGGGCACAGGCCTCCCAGCCTAGTACCTGGCACAGGGCAGGCACCCAATTGCCTAACAACCTGAATGCCTAAAGATGCTTCTGAGTGTGCAGTCCGTTGGGGTGCAAGTCTAGATAGAAAATAAGCCTGGGCCGGGCGCAGTGGCTCATGCCTGTAATCCCAGCACTTTGGGAGGCTGAGGCCGGTGGATCTTGAGGTCAGGAGTTCAAGATCAGCCTGGCCAACATGGTGAAACCCTGTCTCTACTAAACAAATAAAAAATTAGCCAGGTGTGGTGGTGAGCACCTGTAATCCCAGCTACTTGGGAGGCTGAGGCAGATAATTGCTTGAACCTAGGAAGGCAGAGATTGCAGTGAGCTGAGATCACACCACTGCACTCCAGCCTGGCCAACAGAGCGAAACTCCGTCTAAAAAAAAAAAGAAAAAGAAAGAAAGAAAAGACAACAAGCCTGAATTCTTGGGGTATGACTCCCTGCTACTTTTAAGACTTGAAAATGTAAACCCAGGTGAGTTTTGGCATTTTTGCCTGATGTAACCATTTAAGCCACTGGAACAACTTGTCAACTCATCCACAGTGATTAAGTGGAGGTGTGAGATGTGCCTGCCTTCCACAGAGCATGAAGGCCATTCCTTAACACCATTCATTCTCATATGGGGAGGAGGAGAGAGCTACTCTACTCGGATGTTAACACACAGATTGTACAGAGAGAAGTAGGGTCCCAGGTTGCAGAGGCCACCTGGCATTAGACGTCCACTACTAGGACCCTTTCTCCCCTTCACAGTGAGGTGACTCGTCTACCCAGAAGGAGCCCAGTGGAAGCCTGGTGGTGACAGAAGTGGGACTGTTGGTTCTCAGAGGGAGCTGGAAGATACTACAGCCATCATCTAGTTCAATCCATTTTGCAGGACGGAAGAGTGAGGTTGAGCAAGTCAAGCAAAGTCCTTGAGGTCAAAGGAGGCTGGCCTCCTCCCTCAGCCTACAGGGAGGGGTCAAAGAGAGAGGTAGCATTCATCTGAAAAGCCCAGCTAAGAAGGGAGTGACAGCTCTGCCACCCAGGGAACCAAGGAAGCCAGAGAACATGGACACAGGGCCTTTGTCACCAATGACTGAGCCCGGGTTATTTTAAATTACCATGTACATTGTAGCTCCAAGCGTCTTTCAAAGAATATTCAGGTTTCCCAGGGAAACATTCAAGTTACATAAAGCACAGATGTCCATGCCTTCACCTCTCTTAAATTAGGTAAAATTGGAGGTCCTGGAGAGATAGGTGTGCTTGAATCTTGTTTCTTAGAATAAGCTCCGAATTGACAAAGCCTCCCATTCTGTTTGCAAAGACCTGACCTGGGGAGATATATATGCCAGCCAATCCATTGGATCTAAACAGGCAGAAAAAGTGTTTTGCTTTGCTTTTTAAATTATCCAACCAAATCTAGATAGTCCTGTATCCTAGTGCTGACACAGTTCTAAGAGCCATGTAGTCAAACCTCACCCCGATGCTTCACACTAAATACGTTGCTGAGATGGAAATCTCTGCTTTTGCTGAAGGTGGTCCGTGTCTTAAGGATCAAACTCTCATGTGCACCTTGCTCCACTTGCTTTGGAGGGTTCCCTGCAGACAGAGCTCCCATGGGAAAGCTGTGCAGCCCTCCCAGCTGTCATGCTAGCTGTTTAGCAGTAGAGGGCATTGTTTACTTAAAATCCAGGCATGAACCTAGGCCAAGAGAAAGTTAGCATTCTGACATCTTAAGAGTGGTCATCTGACCAGCTGCCCATTCTCTCCCAAACCAAGTCCACCCAGCCCAATAGATGAGAAGGCTGTACGTTCACAAAGACCTCTCCTGCCTTATTCAGGAACTCAGTGTGGGTACAGCAGATCCTCCCTATCGAGAAACCCTTCAACCAACCTGCACCCATTGTGTTCCATTTCCTCCCGTTCTGTTCCACTGACTTTGAACCTCAGGTTCACATTGCAGCAGATCAGATTACTTCCCCAAAATGCCTTCCCTCTATTATTCTTGTTTACCGGGCATTCGCTACCATGTTAATGTCTCTAGGGTGGAGGACAGGGTAGGGTTGGAACAGGACAAATTGGGCCTAATTTAAACATTGGAAGATTCAATGTAACATTGTCTGAGAGTTCAGGATAAAGCTTGATCTTGTAAACGGTGAATAAAGAGCATTTGATTTTTTATTGGGCTTACAAGTAGGAAGCCTGGTTTCTATAAACACATGCAAAAATCAGAGTCACTCTTACCAGGCTATGCTTCTAGGAAAAATGTCCCTAAAACACTTGAAATACTGATAATTCTTTCAATATTAGCCATTTTTTTTGTGGCTAATGTTAACATTATTTGTGTTGAGGTTTGGCCTTAGTGTAAGGTATAGTGTGGGAGCTTTGTGGGTAAAGCTAGCAGAGGTGAAGCCTCAAAGCACTCTCGCAACGTGTTCCCACAGCCATTTGTTCATGAAATTTGCAAAAGTAAATTTCATCACAAATTGGTGAAGACTGTTGTTTGTTTTCCCTCTGACTTTCCTTCCGTTGTACTTGTCCTATTGGGTGGCATTGGAGTGGCCAAGGACATTTTTGAAATCTGGCTAAGGGGATGTTGAGTTGAAGACTTATTTAGGCAGCTTTAATGGGATCTAATCTGACCATCCATCCATCCATCCATCCATCTATCTATTCATGTATCCATCATCAATCCACCTTTCTATCGATCTAACCATCTCTCTAGCTATCTAATCTATCTCAGTCATTTCCGTAGAATGTAAGCGTCGATAACTGTCCTGGTGTAGACATGGCCTGCAGGCACTCTCTGGGGACCCACCAGTGCCACAAGGTGAAGATACAAGGCTGGTCACGGGACCTCTGCGGGAACATGTCTTAGGGCTTCCGTGCGTATCCAGTGGAAGAGAAAGAAGATTTGAAATGTACAGACCCAGAAGCTTGTAAGGATCATTTTTCTGGTTTTGTGATATTTGTGGAGATTTTTAGCTTTTGAAAAGTGCACTATTTGGGCAAAACTATAGAGACAGTATAAAGCTCAGTGGTTGCCCGGGGTTGTGGGGAGGCAGGGATGAACACGCTGAGCACAGAGGATTTTTACGGCGGTGAAACTCCTCTGTATGATAATGTAATGGTGGGTACAGGTTATTACACATTTGCCAAAATTCACAGAATGTTCAACACCAAGGATGAACCCTAATATAACATATGGACTCTGGGTGATGATGACGTGTCAATGTAGGTTCATCGATTGTAACAAATGCACCACTCTGGGGTGGGGGGATGGTGATGATAGTGGGGGAGGCTGTGTGTGTGGGTCGGGGCATATATGGAGATTCTCAGGACCTTCTGCTCAATTTTACTGTGAACCTAAAACTGCTCTAAAATATAAAGCCTATTTTAAAATCTGTTATTTGTTGTGATTAACTTCCTCATGCCCAGTCAATATGAACTTCTGAGCCTAATTATGCATTCACTGTCTTGGACTCTGCTTCTGCCAGTGTCGAGGTTGTTGGCCGCCACAAACCCTGGGTCTGCCCTATGTGTGTAGCCCATCCTTTCAGTTGCACGGCTCATGCTGACAACTGGCCCATTTTCCCATTCAGATTGCTGCTGTCTTTTTGTTTGTTTGTTTGTTTTGGTTATTTTTTGAGATGGAGTCTTAACTTTGTCACCCAGACTGGAGTGCAGTGGCACAATCTCCGCTCACTGCAACCTCTGCCTCCCGGGTTGGAGAGATTCTCCTGCCTCAGCCTTCTGAGTATCTGGGATTACTCAGCCACCATGACCCGCTGATTTTTGTATTTTTAGTAGAGACAGGGTTTCCCCATGTTGGCCAGTCTGGTCTCGAACTCCTGACCACAGGTGATCCTCCCGCCTCGGCCTCCCAAAGTGCTGGGATTACAGGCGTGAGCCACCACGCCAAATCCAGATTGTGGCTGTCTTGATGGTGAAGTGTCTCCCATTCTGGCGTTCAGCGCAAGAGGGGAACGTGTTCTCTGGCTGGTGTCGCCGGCCCCTCTCCTCGCACGCCACGCTCACCCCCCGACTTCTTTGCAGGGATGGTGCCGTCGGGCCTGCCGGGCAGGGTGTGAGGAGCTTCGTCCTGAGATCGCTGGTCACTTGAAGGTCTCGGGAGAGGGCGTCCTGCCCTGCCAAACTGGGTCGCCAGGAGCCAGAAGGTTCCCTCAGTGTGGCCATCCCTGCCCGGTGCTTCCATCCTTCTAATGGCTGGGAGGCCTTACTTCCCAGCCTGTTGGGTACGTTTTTGTTTCTAGAAGATTCTGAGTTTCCTCCTTCTGCAACACAAAATGAAAGGGTTTTATATTTTGATATCTCCGAGTTCCTGCTTGGCTAGAGGGAAAGAAATGGGTTTTTTCAGTAACCAAGATTCATGAGGGTGAATTTTTCTTCCCAGAAAAGCTGCCATCCAGGTTATCCTGGGCGCACAAAGCCCTGTCGTATCCGCACTTGCCAGCAGAGGGCGACACACAGCCGCCTGCAGGGACAGAGCTGGAGAAGGCTCCAAGGATCTGTCCCGGACCAGCGGGGCCACCAGGCGGCTTTCCCTACTGCACCCACGCCCCCTGACAAAGTGGCCCCATCTAAGACGACAGCAGAGGTTCCTGGGCCCGAACGTCTGAGCCAGGCTGCGCCGGGGGCGTCAGACTCGGATCATCCCCTGAGCCCTGGAGAGCCAGCCTGGCCCTCAGGTCTCCCCTAAAAAGCTCAGGGAAGGATGCTGGGGAGAAACTCCAGGGAGGAACAGACCCCCCGCCCACCTCCTTCGGCCAGAACATCCCAAAGACCTCCCTGCAGCATTCCAGACCCTACACGGGGGTCTTAGAATAGGGTTACCCAAGAAAATACAGAACTCCCAATTAAATTTGAATTCCAGATAAAGAACAATTTGTTAGTAAGCCTGCGCCAAATATTGCGCAGAATGTGCATATATTTTTAAAAGTGGTCTTTGTTTATCTGGAAATTCAAATTTAACTAGGTGTCTTGTATTTTTTATCTGCTAAGTCATTACCACTCTCTTAGTGAGGTTCCTAGAATATTCTAGTCCAGCACAGACCAAAAGTGGGGTTCCTTCTCCCTTACACCAGCCCCTTCTCCCCAAAACTCCTTGGAGGAGCTTCCATACCAGGCCCGCTCCAATCTAAACCCCTCACTTCAGAAAGGGCAAGGAATAGTGGATGCTACAGACCACTCGAACCGAGCCACCCTAACCTCTTCTTGTCTGATGGACAGTCCACAAAGACTCGCATTTCCTCGACTTTCTTTGGTCCTTTCAATAAAGCAATAGGCCTGTGCTTAACAGAGAGGGAAACTGAGGCACAGAGATTCCAACCTGTGCAGGGCCTCAACTCAACAGACACACTTGGGGGCACAGCATACGCCTCCCAACATCATAGCGGCAAAGTGGGTGCCTGGGCTGGAGTCTCCTTTCCCCCACCCTGAGCACCGAGACCAGGATTCCACACAGAGAGCACAGACATGTGTTCGGTACCCCTCTGCCCAGCACACCAGACGGCCGGGACTCGGGGAAAGGCCTGTGAGACCGCCTGTGCCTCTGCCCCTGCCAGCAGGACACCTGGGCCGTCCGTGCAGCCTCGGCGACAGCCCCAGCGGCAGCCTCAGCGGCAGCCTGGCTTTCCTGTACAGCCGCTGCAGGGTGTAGGATGCTGATAACGGGAACAATGCTGCAGAGGAAAAGTGGCAGAAGCAGGACAATGAGCCGGCGGCAGGACTCTCCCAGGCCAGCGGGAGCGAGGAAGGACTCGCGGGTCCCAGGGGCCAGGCTGGAGACTGCGCTGCGGCGGGCACTTGGGGGACGCCACAGGCTCCACTCCCCAGGGAGGCAGCCACACATCCCTGTGGGTTGGGCAGGTGGAGACAGGGACTCCTGCCCCTGAGATGGGTCCTTCCTGCCCTCCATGTGCAGGAGGGCAGGTCACCTGTCAGAGTGAGAATCGAGCGGCTCCCAGGATGGCCACAGTTCTGATCGCAGGGGATCCAGGAACCTCTCACTCTGTCGCTCTCCTGTCCCTCCAACACCCAGCAGGAGGCCTTCTCACCCCGAGCCCGTGAGTGCATCTGTGTCCAGCACAGGACACCCAGGTGGGCCTGCCCGTCACTCAGGTAGGCTGGCCACTGGGGCAGCAGGGAAACAAAATACCTCGAGGCTTGGCCCAACATCGGACCATATTGTGGAGATGGCCACGTGCCTTGTGGGAGCTGCTGAAATGGTCCCCAAGAGCAGCTGCCTCTGCCTGTGAGTGGCATCTATAATCCCACCCTCCCAGCCGGAACGGGAATCCTCACCGGGGGTGCCCAGGGAGCGAAGGCTAAGCCCCTTTCCTCTGCAGCATTCACAGGGCTGGGGTTGAGACCACGTCTGTGGGTTCACTCCCCAGCTCCACCTTATACTGAAAAGGCCTTAGAGCAACCTATAAGATGCAAACAGTATAACGGGATAAAATACATTAATAAGGAACAAAATTGAGGGGAAAAGAAACACGGAAGAAAGGTAAAATGGAGCCAGGAGTGAGGCCAAATCCACGAAGGTCACACCATGAAGCCAGTATGGCCAGGTCAGCCGCTAACATAGCAAGAAAGAAACACCACGGCCCGTCACGTGGAGGAGGAAGCCCAGGTGTTCTTTTCTGATACTAAAACCAAAGGAACTTCTCAGGCAAGGTCTTCCTGCAGAGGACGTGGTGTAAATCCATGGACTCCTACCCCGGGGTCTCACTGTGACCACAGCCTGCCCCTCCCAGGGCTGTCTCTGGGAGATTCTCTCAATGATAGGCAGGGGCAGCACAGGGACGGCCGGTCAGGAACAGAGACAGAGGCCACTGTCTACCATCCACGTGTCCAGCCCTCTGCTGTGTGGCTTCAGGTAGGGGCAGACTGCCTGCGTATAGAGAGGCCCCCGCAGTCCTCAGCCTGCCCATTCCTCAGTGGGCCCTGGCTAGGTGTCAGGTAGTCAGAGCTGGAGCCGTTCCTCTGGCCGTGCATGCTCCTGGTTCCTTGCTGACCTCCCTGCTGAGCCCTGTGCTCTGGGTGGGGCTGCCGCCCTCTTGTGAAAGGCAAGACATCTGAGAGGCCATCCAGCCCCTCTCCACCCTGGACAGCAGGAGGCCAAGACCTGGCCTGATGAGAGTGCACCTTGTCATGTGGTGGGTCACCCGCCGAGCCCAGCCCCCAGCACCTCCCCTGGCGGACACCTGCAGTCACCTCAAAGCATCAGCTGTGACGGGGAACAGCAGGCTCAGCTGGTAGGAGCCAGGGAGGGCAGCTCTTGAGGCCTCCGACTCCACCCCTAGGGGGCCCACACGCCACTGCCCAGGTTGGGCAGGTGCATGTTCTACGCCAGGTGCTGCCCTGGGGCCAATGGTGGGTCCCCAGCATGGAGCTGTGCAGTTCAGAGGGATTCTAGCACCTTCTCCGGGTGGGGACCAGGAGACCTTTGCATTTGCTGCCGTGGTCCAACGGGCCACTGCCTCTCCCTCACATACGCAGGGGAACCACACTGGACTGGGTCCCCAGCAGGGCCCTCCCCAACACAATCAAGGCTGTTGCTCCAGAGCTCCTATTGTGGTCTGTTTTGTCAGCACTTGGCTTGCAATCAACAGTGGTGACACCAATTACTTGTGTCACAGCTTCTAGGGAAGACGGAGATGTATGACACCCAGCATGGGGGCCATCCATCAGGGCCTGAGAGGGACCGAGGGCCTGTCACAGTGACAGGGAGTAGGGTGGCAGGGGGGAGGTGGTGAAGCCAGAGAATCTCAGGACAGCAGGGTGGCAAAGTGGTTTACATCATCAGAATTAGTGTCTGGGCAGGGAGTGAGGCCTGGCTTCCAGGAGCCAGGCATAAGCCAAAATGCCTCCCTCTCCCCCGACGCCTGAGCTCTGGCCAGGCTGGACCCTGGCCGTCTTCCAGGCCTCTGCACGGTGGACACTTCTTTTCCCTGCCCTGGGATCTCCCCCACCCCAGCTCTCCTCTTTCTTCAAGGAGCCTTTCCCCATTTACTCCACCCCCACCCCAGTGTGAATGTGCTTTCTTGCTCCTGGCTGAGCAGCAGCAGCATTCAAAACCGTTGAAGCCAATGTCAGCCTGTCACAATAACTAACTTATTAAACATTCACGATGATGTGTCTGTACCACCTGAATTCCCACAACCACCAAGGTATGTGGGAGGCGAACGTGTAAACTGAGGTGCAGAGACATCGGGAACTTGCCCTGATTCATGCTCTTCATGAGCAGAGAGTGGCAGAGGGGCAAACTGCAGGCACGGAAGAAGGCGTGATGGGGTCCACACGCTGCACCTTTAGGACCTACAGATGTGCTACTGGGGACCCCGGGCTAGATCGAGGCAGGACAATGGCTGGCTGGATGATCTGGTTCTGGAAGTTCCACCAGCCTCCGGAGGATGTGGGCTTTCAGGGATGCCTGCCAGGGGAGAGAGAAGCCCACACCCCCGTCTCTGCTGACTCATGCTCTGCCGGTCTCCAGATTCTCCCCACAAGAGACCCTTCCCTTGGAGGAGCTCTCCAAGTCTCCCGCTGATCTTTCTGCATCAGTTTTCTCATCTGTCCAGATGGGTGGGTCTAGCAAGCCTGGCCTTGACTCTTCATGGGTCATGCTGAGGGACAGAGGAAACCCAGGTGGGCTTTGTAAAATGTACAGGGCAACTCACCCGTGAGGTGTCGTCTGCTGCGTTCCTCTGATCTATCTCTGTGGGGCTGGGGAGGGGAGGGCAATGGAACCCTGAGCCGTGGAGAAGTTCATGTCTTAGCCATGGTTGAAAAAGCCTGAGGCAGGGGCTGGGTGCCAGTGGCTCATACCTGTAATCCCAGAACTTTGGGAGGCCGAGGAGGGCCTGAGCCCAGAGGTTCAAGACCACCCTGAGCAACATGGCGAGACTGCATCTCTACCAAAAAAAGCAAAATAATTAGCCAGGAGTGCTGGTGCACACCTGTAGTCCCAGGTACTTGGGAGGCTAAAGTGGGAGGATCACCTGAGCCTGGGAGGTAAAGGCTGCACTGAGCTGTAAACGTGCCACTGAACTCGTCTGGGTGACAGAGTGAGACTCTGTCTCAAAAAACAAAAAGAAAAAAAAGGCTGAGTCTGGTGGACCCCAGGCTCTAAACCAGAACTACTCGAGTCCAGCACATGGCTTTGGTTCTACTCCAGGGAGTGTCATGGAAATTTAGGGGTGACTCAGCCCCGTGTTTCAGAGTGGAAAAGGACTTTAGCAATGTCGTAGGTGAGGAAACAGGCCCAGAAGAGTGAAGGAGCTGGCTCAGCGTTCAAGGTCATCCAGCTTATTACCAAAGAGCTGACACCAGAACACGCCTCTCCAAGTGGCCAGGAGGGTCCCCCTATAACGGTCCCCTAGGGGGTCTTCCCAGAAGCCAACAACTGGTGAGTACGGAATTCTTCTGTCTTCAGTCTCGATTCTTCGTTCCAGAGACCACTTTCACCGCGGCAGTGTTAGGAGCTTCTCAATCCACGTCTCCTTCAAGGAATTAATGAAGGAGCGAGGCCTGGGACCCGCAAAGAACTTCACAGAATCGTCGAATAAGTCACCTGCTGTGCCGCTGAGGAGGTTCAGGTCAAAAGGGTGTGGCTCGGTCAAGGTCTCACCCCCTGTGCTGGAGAGGACACCCCGGCACAGCCCCTGGTTCTGCTCCTGCGCTGCCACAACCCCGTGCCTCCCTGCACCCCAGGGCAAGTCACCCGCTCATAGTGCTACCTGCCAGGATGGGACTGGCCCAGCCTGGGCCACTGTTCTAGCTGCTCTCTCCTTGATCTTCCTCACTCCTTCCCCAGCTCTTGATTTGCTGCACACCACAGCTCACCCGCAAATGCTAAATAAATGCATCCAGACCCCCAAATGTGGGGAACCAGGACCCCAGTGCCTGCTGGCTGCCTCGGGGCTCCTGCCTTGGGGCTCCCGACTGAGGGAAGGCAAGCCAGGGATGGAAAACGCACCATCAGCACTTCTGTTATTTAACGGGGCCCTGTTGCATTAATTAATTAAACGTCTTCTGTTTCTGAGAAGCAGCAGAGCTGTGACTGCTTAGAGCTGGGATGCAGGGGGTGGTTGAGACTCCACCCTGTTTCCTGGAAGGACATGTGGAAGCAGAGCCTAGAGTGCTGAGAGAGGGAGTGGGCAGCTCCCGTCTCACCCCCTGGCTGCCACCACGCCTGAGTGTAAACCGGGTGTAAACCCTGAAAGGCTTTGCATCCTCGTTTGGGCTCAGCAGGCTGCGTGGAAGGGGCTTCAAGGCTCCGGAGGAACACACTAGAAAGGGGAGGGAAAAAAGGCACAGGGAGGGAACATCACACACCGAGGCCTGTTGGGGAGTTGGGAGCAAGGGGAGGGAGAGCATTAGGACAAATGCCTAATGCATGTGGGGCTTAAAACCTCGGTTGACAGGTGCAGCAAACCACCATGGCACATGTGTACTTACGCAACAAACCGGCACGTTCTGCACATTTCCCAAAACTTAAAGCAAAATGTTTTTTAAAAAGAATAAAATCAACTGTAATTGCCCCGCACCCCTCCCCCCAAAAAAAAGACAGCAAAGAAAACACACATCGGCTCAGGGAGCGGCGTAATGGGAAGATTTCAGCGTGATGTATGGTGCTGGGGACGTTATTAATGGTTTGCTGATTTTTACCTTTAAAACCTTTGGGCAGATTATTTATTATGTCCTTGCCGTGCCTATGATCTATGGAGGGGCACTAATCTCCGAGCAGGGCCTCTCACATTCCCGCTCTTCGACAGCGTCTTAATTAGGCCAGAACGCTGCCCTCCCCACCCCGGCCCTGTGCCCACCCCTGTGCAGGAAGGTGGCGATCTGATGCTTACTCTCTCAGGCCCATGGAGCCTGCAAATCAGAGAACCCGGTTCCTACGCCTAGCTTGGCACTGACTTGCTGTGTGACCTTAGGCAGGGACACAACCTCTCTGGGCCTCTATGCTGTTCTCTCTCGAATGAGAGCGCTGCACTACACAAGCTGCAGTGACACGGAGAGACAGCATGGCAGAGCTAAGACGCAGCAGGCGTGTGGCCCTCCTGGTGGCAAAGTCCTGTGCTTCTATGGCATGAGAATTGGGAAACAGCGACGGGGCTTCAGTGGCTGACTGTCACAGCCCTAGACACCGAGGGTTTCTGGGTATGGTGAGAAGTCCTCCTTTCTCGTCTTGGCACTGGTGCTGTGGCTGCTAACCACAGCATGGGCCTCTCGAATCCTTGGCTCCCAGAGCGGAGAAGGGGCGTCTGAGTCCTCCAGAGACATAGGCACCCTGGGTCACCATGCTGGTTGGGGACAGAGCTGGCATGAGAAGCCAGGCGTAGTAAGGAAGGCCATTCTGGCTGGAGAAGTGTGTGGCCTCAGGCAGAAACATCTGGAAGAGAGAAGGCCAGACTCCTCATGCTGGCCTGAATGCCCTCCCTCAGGAACCCAGGCATCCTGATAGTCCTGGGCTCTCTCTGCCACACACAGCCACGTCCCCTACAAGAAACAAGCCCGACCGATAGTGACCCTCACCTCTCTCCGACTCTCAGCCACTCCTTTCTGGGTCTGTGTTTGGGGGACCTGGTGGCTGCGTGGCCTTCAACCCAGGGACAGGCCTTGAGCTGGCGGCTGGGCTGGCTGAAGCCCCATCTTCACAAGGCCACAGGCAGGACCTCGCGGGCCTGCCCCTCATTGGCCAAAGCTCCACGTTATTTTTCTGATAGACCCTGAGGAGGTCCCACGCTTCCTCCTCCCAGTGTTGGCCACTCTACCAACACACTCACACCTTCCAAATGTGCGCCTCTCAGGTCTCCGGCCTGGGGGACATCAGAGTCCCCTCCTCAACTGGGCAGCATTTCTGTCACTCTCAGCTCCCTCTCTGCCCCACGCCAACTACCCAGAGACCATTCCGTCCCCCCAATGCATGCACATAAACACATATGCACGTGTGCACACATGCACACATGTGCATGCTGTGTAACCTGTCTGTGGTTTCTCGTGATTGGACTCACCGCATCCTAAGGTCCCCTCAGCCCCCTAGCCCCAGCTCGTAACCACTAGCCATCCTAGCCCAAGCCCTACCTCCGGGAGAAGCCTCTCAGTGCTACTGTCCCCGGCCCAGGACCTCACATGGCACTTGCTGTCCAGGCCACTTCTCTGCATCTCTCCATTTCCTCAGCCACCCTCTGGGTTCGGTGCTGTCACTGTGACCCCTGGGTGCATGGAGTAGGACTGCTATTCTATTCTGTCACTTATCCATCAGGAGGGCAGTACCTGTGACCAACGAACCCCTGGGGAGTAAGAGGTGGTGCACACGGCAGGTGTGCACTGAAGTGGGGACAGGAAGGGGCAGTGCTTTCAACTGTGCGGCCTCAGCTGCTGCCACATGGCCTGACCCAGAACAGCTGCTCAGACCAGGATGCAGTGGGCACCATCTAGCTTCATAGTAGGGGTGAAGAGTTCTTGACCCAGGAGGGAATGGACTCATCTTATCCTATAGTTTTCTTTCCTCACCTTCATCTCTTGAATTCAGAACTTTTTGCAGGTTTAATTCTGATGTGCATTTGGGGAGCTCAGGTGTACTTGGAAGCTGAGGTCAAAAATGAGAAAAGACCCATTGCTAC